>NC_000023.11:13349609-13652639 GCF_000001405.40 Homo sapiens | reverse complement strand
TTTGCTGATGCCTTACCCCAAGGTAATTTGGGGAAAGGTTCAGGGAAACAGAGTATCCAATCCAATACTCTGGACTGGGTGCTGGCAGGAAGGAGGGCGATTGTATGATTAAGTATCATAATAAATCTTACCTAAAAGGAGGGGAGACAAGACCAGTGACTCATTAACTGGGATAGGGGATGTTTGGTCATTTTTGTGGTTTGGACAATGTTTACGTTTTTTCAGCATTCCCACGTGATTACGAAGGAGTCTTGTTTTTGTCTTGATCCATCTGGTCAAAGAGTGGCCACGTCTGATGGTGTTCTGTGAAGTATTTATGTTCCACGCAGCACCAAGGCCCAGCTGTGACTGCCGGGGCAGCTCAGAGCTGTCAGGGGTTACTTTTTTCTTGCTGTCTATTATAGGGCTAAAATGTTTAAGGATTATATAATACCTTTTTAAAGAAAAAATTATTTGGCTGGGCGTGGTGGCTCATGCCTGTAATCCCAGCACTTTGGGAGGTCGAGGCAGGCGGATCATGAGGTCAGGAGATCGAGACCATCCTGGCTAACACGGTGAAACCCCGTCTCTACTAAAAATACAAAAAATTAGCCAGGCGTGGTGGCACGTGCTTGTAATCCCAGCTACTTGGGAGGCTGAGGCAGGAGAATCGCTTGAACCCGGGAGGCGGAGGTTGCAGTGAGCTGAGATCGAGCCATTGCACTCCAGCCTAGCGACAGAGCAAGACTTGGTCTCAAAAAAAAAAAATTATTTAATGACACTTGTCACTTGTTAAAGCATGGTAAGGAAGACTTTATTCAGGACCATTGAGATAGACATAGGTACCACTGCAACAGGGTCTTGCAGTGGGGAAGAGAGATTGGGCTCAACTTCAATTGTAGCATGGAAAAGTGAGAATTTATAGCCAAGGAGCAAGGTAGGGGGGTCAGTGGATGGAAAATTATTAAGAGGAAACATCAGGGGTAAGGGGGATTCTGTCTAAACCAACCTGACAAGATTCTTGCTGAAGACGGGCCAGGGTGATCAGATGTCACCTGGAGGTTGGTGGAGGATGAGGAACCAAATCAGATATTAAGGGTGATCAGATATTGAGGGTGGTTGCTTTTGGCTAAACTGATTTATCAAGGCTTTTTGCTAAAACTGGATTTTACAAGGAAGTGCACAGATAGGCCTAGTCAGGAGACTGACTAAAGTTTGGTTGGAAAAGAATGCTTGATAATCTTTACTTTTGCCTGTTAAAATAAAAAAAAATTGACGTAATTTAAATTTGGCAGAGTTTATGTGAGCAAAGAATGATTCATGAATCGGACAGCACTCAGAATCAGAATAGGTTCAGAGAGCTTTGTGGGCCGTGAGTATTTATAGACAGAGAATGGAAGTAAAATACAGAAATAGGCTGATTGGTTGCAATCAATGATCAGATCATTTGGATATGATCTGAGAAGTTGGCAGCTTGTGATTGGCTGAAGCTTGTCTGCTTGTGTTTGGCTGAGACTTGGCTGTTTATTATACTCTTCCTTAGGTTAAGCTTTCAGTGTATTTATGTACTAAGTTAAATTGCAATTCATTGTGTAGAAAATCAAAGTACAGAGACAGCCTTGAGCCAATAGCCTCCTGCTTATTTAATTTAACATGCTTTAATGGTATTTCTCTTCTCATTGTTACTTTTTTGGTTCATTTTATGAGTACTCTTGCCCCACTTTGTAAACACTGATTTAAAAATCCGAAGGACTATTGGCTCCTAGACCAACCATCTCTAGTTTTAGACAGTTACCTAGGAAAAATACTTTCTTTGTGATCAGATTTGTAACATGCAATTCTTAAAATATCTGATATTTGTCAAAACAATGGCACTCAAACTATGAAAGGCTCAATCTGAAGGAGTCAGTTTGGAAACTAGAAGTTACTACAGAAGTGGTCATTAGAGCTTTGAGGCATATTATAATCAATTTCTCATGAACTCTATGCTGAAGAAAAAAACAGAAATTACTCAAAAGTCTAAAATCAAAAACAACCTAGTGTTTTCTCTGGTGTGAAGGATAAGACCATTATTTCAACTAAGAGGCAAGCTATAATTACTGCGTAGTCCTGCCTTGTCTACTACAGTAGCCACATGTGGCTATTCAGATAAAATTTAAACTTCAGTTCCTCAGTTGCACTAGCTAAATGTCAAGTTCTCAATAGCCACCTGTGGCTAGTGGGTACCATATTGGATAGCACAGATATAGAACATGCTCATTGCTGTAGAAATTTCTGGCTGAGTTCATCTGGAATGAATCTAGGGCTGCCAGTGGATTCTAAAGAGGTTGCTGAAAAGTTTGTTCTTTTGGGCAATTTAAAAATGGAATACCTATAAAAGTACTCACATCTATGATAATTTATCATGCATAGTTTTCAGGCCTTTGTTTTAAAATCATCTTTCAGCTGCTTCAATACTCTGGAATTCTCTTTGATAAATTTCCCTTAGTGCAGCGGAAACCTCTTTTCAATCCTTATTAAGTCTCTGAGTGGCAATATATTAATAGATATTCTGAGCTCATGCAGACAGCCCTTTCCTGCAAATTCCCACGGAAGAGAGACAAAATCTTATGGGCCTTCTCCAGAGGCTAATGTTACACATTGCTGAGGGAACAGTTACAGATGTTTTCCATGGAATGAGGTCATAGAAACTGCCTCTTTCTGGGTTCTGAGGTGCCGGCCGGTGTTCATTTCCTGATAAAACACCAGGACCAGACACTGGGCTTAACTGGGGATGTTCTTATAAGTCACAGTACATAAGGCATGGGATTAAAACGATGAAGAGTTCCCTTGAAATCTCAGGAGTTACAGAATATTAGGAAATAGAACAAAAAGTCATACATTATAGAAACAGAAACTTTATGTTTAAGTTCTGCAACATATTTCTCAGACTTATGCAGGTGAAATGACAGAGAAGCAGCGAACATGGTATCTCCAGTGAACATCCCCAGAGGCTTCCAGAAGAGCTAGTTCAACGGGTCAGGCAGTCCCTGGCTGGTGGGCCACAGATTGCTTAAACCAACCTAATACCTCTTTTGTTCTTTGGAGGGGCCCACTTTGGAGATTTTTTGGAGGACCCTCCCTTTGCTGGTAGCCCCTTATTACCCATTCCATGGTTCAGATGCTGCACCCTCTGGTTAACCGCTGGCTCCTGCTTTTGGTAGCACATCCCACACAAACTTTTTCTGTCGGGTTACCTCACCTGCAGGCCTGTTGGTCAGGGTCCTTCCAAGACAGCCTAGGCCCAGCTGCTTGCTTGATGTGCACTTAGCCCATGGGAACAACCCAGCGGCCCTGCTCCCCGCCCAGCCCTGGAAGCAGGGCTGTTCCCTCTGCAGCCCTTCTCGTCATCTTCACAGTTGGTCTTAGGTAGCTCTAGCTGGCTTCTCGCCTATTTATTGTTTTTTTTTTTTTTTTTTTTTTTTTTTTGGAGAGTCAGACACCATTCTACAACAGGGGCACCTGTCAATCTCTCTGAGTGGTTCTCTCAAAGTCACCCTCACTTGCCTTGGAGTGGGGGTGGGAAGGAAGCTTCCAGAACTGTAACAACCCTCTTTCACTGTTGCCTTCTCCTGTACATAAGCTGAAGAGTGGCAAACGGGCATGGGTGACAGGAGTTTTTGGCTCATCATTTAGTAAGCCCTGGGTAAATGGTCTAACATCTCTCATTAGAACCAGCAGACACTTAACATTGTGCTCTCACCTTTGGGGCCTTGGACAAAACTCTGAGTCAGGAAATATCCCATTTAACACCTTCTTGTACCTGTAGTAATCTCCAGATCAGTTCCATACCTCTTATTCTCCTTTTCTATACCATTTGTCCATTTTGCTAATTTCTCTAGAAGGTATGTTATTCTACCATAGATTTATGGCAACATTTAGTGGAGGAATGATGAAGGACCAGAAAGTCTGGCTTCAGTCACCTCTTGGTTGATATGGTTTGGCTGTGTCCCCACCCAAATCTCATCTTGAATTGTAGTTCCTATAATGCCTATGTGTTGTGGGAGGGACCTGGTGGGAGGTAATTGATTCATGGGAGCAGTTACCACCATGCCGTTCTTGTAATAGTGAGTTCTCATGAGATCTGATGGCTTTATAAGGGGTGTTTCCCCTTTTGCTCTGTACTTCTCCTTGCTTTCACCATGTGAAGAAGGATATGTTTGCTTCCCCTTCCGCCATGATTGTAAGTTTCCTGAGGCCTCCCCAGCCCTGCAGAACTGTGAGTCAATTAAACCTATTTGCTTATTAAATTACCCAGTCTCAGGTATTTCTTCACAGTGGTGTGAGAATGTACTAATACATTGGTGCATATCATAAGAGGAAAATTCAGAGGCAGTGCAACATCTTTACTATTTTGTTACTAGGGATTCTTCAAAATTCTCTTTAATCAGAAAAATATAGAACACTTACAAAATGAAATGGAACAAGGGGACACCAACTCTACTCAAAGACCTCTGCCTGCCTGCGCAGTTGCTGTTTCCATTGCTATGAAGAAATCCAAACTGAGGCCTGTCATCTGGGGTTTTGTTCTGCCAGAGTGGCTTGTAACCAGGAGTAGTACAGTCTGGAGGTGATCCTGACATGTGGACTGCCCCATGAAATGCCTCACTTCATTTTGGTTTTTGAGTCTTTGTTTTAAAGGGAAGTCGTTTTGTAACAGCAGTTCATCGGCATAGTGAGACATAAGCATTAAACATTGAAGCGTTGGTCGGTGCTGCTTCCTTTATCTTTCGTTCTTGCACCGCGTGGCCTCATGACTCATTCTCATGGACTGACACTATACACACCACCCACAGCTGTCCTTTCATGATATGACCTGGCATGCTGCCAGGAGGGCCTATTTATCAACAGTGACAATATAAAGGACAGCCATGTTCTCTTCTTAGTCTTCAGTGGGAGACACATTTGGCCAGAAGTATACCGTTCTGATTTACAGTGCCCAAGAGAAGCGCTTTGCCATTTCAGCCTCATTTTCTCACAAAAACCTAGTACATGGAGTTGCTGCACTATTTGGCTCATATAATAATGTTTTTTTTAAAAAAAATTTTAGTCATTTATTTTTGAGACAGAGTCTCACTCTGTCACCCAGGCTGGAGTGCAGTGGCGTGATCTTGGCTCACCGCAACCTCTGCCTCCTGGGTTCAAGCAATTCTCCTGCCTCAGCCTCTCGAGTAGCTGGGATTACAGGCAGGTGCCACCACACCAGGCTGATTTTTTTGGTATTTTTAGTAGAGATAGGGTTTCACCATGTTGGCCAGGCTGGTCTGGAACTCCTGATCTCAAGTGATCCACCTGCCTCGGCCTCCCAAAGTGCTGGGATTACAGGCGTGAGCCACTGTGCCTGGCAATAATGTTTATATTAGTTGTTCTTCATTTCAAACCTTGACTCAGACCCCACCTAGGTTTCTGGTTGCTGAAGAGAATGAAGTTGTCAACTCTTTTGTCGTTATGAGAGTAGATCTATTACACTGGTATGTGGCCTGGGATAATTACATGTACTCGATCTCAGATTTGCATGATGGGGTTCATTCACATGGTGGGCTTTGGTGAGTTTGGACCACCCAGCTTCAGCACACCTTCCAAACAGCCAATCAGGTGCCTATTCTGCCCTAGCCAGGTGGCAGCCAGATGACCCCAGCTGGCCCGATTGCACATCCTCCCTGGAATGTGAATTTTAAGCAGAATGATGTGGAGTCTAAACATGGTGAAAGATCATTAAGATGAGGGTGGTGTCCTTATGAGACCATTCCTCCAATGGCTCCTTTCCCACAGTTCTGCTTCTAGCCCAGCGGCCCATTTCCAAAGCTGGCTGGCTGGTCTCTCCCTCCACCTGTACATTCCTGCTATCCTTACTATAACTTCCCTCTGCTGGGTCTGTTTTGGTGGCTTGCTAACAGTAAACACTAACTGACACAGCCTGTCTTAATATGGCTGTGTGATTTGAGGGACATCAGAAGAGAACCCCTGACCTTACCATGGTGCTAGAATTCCTTTCTTACTCATTCCTTTGGATGAAGACATTGAAAGCTGCTATTATAAAACAGCAACTATTACTTAGGAAAGGTTACACTTGAAGCTGTTTATTTGCTATGCCTGAGTTATATTGTAAGGATCGTCTCCCTTGTCAGAGACCAATGGAATGGGACATAGGATAAGTAAATGTTGATGGGGAGAATTGGGAGGGAATGAAAGGTCTGCAAGATTGGATTCTTCGAGATCTTAAGGGTGACTGAATTGGAAGGTTCTGGGTACCCAGAAAGAAGCATGAGTTCATAAAACACCAGGGAGGAGAAGAAATGGAGCAAAGAGGGAGTAGGAGGAGATCCTGGAAACAGCTCTGCTGTTTGCCTGGTGGCAGCCACACACATGCAGTCACAAGGGGGCACTGCTGGAACTCTGAGAGAAGACTCCAAAAAACTGATGCAAGTGGAAAGCCGTTCACATTCATCAGGAGAGCTGGGTGAGGATAGCCTGGACTAATCCTAGGAGGAAAAAGACTTTTAAAAGAAGTAACAGGGATAGAAAAGGGAGACGTAGAAACTTCCATCATTGTCCAGAAAGACTAATAGATGTGGGGCAGGTGAGAGTTCCAGGCTCTTGAGCAGCAGGAATATTTCCTCAAACTTCAGCCCCTGGGCCCGTTGAACTTCCTCTCCAGATTCCCATGCCATTCACCTCCAGCAGCCTGGATGGCAGGCCAGTGAACACCCACAACAAAAGTCATCCGTGGCTGGATTATACCTGAGTCTGTGTAGCTTCAGCCACAACCTACCTGGCGCTGAGAGCTGAATTCACTCTAGGTGTCCCGAGTCATTCAGCACAATGTCAGACAGAAGAGGTTCATCTTAAGGGGTAGGGGGAGTAATACTTTTATTTTTGAAAGAAGTTCTTACTGAAGTATGACACATATATAGAAAAGTCAGTGTACAAATCGTAAGTGTACTGCTTGTTAATTTTCACAGTGAACATGTCCATTCAAAAGGCACCATGAAGCAGAATTACCAGCCCCCCAGAAATTCTCCCCTTGTGTTCCCTTCCAGCATCCCGCCCCCACCACGGGTAAAAGCATAAACAGAATCCCAACTTTACCGCTATAGATTAATTTTGCCTGATTTTGAAACTTAAGTAAATGGAAGTGTACAGTATGTACTTTCTGGCTTCTTTTGATCAATTACATATTTTTGAAATTTGTCTGTGTTGCTGTGGGCAGCGTTAAGCTATTCATTCTCATGTCTTCATAGTCCTTTATTGAATGAATACACTACAGTGCATCCATTCTAACAATGGACATTATGGATATTTGGGTTGTTCCACTGGGACTAATACAAATAGTGCTACTATTCATTTCTATTAGGTATATACCTAGCAGTGGAATTCTGGGTTGGTAATGCTATTTTTGGTCATAAATGATGACCAAAAATTTTAACCATAAATTGACAATGCCAAGTCTCTTGTATGATTTGTGTACCTGAAAAAGGCAATTTCAAATGTGTTTTGAGCAACATTGTCATTAAAATAAATATATAGGCCGTCAAAGAAATTATTGAGAAAGAAAGGGTAATTAGCTCTTACCTAATGACATTCAGCACTCTTAGTGGCCACAGAGTGGAGGAAACCAAACCAAACAAACAAATAAGACAACATAGAAATGTAAAACAATTTATATGACACTACCAAATTGATTAAAGATATACACAAGATAATTATTTTGGTCAAAAATATGCATATGTAACCCCTCTATCTTATGCATATGTAACCTTTCTGTCTTAAGCCCACTTAGGGGCAGCTCTTTCTGGCCCCAGGCAGACTCACCACCACACCATACTACTGCCTCCCAAGATGTAAGTCTATACTACTGCCTCCCAAGATGTAAGTCTATACTACTGCCTCCCAAGATGTAAGTCTATTTTACATCTATAAATCATTTTACAGATTTTTTTCATGTGCATATTAATACTAGAATTTTTTATGAAGCATAGATATGACATTTAAAAATGCCAGATTTCTAAAAAGGTCAACCTAGAACCCCATTCTCCACACACAAAAAGGACCCTTGCTTGTATGTACAAAAATCCCAAAGTTCATATTACCTTACCATTCCTTGACCAGACAGAATGATGAAGCTGCATCTACACAACTCCAGGACAACACTTTGAATAGAGACAGAACACAGCTATTTAGTATCTGTAGTCATGGTCTGATGGAATTAAAGAGAAAAAAGGTTGAGTTCATTTACGTTGGTTTTTTAGATGTTGACCCAGTCTAAGCCTTTTTGACATTTTTAGAGGGCCTCAGACTTGTCAAAGGAGTTTTTTTTGTATCCCAATTAAAATCAATGTACTGAGATAAATTCACCAACATTCAATAAAAGCCAGTTTTAAAAATAGAAATGTGTCTAGCCACTACCTCTACCCCCTATTCCTTCTTGGGGAGAAACTATCGGTGCTTTAGATTGTCAGGCTGATAGCTTTCCACCTTCCATGAGAACTGCCTTTACCCGAAATTATGCTAAATAGTCATTATCCAATTCATCCTGTCAGGTTTCCAAAACACGTTAATTGTTCCAAGAGACAAGCCCATTCGACTCAAAAAAAAAATAACCACTTTTAGAGGAGATTATCAAATTATAACATGTTCCAAAACTGTGATACTTCTCCCTCAAAATTTGGAATGATTTCACTCTATGTTTGTTTCTTTTGCAGAAATTAAATCACCTAACTGATATCTTATGGTCTGATTGGAACAGGATTTCAATAGCAGCCCTGGGAAAGTAAGTTCCAGAAAGTATACTTCTCTTCACTCAAGGAAAGGTAGCTGGGCCCATATAAGGGGAGAGTGTTATTTGCAATGTTACGGATTTGTGAGAGATCACCATTCCTATCAAATCTTTCTGTTGTCCCCTCATCTAATGAATTCTAGAAAGTGAAGAGTCTATGTTAGGAAGTGATTCGCCATAGGTCTGCCCATCTTATACACATAAGCCCTGGCAGCCTTTGTTCTGAACTATCTTTTCTTTTCTTTCTTTTTTTTTTTTTTTTTTTTTTTTTTTTGTGAGACGGAGTCTCACTCTGTTGCCCAGGCTGGAGGGCAGTGGCAAGATCTCGGCTCACTGCAACCTCTGCCTCCGGGGTTCAAGCAATTCTCTGCCTCAGCCTCCCGAGTAGCTGGGATTACAGGTGCCCACCACCACGCCCGGCTAATTTTTTTTGTATTTTTAATAGAGATGGGGGTTTCACCATCTTGGCCAGGCTGGTCTTGAACTCCTGACCTTGTGATCCATCCAGCTCGGCCTCCCAAAGTGCTGGGATTACAGGCGTGAGCCACTGTGCCCGGCCTCTTTTCAAGGATGTTTGTATAATGAACAGCCTCAGGGAACAGGGATAGCATCTTCCTTTTGGGGGGCAGACTTGGTTCTCCACTAAGATGATAAAGGTATTGTCTCCTTCCAGGACAAAGTTTGGGAAGCTTTGCTCTCAGCCCTCTTATTAGACTGGGGCTTTCCCAGACTCAGGGCTCAGCTGTGGCACAAGCCCACTGTGAATGCTGCACTCTGTGGCCCAGGCTGGAGTGCAGTGGCGCGATCTTGGCTCACTGCAACCTCCACCTCCTGGGTTCAAGTGATTCTCCTGCCTAACCCTCCTGAGTAGCTGAGATTACAGGTGTGCACCATTACGCCAGGCTAATTTTAGTATTTTTAGTAGAGATGGGGTTTGGCCATGTTGGCCAGCCTGGTCTCAAACTCCTGACCTCAAGTTACCTGCCTGCCTCGGCCTCCCAAAGTGCTGGGATTACAGGCATGAGCCACCATGCCCAGCCAAGCTGTGTTTTTTTACCAATATCTATGAAACCAGGACAGGACAACCTGCTAGCTTGTAATTCAGGTAAAACATCAGCCTTTTCACGGTTCTTTTTTTTTTTTTTTTTGATGTTAAAGCCCATGGGCTAGTTCATATACGTCTTTATTTCTTTTTTTTTCTTTTTTTTAAATTATACTTTAAGTTTTAGGGTACATGTGCACAACGTGCAGGTTTGTTACATATGTATACATGTGCCATGTTGGTGTGCTACACCCATTAACTCATCATTTAACATTAGGTATATCTCCTAATGCTATCCCTCCCCCCTGCCCCCGCCCCACGACAGGCCCCTGTGTGTGATGTTCCCCTTCCTGTGTCCAAGTGTTCTCTTTGTTCAATTCCCACCTATGAGTGAGAACATGCGGTGTTTGGTTTTTTGACCTTACAATAGTTTGCTGAGATTGATGGTTTCCAGCTTCATCCATGTCCCTACAAAGGACATGAACTCATCATTTTTTATGGCTGCATAGTATTCCATGGTGTATATGTGCCACATTTCCTTAATCCAGTCTATCATTGTTGGACATTTGGGTTGGTTCCAAGTCTCTGCTATTGTGAATAGTGCCACAATAAACATCCGTGTGCATGTGTCTTTATAGCAGCATGATTTATAATCCTTTGGGTATATACCCAGTAATGGGATGGCTGGGTCTAATGGTATTTCTAGTTCTAGATCCCTGAGGAATCGCCACACTGACTTCCACAATGGTTGAACTAGTTTACAGTCCCACCAACAGTGTAAAAGTGTTCCTATTTCTCCACATCCTCTCCAGCACCTGTTGTTTCCTGACTTTTTAATGATCGCCATTCTAACTGGTGTGAGATGGTATCTCATTGTGGTTTTGATTTGCATTTCTCTGATGGCCAGTGACGGTGAGCATTTTTTCGTGTGTCTTTTGGCTGCATAAATGTCTTCTTTTGAGTAGTGTCTGCTCATATCCTTCACCCACTTGTTGATGGGGTTGTTTGTTTTTTTCTTGTAAATTTGTTTGAGTTCATTGTAGATTCTGGATATTAGCCCTTTGTCAGATGAGTAGATTGCAAAAATTTTCTCCCATTCTGTAGGTTGCCTGTTCACTCTGATGATAGTTTCTTTTGCTGTGCAGAAGCTCTTTAGTTTAATTAGATCCCATTTGTCAGTTTTGGCTTTTGTTGCCATTGCTTTTGGTGTTTTAGACATGAAGTCCTTGCCCATGCCTATGTCCTGAATGGTATTGCCTAGGTTTTCTTCTAGGGTTTTTATGGTTTTAGGTCTAACATTTAAGTCTTTAATCCATCTTGAATTAATTTTTGTATAAGGTGTAAGGAAGGGATCCAGTTTCAGCTTTCTACATATGGCTAGCCAGTTTTCCCAGCACCATTTACTAAATAGGGAATCCTTTCCCCATTTCTTGTTTTTGTCAGATTTGTCAAAGATCAGATAGTTGTAGATATGCGGCATTATTTCTGAGGGCTCTGTTCTGTTCCATTGGTCTATATCTCTGTTTTGGTACCAGTACCATGCTATTTTGGTTACTGTAGCCTTGTAGTATAGTTTGAAGTCAGGTAGCATGATGCCTCCAGCTTTGTTCTTTTGGCTTAGGTCACAGTTCTGACCTATGAAGACATCTCCAGGTAAAAAACATTCCATAGCCAGCCCACAAGTATTCTGTGTTTTCAAGGAAAAAGGAGAGTACAAAAAAATGCAGGCTCCCAGCCTGGCGCGGTGGCTCATGCCTATAATCCCAGCACTTTGGGAGGTTGAGACAGGTGGATCGCCTGAGGTCAGGAGTTTGAGACCAGCCTAACCAATATGGTGAAACCCCATCTCTACTAAAAATACAAAAATTAGCCGGCTGTTGTGGCATGTGCCTGTAGTCCCAGCTACTTGGGAGGCTGAGACAGTACTGCTTGAACCCAGGAGGTGGAGGTTGCCGTGAACCGAGATCGCACCACTGCTCTCCAGCCTGGGCGACAGAGCAAGACTCCATCTCAAAAAAAACCAGGCTTTCTCAGGCTAGGCTGGAAGCCAGTGCTGTCTTAGGGAGGCATCAAGTAAGTGCCTGAGCAGTGGGGATACAGGGGTCACCCAAGTCCCAGCTGCCATCTTGCAGAAGAGGTACAGCATACACCCTCCACGCTGGGTGGAAATCCCCTGAGGTCTGTAAGGGAGGGGCAGGACAGATATCCCCAGCCACAAGGAAGCTTTTCCCAGCCTCCAGAGCTGATGGTGAACATCTGAAGCGACCCACAGGTGAGGCAGAGGCCTGACAGGTTGGGTCAGGAAAAGAGGATGTGAGGGAGAGCCAAGACTGGGCTTCAGAACACTGGTGGTGACTCAAGGATAAAAAGACATGATCACAAAAGCAGAAGTATAGGCAGCCAGTGGACCTGCCAAGATGCCCCATCTCACCGTAATCAGCAAGGAGCCGGTGTCTGCCCCCAGTGAGGTTGACTACAATGGTTTGCTAATATGAACTGTGTGCAGAGGGTAAGGGAATACTACTCTCACCCCACTGCTAGTGGGCCTGTGAATTGGTGGAACCACTTAGGAGGGGAACCCAGCAGTAACTATTACAATGAAAAAAACTGTGCATGTCCCATGGGAGAAATGTGCGCTGGAGTTCAATCAGCACCCTCAGAAGCCAGGTGCTTTCCCCTTGAAAATGGGAGAAAGAGAAGCTCTGTAGATGACATCTCCATGACAGCAGTGAACATGTCCAGGCCTGATGACATTTTGTGCCTTGGGGTTTTACCTGGTTTGGGGTAGGCTTCCATGTTGCCATCCTCATTTGGGAAAATCTGAGGCAGAGAGAGGGTAGGTAACCTCCCCAGGGATTCTCACTACTTGGCTCTCAACCACTGTACTCTGCTGTGTGGCAGAGGAGTGGAGGGAGGCCACTGTCTTGTTGGAGAGTTAAAGCGACCCTCCCATAGATCCACACATCTTACAGATACTGAGCCTCCGCCCCAGAGCCTGCCCATAATTGTGCTGCTGTGGTAGCAATGCCAGCTCTGGAACCATCGCTCCTGGCCTGGTCTTGGTTTGGAAGGCCTAGAGAAGGCCAGTGGGAAATCGATTCTCCCAATTGCTAGGGGATTACTAGGAGAACATTTTCCATACATCTGAAGGTTTAATGCTTCAAGATCCAAATGGTGGCCGGGCATAGTGGCTCATGCCTGTAATCCCAACACTTTGGGAGGTTGAGGCAGACAGATCACCTGAGGTCGGGAGTTCAAGACCAGCCTGGCCAACACGGTGAAAACCCATCTCTGCTAAAAATACAAAAATTAGCTGGGTGTGGTGGCACATACCTGTAGTCCTAGCTACTCGGGAGGCTGAAGTGCAAGAATTGCTTGAACCTGGGAGGTGGAGGTTGCAGTGAGCCCAGATTGTACCACTGCGCTCCAGCCTGGGCAACAGAGTGAAACTCAGTCTCAAAAAAAAAAAAAAAAAAAAAATCCAAATGGTTTCATTTTAAGCATTTGTGATGGTAATCTTTCTTAAAAATACATGGTCTATTTCCTTCTTTGTTTGTTTTTTAATGTTTTACTGTGGAGAATTTGAAACATACAAAAAAGTAGACCAATTAGTATTCTGAGACCCCCATCACTCAGTTTTGTCAATTATCAACACATGGCTTTTCTTGTTTCCTCTAGACCAGAGGTCAACAAACTACAGTATTTGGCCTCAGTCTGGCCAGCTACAGGCTTTAAAATTAACTTTATAAAGAATGCAGCCACTCCCATTCGTTTACATATTGCCTACGGCTGCTTTTGTGCTATAGTGGCAGAGTTGAGTTGTGGTGACAGAGATGTCTGGCCCACAGAGCCTGAAATATTTACTATATGCCTCATTCCAGAAAAAAATGTTTATCATCTTTTCTTCTAGATACCCTCATCGACTCCCTCCTCTCCCCCCCATTGTTTTCCAAGCAAATCCCAGATCTCATGTAATTTCATTTAAGTAGTTCAGTGTGTTTCTCTAAAGGGAAGAATTCTTTCTTTAAAAAAAGCATAACCGCAGTACCATTATCCCACCTAAAAGTATCGCTTAATATTGTCAGATATCCTGCAAGTGCTCAAATTTCTACTTGTCTCCTTGTTTTCTTAAACAGTGAATACTCAACAACTACTTGCAGAGCCAGTGCTCAAGTGTCATCTTCTTGCTTTGCTCTTAGAGATAATGGAGGGACATTTGAAGGTTTTTCACATGTGACAAAGTTCTGAGACCAGTCTTAAGGTTATAGCAACACGGCTCAGGGTTCTTTGTTCTAGGAGTGAGTTACCTAACTAAAGGTACAACCCCTCTCCAGGGCCCCCCATTCTGGACAGTTTTGGATCATTTCCTTGGTTAGGGTCAGCCTTCAGTCTGGGGAAGAGTGGAGGCAGTGTTTTGAAGAAGGAGTAGTAGCCCTTCTCCTTGGTCATGTGGCTGGACACAGCCACCCCTTTGTGAATTATTAGAAGAGGATCCTCACAGGCCAAGGACTACCCAGCCTGTTGCAGGCAGGCCTGTTCTCCCAGTTTGTTTCATATCCTCAGAGGGAGTGAGTGACACAGCCTGTAGAATAGGGAGAGGATCATGCCACAGCCTGTAGAATAGGGAGAGGATCATGCCACACAGGTCACATCTGCTGACAGTTGCCTACCTCCTTGCCTTTGAGAACTCCAAACAGTGTCATTCAGTACCCGTCCTTGCTGTGATAAAGGCCCAAATGTGATCTCAAAATCCTCAACTCAGGGCTTTAGTCAGAATGACATTCAGCCTTAGCAGGCAAAAATGGGGGGGACATGTCATTGTTATTTCAGTAGTTAATATTAACTTATGGGGCTGTAGGATGTGAGGACATGGTGCAGGAAGTCAGGGACCCTGAACAGAGGGACTGGCTGGAGCCGCGGCAGAGGAACATAAATTGTGAAGATTTCATGGACATTTATCACTTCCCTAATAATACTCTTATAATTTCTTACACCTGTCTTACTTTGATCTCTTAGTCTTGTTATCTTCGTAAGCTGAGGATGTACATCACCTCAGGACCACTATTGTACAAACTGATTGTAAAACATGTGTGTTTGAACAATATGAAATCAGTGCACCTCGAAAAAGAACAGAATAACAGCGATTTTTAGGGAACAAGGGAAGACAACCATAAAGTCTGACTGCCTGCGGGGTCAGGCAGAATAGAGCCATATTTTTCTTCTTGCAGAGAGCCTATAAACAGACGTGCAAGTAGGGAAGATATTGCTGGATTCTTTTCCTAGCAAGGAATATTAATAATTAAGACCTTGGGAAAGGAATGCATTCCTGGGGGGAGGTCTATAAACAGCCGCTCTGAGAGTGTCTGTCTTATGCGGTTGAGATAAGGACTGAAATACGCCCTGGTCTCCTGCAGTACCGTCGGGCTTATTAGGGTGGGGAAAAAAATCCCGCCATGGTAAATTTGAGGTCAGACTGGTTCTCTGCTCTCAAACCCTGTTTTCTGTTGTTTAAGATGTTTATCAAGGCAATACGTGCACAGCTGAACATAGACCCTTATCAGTAATTCCAATTTTGCCCTTTGCCTTGTGATCTTTGCTTTTGTCCTTGCCCTGTTACCTCAGAAGCATGTGATGTTTCTTCTCCCTTTTGCCCTTTGAAGCACGTGATCTTTATGACCTGATCCCTGTTCATACACCCCCTCCCCTTTTGAAATCTTTAATAAAAACTTGCTGGTTTTGTGGCTCAGGTGGGCATCATGGTCCTACCGATATGTGATGTCACCCCCAGAGGCCCAGCTGTAAAATTCCTCTCTTTGTACTCTCTATTTCTCAGACCGACACTTAGGGAAAATAGAACCTATGTTGAAATACTGGGGGTAGGTTCCCCCCATAGGGACATCCTGGTGAATGTTACTTAGTGTGTACAAGCAAACAGCCAAGCACTGCTCAGTGGTAAATAATTTGGGCAGCACTACAGGTTTGTGGAAGGTTGAAGATCATGGTTTTGTTGAAGGCTCAGCCTGCACAGTTGTATAACTTTCTCTAACCATGCTTAGCAGCCTGGAGACACGATGGAGAAAAGAAGGCAGTTGGGTTGATTGAGGGCTCTTCCTGGTGGCAGTGGAAGACACACGAGCCTGGGACTTGAGGGGCATTGACAAGAGTGTCTTTGAAGAGATGATGGGCCTCAGAGTCTAGGCTATGTTTTATTAGAGAGGAAAGTCAAGCCAAGAGGAGGTCAAGAGATAGGAAGAAAATGGAGCTGTCAAGGGAATGGAGGTCTCAAAAAGGCCAAAGAGTAAGTGTAGGGGGAGTAGGATGAGGAGGAAGCCAGAGAGACCAGAGAGTGGGATGTTGGAGTTCAAGAGTTCAGAGGCAATGATCAAGTCCAAGGGGTGGCCATGGTGCAGTGACTGAGGAGGAGGTGATGGTAACTGGGATAGATGAGGTCAAAGGACTCTGAGGCTAGGATCCTGGATTGGTATTTGCATGGATATCGCCATGCTGGTCAATGACAATGGCTAGCCAGGACAGAAGGCTGTAGTACTACTTAACTGCATCTCCAAAGAACAGCAGCTTTCACATTACAGAAATAAGAGGTGGTGAATAAGAGTGGAGTAAGGAGAATGCCACCCTCAACTTTAGACCCTGCCATGTGTGGAATGTGGGAAGATGAGTGGTTTTCATTTGATAAGGCTGCAGCGGGAGAGGTGTCCCTGGGAGAGAGCTCAGTTTCAGCTAAGCTTGAGAAATGCAGGAAGAGACCTTTAAGCATGAATTAAGATGGAGGGGGATTTGTTTACCAGACAATGGATCATGTGTGATGGGGGTAGAAATAGTGGGGAGAAGTGCCAAGTAGAGTGGGCCCATACAGAGTGGGGATGAGAGAGGGGGAGATGATGGGTGAGAAGAGGGAGAGTTTGCATGTTGGGTGGTAGCCAGGGGCAACAGATACGGAAGTCATGGCTGAACTAGCTGACTTAAGTTCTGCAAAGGAATCTAAGTATGATTTAGTGCTGGTGCAGGCTAGAGCTGATACCATAGGCTATTGACTGGAATTCAAAACAATATGTTGCTATTTAAGGATCTAAGAAGTTAGTCCATAAGACTCTCCCAGGAGAGTGATCACTTGGGTCTGCATTGTGCTGTTTGAAATCCTAGATAGGCCAACAGAGGGCTTTTCTCTTACTTAAGAAAATGTCCAGCAGTGACTAGTCTGGGATAGTGGTAGAGACTTCACAAAATCATCAGGGACCCAGGCTTCCTCCAGTTATGTACTTCACAAGGTGAGGGCCTTGCCCTCTTGATCACAAAGTGGTTCATGGACCTTCTGCCTTTACAGCCACATTGCAAGCAGGAAGGAGGAAGGGAAATGCCAAAAGAGGGGTCTGCCAGCTGGAAGCCCCCTTTGATGATCCTTCCTGAAAGCCCCAAGAATGACTTCAGCTTCCATCTCAGGGGCCTCCCCATCTGTAAGAGAGGCTGGGAAATGCAGTCTATTAGTTGATCACATTGCCTACCTCCCCCTGCTAAAAATCTATTTATATGTGGTCATACTGGTAAGGAAAACGATGAGAATGGATATTGTGTAGGCAACCACGGTCTCTGCTGCAGACTTTAGAGAAACATGAAACTTAACTGAGCTTTGTGCACTGATTTTCTATCCATATGTAGCAGAGTTCCCAGGTCTCCTTATTTCATTTCTGGTTTAACGTTTCTTCCTTTAACCTAAATCACTCGGGCACTGCCTTTCATTGTAAGTTCTCCCCTCCATTGTCCTTTCTTTTTTTTTTTCTTTTTGAGACAGGGTATCATGCTGTGGCCCAGGCTGGAGTGCACTGGTGTGATCACAGCTCACTGCAGCCTCAACCTCCCAGGCTCAGGTGATCCTCCCACTTTAGCCTCCTGGGTAGCTAGGACTACAGGTGCAAACCACCATGCCCTGTTAATTTGTGTAGTTTTTGTAGAGATGGGGTTTTGTCCTGTTGCCCAGGCTGGTCTTGAACTCCTCAGCTCAAGAGATCCACCTACCTCCTCCTCCCAAAGGGAGTTGCTGGGATTACAGGTTTGAGCCACCATACCCGGCCCCATTGTCCTTTCTTCTAAGCCACATTGTGCTCTCAAATGTCCTTGGTCATGGAAGAGACAGGGGGTCTTCTTCAAGTTCTACCACAATATCAGAAATCACCTATATCAGTTAACTTTTGCTGTGTAGCAAACTACCCCAGAATTTTGTGGCTTAAAACAACTATTTTTATTATCTCTTAGGATTCTGTGGGCTGATTTGCCTTAGCTGGGCAGTTTTTCATCTGGTCTCACCAGAAACACTATTTTTGTGGTTTCCATAACTAGCAGTTATCCTAACAGATACAGTTACAGTCCTATATAGATTTTGTATGCCCAGATTCTCTCACACTAGGGATAAACAATGTGGTCCCCACCCCATCTTAAAAGGTTGTGTGTGTTGGTTGTATTAAAGAGAACATTGTTGAAGAAGAATTACTTAGGGTTTAAGTATTTAAAAACCTTCAAGAGTGGGGTTTAAATTTTGTATTAAAATTAAATTTTAAAGATTAGTAAGTGGATCACCTCTCTTTTTTTCCTACCATGGTTCAATGCCTTAATTGCTTTAGGTAACAGAGAGCAAATATCTGGAGAACCTTCTGTTTGGAGGGTGTCTTAGACCTGTTTCTAACCCAGAATCTTAAACAGAATATAAAACCGTCCTCAAGGAATACACTCAAGATTCCTACACAAAGCTCTTCCTGAATTTGGAAGAAAAGAGTAAGACAAAGAAGTCATCCATGTTTCTTTGAGTCCTGCTACCTGCTCATTTAGTTTTAGGTAGTTCTCTGAGGCTTTGAGCTCAACAATATATGCTGGCTGGGTGCGGCAGCTCACTCATGTAATTCCAGCACTTTGGGAGGCTAAGATGGGAGGATCGCTTGAGGCCAGGAGTTCAAGACCAACATGGGCAACATAGCAAGACCTCATTTCTAAAAAATAAAAAACAAACAAAACCCCAATATATGTGAATCTGCTTTGCAGTTATAAGGCCTAATAAAGCAGTCATATTTTCCCATAATAGAAAGTACCTTTAAAGAATATGAAGTAATAGTGAAAAGATAAAAACTACATTTTTCAGAAAAGCAAATAATCATTTACATAAGTAAACACAGAATCAAGAACATATTTTCTTACCTAGAAAAATTAAACCATGACACAAGATGATGATTTGGATATTATTATTACAAAGAATTTAAATATACAAGTTTGGCTATGAAAGACCCAGCTAAGCCACTTAGGCAAAAGTCTATCTTTGATGTCATAGTTTCCAAGAAGTATCATAAGAGTCAAACAGTTAAACATTTCTCTGTGCTTTTTTTTCTATTTTCTAGAAATGTTGTAGAGAGAAGCTCATCAACTTACTTATACAAATCAGATATACTGAGGAGGGGAGATAAACTGACATTTCCATATTTTATAATATAATGTGGAAAGATTCAGAAATGACTGAGAAGATACAGTGATATGATATTTAAAGCAAATATTGGCATATCTTATACAAGAAAGGCATCTTACAATAATATTTCTGTTGGTACATTACAATTTTTCAGCTAGTAATTCTAAAATGCCAGAGGTCCTATGATGCAATATCAAAAAAACCAGGGAACTGACATACAAAGTCAAATATAAAGATAGTAACATTCAGTCATCCACAGATAAAAGGCTATCTGGACATAAGCCTGAAACAAGCAAGACGCCATCCACTGCGATTTCGCCGGTTTTGCCCTTGCCACGTTCTGCTTCAAAAATGATCTAATAATGGAGAGAGAATAAAAAAATTACTCCAAACTGTTCAAAACAATGATATAATCAAGCTATTTAATAGCTATTAACTCGTGTCCCTATTTCATAGAAACCGGCTTCGACATTGAATATACTGTAATAGATTATTTTTTAGATGCCAGGTGTCTGCGCTGAGAGAACTACATTTGGTGAAAACAAGGTCATAGCAAAGCCCACATAGATTCTGAAAAACGCCATAAAGCTGAGAAGAATAAGATTTAAAAGGAAATTTTGGAATTCACATTTAAAGAAAAGCAAAACAAAAAATAAAATATGGTTTTCTTTACAAAAACCAAGTGAGAAGAAATTTGATATTCCCCTTGAACATCTAATAAAAAACTATATAGTCAAGGCCGGGCACGGTGGCTCACACCTGTAATCCCAGCACTTTGGGAGGCCGAGGCGGGCGGATCACGAGGTCAGGAGATCAAGATCATCCTGGCTAACACACAGTGAAACCCCGTCTCTACTAAAAATACAAACAAATTAGCCGGGCGTGGTGGTGGGCGCCTGTAGTCCCAGCTACTTCGGAGGCTGAGGCAGGAGAATGGCGTGAACCCGGGAGGCGGAGCTTGCAGTGAGCCGAGATCGCGCCACTGCACTCCAGCCTGGGCGACAGAGTGAGACTCTGCCTCAAAAAAAAAAAAAAAAAAAAAACCAAAAAACAAAACTATATAGTCAAAGATATATTTAGATTTTGGTAGTTTATATGAGTGTAATTATTTTTCTTTTTTTTTTTGAGACGGAGTCTCACTCTGTTGCTGGGATTACAGGCGTGAGCCACCGTGCCCGGCCTAATTATTTTTCTTAAAATATTGGTTAATGTATTTGGAGATTATCTGGAATGTTGTTTTCACGTGTTGAAAATATTTCATAATATGCTATAATCACTTTTGTCTAATAAATTTATTAGTAATCAAAAGAGAAACAAACTTCTTTATAGTTTAGAAATTTCTATATAGAGAGAACAGAGGATGAATACTAAAAAAATTATCTTCAAATTGGACACAAAATGACAGGGGACTCATTTAACAAAATTAAGGATATACAGTGACTATTTTATATTCATTCATTTATCCAAACATGTTTTCAAATAAATAAAATTAAAATCAATATTTGCTGAATGAAGATTTTGTTTTATTTATTTATATTTATATTTATTTTTTGTGAGACGGAGTCTTGCTCTGTCACCCAGGCTGGAATGCAGTGGCACAATCTCAGCTCACTGCAACCTCTGCCTTCCAGGCTCAAGTGATTCTTGTGCCTCAGCCTCTGAGTAGCTGGGATTATAGACATGTGCCACCATGCCCAGCTAATTTTTTAAATTTTTTAAATTTTTAGTACAGGGTTTCACCATGTTGGCCAAGCTAGTCTCGAATTCCTGGCCCCAAGTGATCCACCCACCTAGGCCTCCCAAAGTGCTGGAATTACAGGCATGAGCCACTGCGCCCGGCCTGAATGAATGTTTCTTCAATATTGTAATTTAAAAAAAAAAATAGTTCATGTTAATTTTATAATCAGATAAAACACTAGAAATATTTGTTAAATTCAATAATTATGAAAATAATAATAGCTACAATTTATGGAGCACCTATCCAGTAACATTCACTCTAAAGAGAAGTATGTCTCCCATGCCTCCCATAAAGAGCAGACTAGGCCTAGAGGGTTTCTACAATCTTCAATATCCGAAATAAGCAGATTTAGAGGACAACAAAATGATCCTGATTCAAAGATGACAAAAGTTACCCTGGAACAAACATAGAGGGAAAAGAATATTTCATTTGGAACATGGTATTCTTTAAAATAACATGCACATATAGCCTATCAAAATGAAATTCAACAATAGCCTACGCATACTGCAGTTACAGATAAATAAAAATATACATTCATGTGCAAAGTAAAATGTGAAATATAAAAGCACTCATGTTACTGTAGTATGATTATGAATCTTTTCTTATTTTCAAAAAAGTAATTTCCTTTTGTCATTTCTAAACTTTTTAAGCTCAAACTTATATAAATTCAAACTTGTATAAATTGGCATTTTAAAGAAAGACCCTTTAAGAATCATGCTCACAACAATGCCATCATGCAATTATTCACTATCCCCAGCACCATCTCTTTTTTGCTTAATAAAGAATCACAGAATAGTCTTCAGAAATGAAGCAACTTTAGGCTTGCTGTCATCACCATATCCAGTTTTCTCTGGCTCTCCAAAGAAGAGAAACCTCAGGGAACAAATGGAGATGACAAGGGTCTATGACTGCTCAGTACCTGGGCTGCTCTCTTTTGCTCTCAATCTGAGTGCATTTTCTTGAGAACTATTGGAAACAAGTTATTACTAAGCAGCCAGTGATAGCACAACTGGGTATAGAAGTTTCTTTTTCCTCTAGTCTCAGGAGGGAACTGCTTTCAGAAAGATGTTCCTTTTGCACCCAAAGGAACTTTTTTTAAAAAGTAGGGGTGAGCCAAACAGCAGACCCCTCACAGCAGCTGCAATGGGTGGGATAATGAGGGTGGCTATGTCTACATCTTGGCATATGGTGGCTTTTCCAACACTAAGACCCCTGACTGATAACCACTGGATAACTAGAAATAAATGTCCGGATAATTAATTGACATACTAATTTTGTGTTTTTCACTATATTTTTACCTCCTCTATCCCCCCCAAAATTAGGCAGGATTTTAATGTTCTTTTTTATCAAGGAGATTTGGGATATAACAATCAAAAGCAGACTTTTCTGGAAGATGGTCCCTTTCCTGACGTTTGTTACCCACAAGCTTAACTTTCTGAGACTGTGGCTGAAGGTAGAAGGTTAAAAGGAGAAGTGGTGAGGGGAGCCATGAGATTCTCCAGGACTAGGATGCTGTACCACTGCATCTCCCTGGCAGAGCCCTGGGCAGAAAATGGTTGCCTGATGTTCCTATTGAGGCTAGATTCTCAGCAACAAGATTCCAACCCCAGTAAAGGTTTCTGTGTCTGGGCCTGGCATGGAAGTTGAAGAGATGAGTGACTTCAAGGGCCACGTAGGTGCAGAAGATATGGGTATCCATGGCCCCCATGATGAAGTAAAGATGTGTTGCCCCCTTCTTAATGTCTGGACCATTTTTAGCCTTTCAAAAGCACAGGCTACCCTAGGGAGGGGGCCCCTATCCCAACCCTGAATGAGGAAATAGCCAAGATTAAATTTCCCCCCCAGCCTAATGGGATGGGGCTTTGGATTCAGAAATAGTTTGATTTCGAGAAAGCAATGTGACTTACATTGTATGCCCAAGTTTATGCAGCAAGAGTCACATATGTTACAAATGTCCACAGCCAATATGACATTGCTAAACTGGAATATATTCTTTAGACTGGATTAGTCAGCTTCCTTACCCTTCAATATCCCCCCATCAAGATTTCCCCTAGAACTGAAGAATTCAAGGAACAGATGCCTGGGTCTGAGAATGCCTCTTATGAAAGCACTGCTGTGTTCCAGTGTGATTGCTGGCCAGGCTCTTTGGGGGCATGTCTACAGAAATGTGCATTTAAAAAAAAAATCACTGTTTTGCTAGTATACCCTCCCTGCAAGCTACCATGTTATATTAAAAATATTCTCCATCACATGAATTCAGTCAACATGAAAGTGATTATGAATGCTGTGCAGAGGCATGTTTCAATTCTCCAGCAGGGGATATCATCCATATATAGCATGGCTCAGTGCCACAGTCCCCAAACCATGCTGCAAACACAACAAGAAAATACGTGGATTGGATTTGTATTGATTTAAATGTACTGCTATAAGAATAAACTCAAATTAATGCATGTGTCATTCCTAAACAAGCACTGGCTGCTTTTACCTCAGAGGGGAAGAGTGGTTAGGAAATTCATTAACTGGTACCCAACATATACTTTTATTTATAGTCATGTCTCATGACATATTTTAAACAAGATGTTCTGCTTTAATTAAACTATGACATGTAAATGAAAAGATGTTAAATTTGCATTAGTCATCTTTCACAAGCAAAGTATAAATGGAATCCCAATACATGGATCTACTAATTGCTCTTCCTATTATCACCACTTAATGTACCTTTTTCTAGCTTTCACCCTTTTTCCTTCCCACCTTGACCAAACTTTTCATTTGTTTGTTTTTTCGGGGTTTTTTTTGAGATAGAGTTTCACTCTTGTTGCCCAGGCTTGAGTGCAATGGCACGATCTCGGCTCACTGCAACCTCCGCCTCCCGGGTTAAAGCAATTCTCCTGACTCGGCCTTCTGAGTAGCTGGGATTACAGGCTTGCACACCTGGCTAATTTTGTATTTTTAGTAGAGATGGGGTTTCTCCATGTTGGTCAGGCTGGTCTTGAACTCCCAACCTCAGGTGATCTGCCTGTCTCGGCCTCCCAAAGTGTTGGGATTACAGGCGTGAGTCACCTCGTCTGGCCTACCTTGACCAAACTCTTTATAACGTCCACAGTGGCTGCCTTAAGGCTCTGATCCCTTCTCTTTTCATCTTTCTGAAGTGTGACCTTCGACCCTTCCCCTCCAAAGAAAGAACTCTTGCAAAGGTCACTAGCCACCTTCTGATGGGTCAAACTGAATAGACTCTTTGCCATTTTTATTCTGCTTGTTCTTTCTCAGGGTTTCATCCACTTGACCAACTTCCTCTTAAAACTCTGTTTCCTTTTCCTTTATTAAACCCACTGTGCAATAAAAGATTAACTCAGTAGGTCTGGGTTGTCCAAACCATACACATTCCAAAGAAAGGTTTGGCCCTTGACTGGTTCTTAGGAGATAACCTCTAAGCCCTTGTAATACCCTCTTTGATTAAGAGTGCCTTTGTTTACCTGAGGCCTTGGGCCATGCCAGATAGTTTATGGTAACAATGTGACTTATGGTGGGGGCCTTGAGTCACATGGTATCAACTTGACCACTAGAGAGGCTGGAGACTAGATAACTAAAGTCAGCTATGCAGGTGATCACATGGGCAGACTGACCCCCAACAAAAACCTTGGACATGAAAGTTTGGGTGAGCTTCCCTGGTGGGCAATACTTTGTAAGTGTCATCATGCTTGGTTGCTGGGAGAATTAATAGCTGCCCATATGACTCTACTGGGAGACAAAAACTGCAAGCCTCTGCCTGGTCTCTCCTGGATTCTGCCCTACGTGTCTTTTCCCTCTACTGATTTTAATCTATACAAACTGTACTTGTGAATATAACAGCTTTTCTGACTTCTGTGTGAGTCCTTTTACGGAATCACTGAACCTAAGGGTGGTCCTGGGGACACTGACAATAGCCACTCTCTCAGTTCCGTTTAAAAAAATATTTAAAAGAAATCACCTTCTAGCTGCCATTAATTGTAGTAAGTTCTGGGCATAGAATGAATGAGCATGACATTCTTTTACATACTACGGAATGTATAGCATGTATAGCCTGATTTGGAAGGACGCTGGTGAGAGGAGCCTGACAAACAGGTTATTTCCATAGAACGTGATATGCATACGCCAGATAAGTATCCATGAGTTGTGCCGATTAATCACCTTGCCTATTCAGCTCCAGAACGTATTCTTTAAGTGTAGGGAAAAAGTCTTATCGTTGTATCCTTAATGCCTACATACTTCAGTAAATGTTTTGTTTCATTTGTTAAATCATTGCAAAAGAATGCAAATATTGAGTTTAATCATTTTTTTCCCACTTACGCTTTTGGTAGCATCAGTTCCTTGATACAACTGAATTTTCCCTGTCTTCCACTTTTCATCCTCACTCGTGGTCTTCTCCCATGCCAGGGCATTGTTACTGTTTTTCACAAACACTCGAAGTTTCCCGACTTTGTCTCCGGCCAGCCGGTAATCAAAGAGCAAACAGAAGTTGCTTTGGGGTTGCAGGTCAGGTAGGAGAAGTTTCAATCGGCCAATGTCTTTCTTGTGACCTGCCAAGGCCGGAACTGCCATATAGAAGCCAATAGCTTTAAGAGAAGGGAAAAAATGCACAATTAATGAGGCAATTGTAAGGAGTTTGGCTTTAATGTATAAAAAAAGCTATAAAAAGTAAACAATAGTCTCCTATAGGGAAAGCTGAAGTCCTTTTCATTTTGAACATAGGAATAAAAGTTTCATGCTAAAATGGATTTTAGGGATCACACAATTGAAATCTTTTGTTATATAGACAAATTGATGGTCAGAGAAACCGAGGAATTTTTTGCATACACAAAGCATACACAAAGATATGGGGTAAGAATCTAATTAAATGATCCTTTAGCACTGCAGGTAATCTGCAGTTGATGGAGAACTTGTGTTCCATAATTTCATTTCCATTTTGGTGACTTGAAACTTAGAATGCACTTCCCCACTGAGTCAATGACATGTAAGATGATCAGCTCCTTAAATGGGTCCAGAGTGTGGTGTTTAATCCAAAACACACCTGCACCTGTACTAGTGGTTTCATGGAGCTCAACTACCATGTGTAACATATCACTCCAATTTCTGATTTAGGATGACAGGAACACTCTCCTTCAAATCCTGCAAATCTTCTAAGTATCTTTTAACCTGTGGTGTAGTGGACTTTTGCTCATATCCAATCTTCGGGTTGTGGCTTTGATGAACTTGGGCAAAAACTCTCAAAGAGTAGGGTCTGAAGAAGTTGATAAGAAGGAAAAATTTCTATAGAAGCCAGGAAGAAGACATTGGGGAATGGGTCGTCTTCTGCTACTGCAAGTCGGAGATACTTGCAGGACCCAGGCTGACATTGCCTTAGTTTTCAATGCATCCAGAATCTGGTCTTCTTCCCCAGCTAGTAGGGTATCCAGATTTAGCAAATAAAAATATAGGATGCCCAGTGGAGTTTGAATTTCAGATAAAGTACATGTCCAAGACATACTAAAAAGTATTAATTGCCTGTCTGAAATATAGCCATCCTATATTTCATCTGGCATCTCTTTCAGCTACGCTTTCTGTCACCTACTGTGGAAGGTTTCCCTTTCTCTCCCAGATAAAGTCCGCTTTGAGCTGTCTTTGTGGTTTTATCCCTTTAATAATGCTAACTCATTCATGTCTCTTTTCTTTTTTTCTTTTTCTTTTTTTTTTTTTTTTTTGAGGCAGGGTCTCACTCTGTCACCCAGGCTGGAGTGCAGGGGTGCCATCATAGCTCATTATAGCCTCAAATGCCTGGGCCCAAGTGATCCTTCCACTTCAGCCTCCTGAATAGCTGGGATCACAGGTGTATGCCGCCACACCTGGCTAATTTTTTTCTTTTTCATTTTTTTGTGTTTTATTTTTTATTTATTTATTTTCTTGGAGATGGAGTCTTGTTCTGTCGCCCAGGCTGGAGTGCAATAGTGCGATCTCAGCTCACTGCAACCTCCGCCTCCCGGGTTCAAGCGATTCTCCTGCCTCAGCCTCCCAAGTAGCTGGGATTACAGGCACACACCACCACGCCCGGCTAATTTTTGTATATTTAGTAGAGACAGGGTTTCACCATGTTAGCCAGGCTGGTCTTGAACTCCTGACCTCAGGTAATCCACCTGCCTCGGCTTCCCAAAGTGCTCCCAAAGTGCTGGGATTACATACATGAGCCACCGCACCCAGCCTATTTTTTTTCAATTTTTTGTAGCGATGGGATCCCCCAGTGTTGCCCAGGCTGGTCTCAAACTCCTGGGCTCAAGTAATCCTCCCGCCTTGGCCATGTTTATTTTTCATATTTAGCTGTACAGAGGGAATGAAAAGCTCACCTAGAAATCCAATGGAGGTGCAGGAGGAGCAGGGGTATGATTTGAATGATGCAGAAGCTGAGAACCCTGGGGTTATTTGTGAATTGAGTGTTTGTAAATAGGGAACTTCCCTTGGACAGAAGACTCAACTTAAGACTTAACATAACCTTATATCAGCTGTGGAGGTCCTGGAATAACCTATGGGCTCCCAATATGATATAGCTCTGGTAGACATAAATTTAGAGATGCCATTATGGAAGAAAAGAGAAACTCAGGTTAGTTATCAACAAGATAGCTTTTCCAATGATATGATGTTTTCAGCCTGGTTAAATTTGCCCTTTGCTTACACTGAATCTTTAGTAAAAGTCCCATTCACACAACTGCTGTGTGAGATGTAACCCCTCTCCCCTAACCCCAAGTTCAAAAAGGAATTCTTGTTAGGGGATATCTAGGTTTTCTGATTGCATGTGAGGGCATGAAAGGAAAGATGTTGGAGAGGAATTGGTCTAGAGGAAGGATCTAAAAGAAAGATCTTTTAACTGAGGGCTGAGCCTATACATCCCCAAAGAAATAATTTGATTGATAAGTAACTGGAGTCCCTGAAGGTGTAACAGTTGACTTTAATTATATAGTCAGTCTTCAGGAGACAGAGATTCAATTTGTGCTCTAAATGGGATCTGCAAGACAAACACTAAGGGGATAGTTAGGGTCCGTCAATAGTGTTTAAGTAGGCAATGGGAAGGGTGGGAAATCCGCAGCTCACAGATAAGATTGAGAAAAATTCAAGGACAGGTGGCTCGAAAGAAATCCTCAAGCAACAAACAGAAGGGAAAGCTCAGTTCAGGAGTTCAGGTCATTGACTTGATGTTCATTATGGTTTTCATGCTTTGAGGGGCCACTCTACTAAAACACCAGGTTTAGGTGGAGGTTATATTTCCTTTCAAGATTTATTTCCCCCATGAAAACAAAACAAAAAACAAAAACTACAAGATGCCATGGCTGGTAAACTGGGAAGAAGAAACCATTTCTTTCTACCTTTTCCCTAACTCTCCCAAACTTTATACAAATCTCAACATCTCTCCCTCAGCAGCAGGAGAGTGAATATGGAAGAGGTTTTCTCCCATATCCTTTGTGGTGGCAGGTGTGTGGGAGAGGGATTAAGTAGGAGAATATATGCTGGACCAAGTTAGTCATCTATCAAGGGAGAGCTCAGAAGGTCTAAAAGTTTCCAAAAATGACAAACAACCCTGCTCTGATGAGTAATGGGAATAACAACCCATCACTCATGGAGGGCTTTCTATCCCTTCACCATATTGCAGAACATGAAACTGTCAAATATAAATACCATTATCTCGATCAGCAGGATTCCAGTCAAAATCATCTTCTCTATCCTGTTTCCAGTCACAGATCCCATGATTGAAGCTGCAGTCAACCGAGATATTTAAATCTGCTAAAAAGAAAGAACATATTTCATAACCCCTAAAAGCATTAGGAAGGTGTCTAACATTTGGGGCTTTGGAAGGCAATACCTTGTTTTCAGTCGCACAGAGTACAGATCATGACATACCCTGTTTTGAGTTATGTCTGTGAAGCCATTCTGAACAAATTCAGTTGTGATCTTAAAAAAACAAAAAGCTTTGGGAGGCTGAGGTAGGCAGATCACGAGGTCAGGAGTTCAAGACCAGCCTGGCCAACATGGTGAAACTCCGTCTCTACTAAAAATACAAAAATTAGCTGGGCATGGTGGCAGACACCTGTAATCCCAGCTACTCGGGAGGCTGAGGCAGGAGAATCACCCAGGAGGTGGAGGTTGCAGTGAGCCAAGATCACATCATTGCACTCCAGCCTGGGTGACAGGGTGAGACTCTGTCTCAAAAAAAAAAAAAAAAAAAACCCAAAATAAAACAAAAACCCTTTTTTAAAAAAAAAAAAAATTAGTAATGGGCGAGAACCCCATGCACAAAGAGAAACAGAATATAAGCAATTGTTTATCGAATTCAGGCCAGAAAATAAAATATCTCCTACCCAAATAAACCAGTGAAGACCTTGCCGGAACTTTCTACTTTCTTTTTCTTTTTTTTTGAGACAGGTTCTTGCTCTGTCACTCAGGCTGGAGTGTAGTGGCACAAACACAGCTCACTACAGCCTCTACCTCCTAGGCTCAAGTGATCCTCCCACTTCAGCTTCCCGAGTAGCTGGGACTATGGACACATGCTACCATGCCAGCTAATTTTTAAATTTTTTTTTTGTACAGATGGGGGTCTCATTGTGTTGCCCAGGCTGGTCTTGAACTCCTGGGCTCAAACGATCCACCTGCCTTGGCCTCCCAAAATGCTGGTATTCCAGGTGTGAGCCACCGTGCCTGGCCTCTAAACTGTTAATGACTGCCTTGTTTAGATGTGTCAGAGAAATATAAGAGTTCATTCAGCTAGTTTTAAGTTTTGAACCAGTGCCTGTGGTTACTTTTATGTAGATCCTGGCCCACTGTCTGTTTTATAAAGTTTTATTGAAACACACTATGCCCATTCATTCACATAACATCAATGACTGCATCTGAGCTACAATGACGGAGTTGAATAGTTGTGAAAGTAGTTTATGGCCTACAAAGCTTAAAATATGTACTATCTAGCCCTTTATAGAAAAAAGTTGGCTGACCTCTGATGTAGATAAATACCACTGGGAAAGGGCGGGGGTGAAGAATGAGATATTTTTTATTTATAACTAAGGCTAGCCTCTGGCTCTGATTTTGGGGCTTTATATGTTTTAATGCTGGGGAAGAAAGGAATGGTAAGGAAAGGGAATAGGGTAAAAAGAAACACAGCAGCAGCTGATTCTTGACTCATTTTGATTTGCCAAATATTTTATATCATTTGATTAGGTTGTTTAAAAAAACGTCTAGCATCAGACTCATTTTCAGGAAACTAAAACTAAGGCTCAAGTTCTGCTGACACTGAATGCTGGAGTTGGACCTGAATCCCAAATCAGACTGCAATCCAGGACCTTCCATCTTGCACATATCCTAAGTGAGCACATACGGTCCCTTTCCTCACTTTCCTTTCTTCTTAACTCCCTATTTTTTCTCTGTGCAGCAAATATATTTTCTTTCTAGTCCCAGTTTTAAAAGTAAAAGATGCCAGGTAATACTGGCTTCCAGTCTTCAGTATTCTTCAATGAGTGCTAATACTAGTTAGATAGTTGATGTTATTATCCCACAAATAGTGGAATATCAGCTTTTCAGTTGGTTTACAATTGTGGTGGAATGTTTCTCCCAAACTCTTCCCCTTCCTCCACATGGGGAAAGCGAGTGTGTAAATTGGGATGATGGAATAGTATATAGCAAACTATTCCATACAGAGATAAAACTCAAGGCTTTGGTCTCACAGGCACATTCTTTCATTTGTATAGCACTTCATGGTTTGGAAAGTGCTTTCACATATATTCTCTGGTTTAATCCACACCTGCCTTGAAGCAGATGCTCTTGGTGCCACACAAATATCTGTCAGTACTTATATTCTCTTGCAGGCATTTGGCTTTCTACTGGAAACACTCACAGCTCTCTGTGTGAGGGTGTTCTCTGGCTGGAGCATTCTTGGCCCAACCAGGTGAGCTAGAATGCTGGGAAGTTATTTTCCCAGGGACAGCCCTCAACCAGTGATGGACAGGAGTTGTTGGATAGATACCTCCATTTCCTTGCCTTTGGAAAGGACCACTAAGTGCTGGAATTGAATGTGGACTAAAGTCAGTTTGGAATTCAGGCTTCCCCTGTCTTGTCGAGGGTCCAAGTGGGATTGAGATCAAGTTGCCCCAGTGGTGCCCTTCCTTGCTTTCATGCCAGGCCAGGAGCACCAAGGAATCAGCACCCTCCTGGGAGCAGCCTTCAATCAATGCCAGATGGGAGTTGGTATATATATGCCCCAGCCTCCTTACTCCTTCAGTAGGATAATTATGAGCCATGTGTTCTACACTGGCTTCTGGAGTTCCCCAATGGGATTGAGCTCCAGTTGCCCACAGTGGAAACTTGCCTGATAACATACCCATTATTGCCTCCTTGTCTCCCCATCTCACTTATGCACACCCCCAACCACCATTTCCTGGGATCATCTTCCACATAAACCACTTGCACACAAATTCTTATCTTGGGGTCTATTTCTGGGGAACCCAGCCTAAGACAGCACCTAAGAGATGAATATTGCTCTTATTCCAATTTTATGTATGAAAGCAAGGAGGCACTGCAAATCCAAGTGACTTGTCCAAGGCAAACAACCAGTGGAAGAGTTGCAGTATGCATCTGAATCTTCTGATTGGGACTGAGCTTTCCAAGACAACTTACTCAAGGACTGTTGAAATTACAGGGTCATATGGTCATGTGCAAAATTTTAACCTTTCTGTGTTTCATTAGGAATCATGGAATAGAAAGTAAACTAAGAAATCTGGTGGTTTGGGGATCGAAAGAGGAGTCAACGGATTCCTTCATGTCACTTATCAAGGGTAGACAGAGCTTGGGCAGAACTTGTGAGCACCTGGAGAACGTAGCTTACCCCCTGTACAATGAAACATTTTCTTTCTAACCAGGAAAATGGGCAATAAGTTGTCTAATGCAGAGAAACAAAAACATAGAATACTTAGGAGAAATATGGAAGAAAACAAAATGCCTGTAGGAGTTGGGTCATAGGTTACTAGGCTTTGAAGAGTTTTAGTAGAAGCTTCTCAGATACAATTTGGAGGACTGAATTAGAGAGGTACATTTTTTTTTGCGGTAGAGATGGTCCTGTAAACCAAAGTGATAGAACTGGGCAATGCACTCACAGGGTAAACACAAAAGGGAATCAATTAGCACAAGGTTATGCTAATCTTTTACTTACCACATGTATAGTGGTAAGTAAAAGGAAGTTTGAAAAGGAAAAGGTTATGCTAATCTTTTACTTACCACATGTATAGTGGTAAGTGAAAGAAACTTTGAAAAGGAAAGAGATGATCAAGGCATTCATACTTATACCAAGTGAAAGGGATAAATATATAAATGGGCTTTTCCCTGAGGTCTGTGTAATTTGTCATGAGTGGTGAACGTTCTAAATAAACCAAGAGGAATTAGGGATCATGCCTAAGAAACTCCAGATTATGAGGCTTTGGTGGAATGATCGCAAAAATGGTCCTGATTTTTATCCCTCTCTGTATCCACACTCTTTGTATGACTTCACAGCTCCTTCCACAACCTTGAAGTCTACGCTGGCCTTGTGACTTGGCTTGGCCAATGGAATATGGCAGAAGTGATGTTGTGCCATTTCTGGGCCTAGACCTCAAAATATCTTGTGTGCTGCTGCTCTCTTTCCTGAAACCCTGCTGTTGCCTCATGAGAAACAGCTTGGACTAGCCTGCTGGAGGATGAGAGACCACATGGAGCAGAGCTGAGTGAGTCCAATCCTCCCAACTGAGGCCTCAGGCATGTAAGAAAGCACAGCCAAGATCAGCAACATCACGAAGCAGGCCCACAACTGACTGTATGTGGACACATGAGTGAGCCCACCCAGCCTAGCTCAGGGCAGCAGAACCGTCCAGCCAACCCATAGACTCATAAGCAAAAATAAATATTTATTGCTGTAGGCCACTGAGGGCTTGTGGTTGTTTGTTACACAGCATTATTATGGCAATAGGTAACTGATACAGGCACTTTGGGCCAAATTTAGTACATGAGGACTTTCAGGTTGTGGGTCCTCAGGCAGTAGAGTTGAAGAAAATATGTAAGTTTCTCCCATCTCCATATATACAGTCTGCTTCAACCATTCACTCTCAGCATCAGGTGGGAGTGGCGGGGAGAAGAGAATAGCCTTACTATATTTCAATCATTAGTACCAGTCACACAAGGACCTACTATTTTAATACTGGCACTGTGTGTGTGATGTAATGATTTTTCCCTTGGGGGTTTACGAATGAAGCAGGGATTCATAAACAATCATTTCACTGTATGAAGAAATGAAAACGACCAGGACAACATGAAAGAGCATACACTTGGGAGAAAGAATTATTTACCTTTATGTTCCAGTTTGGAAGTTAGCGCTTTCCTTTGGACCAGAATCAGGCCGAATTCACCTGCTTCATTCACCTTAGGGACTAATAAAGAACACTTGGTCAGTTAAGAAAAAAACCTTAAAGCCCACATGCTCAGAAGGTATCAATCAAATGACCAAACAAAGAAGGTTAGATCATGTATTCTAATTACAGAATATATTAGAGCAGTGTTTCCCTAACATTTCCAAATAATTCACATTGGATCCAGTTTCCTCATCTAAAACATCTTTTCCAGACATTTCCTTGGGTAAACTAAGCATCTACACTCTTGATACATCCCTTCATACTAGGTTTTGGAAATATGTTTTTTTTTTTCTTTTTTTGAGATTTTTCACTCTCTATTAAGGCAGAGAATGTCACCGGATGCTAGTTCTTGGACGGGTGGGCCTGTGTCTACTTTTCCTTTGGTTAAATCCATCTGGCATTTGTATATATGACCACCAGTCACAGAGCCGAGACTAGATAAGGCAAAATATAGAGGGAGCAACAAATGCCCAGCCAGAATGAATGGGAAAGTCTCAGTGTAGAGATGCAGGGTGGGTTAATATGGAAACCCTCCTGGGGGGACTGAGCCTTATGGTGGGTTCTGCACAGCAACTAGTGAAAAGGGAGTTACGGCAGTTCTCTAGTTCACATAGAAAACTTAAGCTCCACTATAAAATTTGTCCTCCTACATTTGTCGATTTTGGCTTTTAAAATCACAACCATACAACTGTGAGGTTCCATTTTCATAGACTAGGCCTGTAAAAGTGCCTTCAAGAAATAAAAAGGTAGAGCTTAGCAGATCCATGTGGTGAGCCTCTCTTTGATTTGGGGGCATGCCTCATGGAGAGCTGGGCAGCCAAACCACTGCCCTTGCAGGACTAGCAGGCTTCCTTGGCTGGAAGCTAGAAGAGAAGGTCTGTGTCAAATAGGAAACCCCCCAAGTAGGGGAACAGGACTTCCCCTCCTTGGTTCCTAGAGCAGCAGGTTTGATTGGGTATTTGCAGAAGGTATTCGTTTCTAGACATTACAGAGAATGTTGCTTCTCAGGACTTAAGACCCAACCCATTTTACTTAAGCTGTGAAACCGGCTTTTTGTCTTCTTTCATTTGCCAGGAGAAATTGCAATTCATTTTTCATAAAACATATAAAATAAAAATAACACTCACAAAACACATCTCCTCGCAGGCTTCGCTCCTCTATGTCATTCTTCAGGGCTTTCTCTTCTCTTTTCTCATCCTCAAGCCCCTCTTTCATTTTCTCTTCATTCCCTTTTTTACCTCCATGAGAGTTCCCGCCTCTGGAAACTATCTCTTCATAGTTGAAGGGCTGCAAGTTCACCTTAGGGGTAGGAGTCCTGGTGGGTTCTGGGGTAACATTTTTAATTTTTGCCTTCTTTTTCATGCTGTTTTTGTGAGCAAGCAACTTCTTGATTCTGTCTTTGATGGTACCAGGTGCTCTGAGGACTTCCTTCACAGAATTTTCAGGGATAGCTAAAACAAATAAGAGGCAATATGTTCCAAATTGGAAGATAATTAAATTACTCACAAAATGGAGCATTTAAAAAGTGTTAAAGTGTAGTAAGTGAATGCTTCCAGAATGAACCCACATGAGGCTCTACTATTTGATGATAAATTAGGAAGAACTATATTTGTATTGTTTTAAGCAGTTCCACTGTTATGGTAGTTATCTTAATTACCTTTTGTTGCTTTTGTTTTGCTTCGGAGACCACTTTAGTGAAACACTTATTACTACCCAGTTGGGCTACAGATCCCAAAGACATGGATTTGCCATGTTCGTCTAATATTTCTGCTTTCATTGTGGTATTCTTCAAAAACTGGTATTGTCCTGATAGCCCTATAGATTTGTCCAAATTTGATATTCAAAAATTACAGCTACAGCATTAGGTTGAACCATATAAATTGCTAATAATGGACCATTTGTGACCTACAAAAATGGTGACTTATGGTGCAATATACACATACCCAATTTTCTTTCTCTCTTCTCTCTCCCCTTTGAATTTTTTCACCTCAGTCAACCATTATCTAAAGCTAAATGAGTTTATTTATTAAATATTTCAGAGAGGCTTCTATACTTACTATTTTTCATTCGTTTTCTATTTCCCACCACAAAAGTAAATTACTTTAAAAATGTACCTCTAGTCTCTCTACTAAAAATACAAAAAATTAGCCGGGCGCGGTGGCGGGCGCCTGTAGTCCCAGCTACTCGGGAGGCTGAGGCAGGAGAATGGCGTGAACCCGGGAAGCGGAGCTTGCAGTGAGCCGAGATTGCGCCACTGCAGTCCGCAGTCCGGCCTGGGCGACAGAGCGAGACTCCGTCTCAAAAAAAAAAAAAAAAAAAAATGTACCTCTAGATCAATTCTTCTTATCCCTCAGTGGACTAATGACCCTTGGAGGAAAAATGTTGGTGTCGAAGAACGCAAGAGGTACAAAAAAGTTCATTTAGTCCAGGACTCTTGTCTTGTCGATGAGGCAACTGGGTGTTAAGTGACTTGCCCAAAGGCACTCATCATGTTAGGGACGGAGCTAAGATTTGGCAGTAGAGCATATGAATGACTATTTTTCTTTTCTTTTCTTTCTTTTTTTTTTTTTGAGACAGAGTTTCACTCTTGTCACCCAGGCTGGAGTGCAGTGGCATGATCTCGGCTCACTGCAACCTCCCCCTCCTGGGTTGCAGTGATTCTCCTGCGTCAGCCTCCCCAGTATCTGGGATCACAGGTGCGTGCCACCACACCTGGCTAATTTTTGTATTTTTAGTAGAGACGGGGTTTCGCCATGTTGGCCAGGCTAGTCTCGAACCCCTGACCTCGGGTGATCCACCCACCTCGGCCTCCCAAAGTGTTGGGATTACAGGTGTGAGCCACCATGCCTGGCCATGAATGTCTCTTTTTTCCAGTCCTATTTCTATGATAGATTTATTTCTGCTTTAAGATTAAGGTTACTTTTCTCTAGACTGTTTCAAATTCCTTGAGATCTATAATTCAAAGATATATGTCTCCTTTTCAGGGATATACTCATGATAATTCAGAATATCCAACTGATGTAAAGAAGTAATTAATTTTTAAAAAATTAAATACACTGATATTTGAAATCAAATATATTGTCTCACTATAAAATATCTAGGCATGTACTAATCTAAGACTAAGCAAGAAAGGGTCTAATAACACCTCAATCAATTCACTTAATTCTATTATTTGGACATAGTTTAGAGAGAAGTGAAACAATGGAGTAGACATTAATTTTGATGCCTAAAAAGAGTACTATAAAAAATTGGAGTGGGATTTTATTAGAATATTTTTCTTAACAATGTTTTAACCTCTTCTCCTGCTTTGTTCCTTCTCCATCATTTGGCTGATTCAATCTATATCAAAGTAGTAGAAAAATAAACAAGCAGAAGTCCACAATATTTGGGGTAACCAAACGGGGGAAAAATGCTTTGAAAATATGTATGCTCTTAATTAATAATTGCTTTTACTTTGGAATCAAAAGAGCAACATTTTTCTTTTCAATGAAATATTCTAGTTATTTATCATTGTGACAGCCTGACTATAGGTAGAAAACCAACAAGCACTAATACAAGTAATGCATCATTACTCATTTTCCTGACCTTCAGATAGCCTGTTTCAGCTACTTTGCCAGAGATTGCATGTTAAGTTATGACCGTAATGTGTGATCATATATAGACCTTCCTCTGGAGGCCCCACTGTAATTCCATCCATGGTCGACTGCATCTTTCTCCAGCACCTGGCAAGAAAAATTAACAGGAAACCCCTATTCCCTGCAAATTTCCTTTTTGCAATCAGTAACATAAAACTAAAGACCTTTAATAAATAATGAGGAAAGGGTTTCAGCTCACACCAGGCAAACCTAAACATCTGCTTTCAGTTTCTGCTTTGAAGTTTCAAATGTTCCTATTGAAAAGAAACAAAAACTAAAACATCATAATCTTGATAGTGTTGACAATTTCATTCTCTTAGTATGTAAACAGAAAGCTGGGCAAGGATAAAAATGCACTTTAATGATATGCATATGCATAAGTAGATTTGGATTTATCTAGGTATTGCTGTTTCAAATTTGACATTATGACGGTTTTCTCTTAAAGATTTATTGATTATTGCATCATCTTTTTGAGAATATAAAAATGTGGGAGGGGCCAGGCATGGTGGCTCACGCCTGTAATCCCAGCACTTTGGGAGGCCAAGGCAGGCGGATCACTTGAGGTCAGGTGTTTGAGACCAGCCTGGCCAACATACATCGTGAAACACCGTCTCTACTAAAAATACAAAAATTAGCTGGGAGTGGTGGCAGGTGCCTGTAATCCCAGCTACTCAGGAGGCTGAGGCAGGAGAATTGCTTGAACCCAGGAAGCAGAGGTTGCAGTGAGCTGAGATCATGCCACTACTCTCCAGCCTAGGCAACAGAGTGAGACTCCATGTCAAAAAAAAAAAAAAAATATGGAGGGAGTTGCAGTAGGAGGGTCTTTGGCACATTTGGGGAACTCAGATATAAAACTTAGGTCTTCAGGTTCACAGGCCAGTTTTTTGTAAAGTTGACAATTTCTCTCGGGAGGTATTTGAGATTTCTCCAAACACCCATGTTGTCAAACACTTCTATCAACCTGAAAACCCTAATTTTAATTTCATATCTTTGGAATAAAACTTTATAGAAGATCACTCTTAGGTGAGAATATCTTACCCAGGAGGAATATGACTTTGACATTCATTCAACTGTGCTTAGTGCATTAGATGATCTATCATCTGGGAGGAGAAAAGTTCTACTAATCTGAGCTTTGGACACAGTCCTGGAAGAAGAAGCTTAATCACAGATGAAGAATGTGTTCCAGCATGGGACCCAGGAAACAGGAAGGGGCTAGGACAGAACAAAAGATGAGCCAAGAGAGTTTGCTGAGGAGGGCAAACTCTGTGAGTTCTCCATCACAGAGGATCAACCAATTGGTCATGAACACACCTGTCCTGTGTTTAAGCACATAATCCTGAAGCCCATTTTCCTGAGTTTGACTCCTAGCTCCCACATCTTCTAGCCATATGTCCTCAAATGAATAATTAACTTCTCTTTGCCTCAGTCTCTCCATTTATAAAATTGGGATAAGAACAGATTTTTTTGGGAGGCTTAAATGGGTGAACACACATCGATTACTAAGATTAGTGCTTGGCACACACTCAGCATGTGTGCTATTATTTTTAGCATTCATGACCAGAATGTTTAAAATCTTTTCCAGAGTTAGAAAAATTCCCAGGCCATACCTCCAAGTTTCTAATGTTTATAATTGAAGAAAAAAAATGGGGATGGCCTGGTTGTAGCAAAACCCATATTCTTGAATACACACCCTACAAACTGAATTAAGCAATCAGCATATTTTTAGTGACTAAAGAAGCTGCTTTTCAACAGAAATGATTGTTGAATTTTGGTAAGGAGGGCTTTGTCACTATTACTCCTACTCCTAGCACATACTTATTGAACATTTCATATATTCTGGGCTGGTGCTAAGCTCTTTAGATGGACGCTCACTTATTCTGTGTGAATAAATTTAATCATCAAAACAATATTAAGGGCTAGATACTATCATCCCTATTTTGCAGGTGTGGAAACTGAGGCACTGAAAGGTTGAATAATTTGTTCTCACTCCACAGGTAGTAGGCTAGCAAGTCAGGAATCAAGCTAAGGTAATACGATTCCAGAAGCTGTGCTCCTCGTAAGCCAATGACAGTTTCCTTTCCTAAGTTGACTGTTACTCCCCAAATTGAGTGTTATCTGGGTTTTGATTTTCTTAGAATGAGGTGTAGCTGCTGTCAAATCAAGACCAAATTATCTGGCAGTATACTATTAATACTCATATTAGAACAGTGGAACATATACACATCTACATTTAGGGTGCTTCTTCCTTTAGGTACAGAGAATGGGTTAGGATAATCTAACTCTTTTTCCATATTGCAATGTAGAGTCTGAAATTTTCAAAACAATGAACTTAATAAAAGTTGCTACATCAATGCCATATATATGACATATATATATATATATATATATGTATATATTTATGGAGATGAAGTCTCGCTCGGTCGCCCAGGCTGGAGTGTAGTGGTACGATCTCAGCTCACTGCAATCTCTGCCTCCTGGCTTCAAGCAATTCTCCTACCTCAGCCTCCCGAGTAGCTGGGACTACAGGCGCACACCACCATGCCTGGCTAATTTTTTGTATTTTAGTAGAGGCGGGGTTTTACCGTGTTGCCCAGGCTGGTCTTGCACCCCTGAGCTCAGGCAATCCACCCGCCTCGGCCTTCCAAAGTGCTAGGATTACAGGCATGAGCTACTGCGCCCGGCCTATGCCCTAGATTATATAATAACAATTTATGTGCATACAAATGTATTTGTAATATAACATTTTATAATGTTTTATAATGCTGAATGCTAACTAGATGCAATTCTCTCATTTTTGTTTTTATGACTCTTGTATGTACATAAGCGTGGATTTTGGCCCGGCTAGCCACCCCGTCCGGGAGGTGGGGGGCAGCCCCCTCCCGGCCAGCCGCCCCGTCTGGGAGGTGGGGGGTGCCTCTGCCCAGCCGCCCCGTCTGGGAAGTGAGGAGCCCCTCTGCCCGGCCGCCACCCCGTCTGGGAGGTGTACCCAACAGCTCATTGAGAACGGGCCATGATGACGATGGCGGTTTTGTCGAATAGAAAAGGGGGAAATGTGGGGAAAAGAAAGAGAGATCAGATTGTTACTGTGTCTGTGTAGAAAGAAGTAGACATAGGAGACTCCATTTTGTTCTGTACTAAGAAAAATTCTTCTGCCTTGGGATGCTGTTAATCTATAACCTTACCCCCAACCCCGTGCTCTCTGAAACATGTGCTGTGTCCACTAAGGGTTAAATGGATTAAGGGCGGTGCAAGATGTGCTTTGTTAAACAGATGCTTGAAGGCAGCATGCTCGTTAAGAGTCATCACCACTCCCTAATCTCAAGTACCCAGGGACACAAACACTGCGGAAGGCCGCAGGGTCCTCTGCCTAGGAAAACCAGAGACCTTTGTTCACATGTTTATCTGCTGACCTTCCCTCCACTATTATCCTATGACCCTGCCAAATCCCCCTCTCCGAGAAACACCCAAGAATGATCAATAAATACTAAAAAAATTTAAAAAAAAAAAGAGTGGATTTTGAGGCATCCTTCTTTAAGCAATGAATGTTAAGACCTTGTTAAGATGAATTTTCAATAGTAACATGGCTGTTTATTTTATGGAGAATTAGAGAATTAAAGCAAAATGAAAAGGGTTGGACAAGTAATATAGTAAATGACCCAAAGATAGTTTTCTCCTTTAAATAAACATTCCAGTGAAAGACTAAAGAAATAATTTAGCTGCAGAATGGATAACAAAATGCATAATTTTCAGATATTGAATAGAACAGTGTGATGAATTTGAGGTTTCAAAGAATAAAGACAAATTTCTTTTATCCCAAAATAAAGTTGGATGGTCCAAGAAAAACAGACATTTTCTTGACACAAGAAATGTTTGTGTTGATGTAGGATTTACAATTTCAAAGCACTGAGTTACAATATAGAAAACACAGGCTGCAAACAACTATCTAATTGCATGCTTAAAGATGTTGCCTTCATTTGAACATTAATAATACATTGCGGTTTAAGGGGATCAAATGACGAGGAAGAAAGATGGCTCCAGGTTTACTCTGGGCCTTCGATTCCCCTCTAGGGGTAGGAGAGTGAGTATGTGGGGGTGAGTTGCCCACTTATTGAAACAAATGCTTTCCTGAGGTGTCTTTTTTTGTATGCACAACATTTTCATATTTACCTTTGTGAAATTTCAGAGTGGGTGGCCCTTAACAAACAGCTGATTGAAATGATACTAATAACAATAACAATCACAGCGAACTTTAATGAGCATCTACTATATGGTCCCGCTAAACTAAGCTCTCTCTCTATATTACCTCATTTAAACCTCACAATGAACCTCTGTGAGACATATTTGTCTTAGTGTGGGTTCCTCTAAGCAGAGCCTGAGACAAGGATTTGGGTGCAGATGACTTACTTGGAAGGTGATTCCAGGAGGCAGAAACTGGGGAGAGGAGACAGTGAGACAGGAAGGGAGAAAAGCCAAAAGATGGTGCTTAGATGGACAGGTAATCTCTGTGGGTAAGTGGGGCTCAGTCCTGCTGGGGACATCTGGGAGCCAGTGCAGAACACACCTCAGAACTGTCCCACCCCGTGAAGTGGAAGCTGGAGACTCCTGTCAGAGAGAGCACTGCTAGAGATACGCATGCAACTGTCTACCCTACCTCAATAGGATTAGGGAGCTCCAAGGGACTGTGGACTGGCCCATTACAAGAACCCACCACAGTACTACCATAAACCCCATTTTGAACAGGAGGAAACTGAGCTTAGAGAGGTTAAGAAATTTGCTAAAGGTCACAGCCAGCATAGGGCAGAGCTAAGATTTAAACTCAGGCCTTCCCAACCTGGAATGTGCATGTTCAAATTTGGTGGCATAAAGGAGCTTTGAGCACAGGTCCCTTGGGCACTCATCCGATATGGAAAGCTGATTTATTCAGTCTCCTCTCTGGGGAACTCCCAAGGTTATGGTGTCCTTCCCCCCAACCTACCTATGCACAGCCCTGCCTGGGCAGCCAATCTCTCTCTCTGAATCAAGTTTCAGAAGGACATCATTGGATACTTCTATCTAGAGGGATAGAAACCATGGCATCCAGTTGCTGGACACTAAGTGGTCATTTAATACCATCTCCAGCCCAATGCAGGAATCCGTCTCAGAGCCCCCAGCCTGCAAGCCAGGGGCAGTGGAATGTCCCTACTCCATGGGGCTCCCTGCTCCACTCTTCAATACCTAGCAGCCATTTTTAAGAGAGAATGTAACCTCCACCCACTGGACTTAGTTTGCTTGAGAAAGCCACTTTTATTTCATATTTCTTAAAGTATTTACAGGCACAATTTATGCTTTTCCATACTATATTTCCCAGACTAAATGCTGCCCTGTTCTTTTGGCAGTTCTTCACAGAATTTGATTTCCAGACTCATTTTCTTTGGTTATATTCTTTTATACATACTCTTGTCCAGTGGTGCTCAACAATAGCCCACTGGGGTACTGTGAACCTTTTATGGGTGTGGCGCTGAATGTCTAGCATGGTACATATAGTTTATTTTTGTATGACTGAGTAGATACTGTTACAGTCATTTGCATCATTGGGAGCATTGGCCAGATGGGTGTATGGAATGTGACGTAAGTTAGGGTACACCTTGCAGCCATATTTATTGAACATGCGGGAACTCTGCTAAGGGGTATATAAGAGAGTTGAATCAGGGCAGTCAACAAGTCTAGTCACACTATGAGCTAGTGCTAAAAGGGTCATGACCAGAGGGATAAACCTGGATGACTTTATTTATTTATTTATTTTTTAATTTTTTGAGATGGAGTCTTACTCTGTTGCCCAGGCTGGAGTGCAGTGGTGCGATCTCGGCTCACTGAAACCTCTGCCTCCCAGGTTCAAGCAATTCTTGTGCCTCAGCCTCCTGAGTAGTTGGGATTAGAGACGTGCACCACCATGCCCGGCTAATTTTTTTGTATTTTTAGTAGGGACAGGGTTTCACGATGTTGGCCAGGCTGGTCTTGAACTCCTGACCTTAGGTGATCTGCCCACCTGGGCCTCCCAAAGTGCTAGGATTACAGGTGTGAGCCGCCACGCCCAGCCGAACCTGGATGACTTTAAACATTGTAAGATATTGTTAGGGAAGTGATTGTGCTGTAATCATAGCTGCCTTGCCTTGGAAGACATTCCTGGTATTCACCAAGATTTCTAGTTTTCTTCTCTTTTGGGACACACAGCAAGTTTAATATTATTTTTGTCCCTTGAAGTTAGATACTTCCAAGCTGAATAAACTAACAGCTGGTGCATGATTGTTCATGCTTCTTTCTCTGCTGTGACAAACCTTAAGGCCTTGAATTGAGACCATGGTACCATAAAATGATGGGGCCTCTGTCAGCCTGTGTCCTTAAGTGATTTTATTGAGAAGAAACCCCTGAAAAATTCTCTTTGGACATATTACATGAGTGAGAAATAAACCTTTATTGTTGCTGTAGTTATTAATAGCAGTGACATTTTATTGTTAGATGTCTGGTTTATAAATTTAAAGTTTTAACAAAAAGTATTAAATAATTCACCAGCAAGAACAATGGAACTCTCTGCTATATACATTAAAACAAGTGGATCCAGCGTTGAGGATGACAGATAAAGTAATCATACTTTAATGAAGATCAGCTTTGCCTTACTTTGTTTTGGTTGTGCATTCTGGAAAACGTCCGGATTCACTTGGTTAAAAAACCTTTGTGGTTTTAAGCCACTGTTATTTTAGGTTTGCTTGTTACTGCATCATAACTCAGTCTATCCTGATAGATAAATTTGCTCAGTGTCTTTTGTCCTTAAATGTTATGTTCAGTATTTGAAGTATGTCATGGCCAGAAAGATATTAAGTACCCTTGCTGTTCTTTAAGTTTAGTGCCTACAACTTCAGTGAGTATTGGAGATGTGGTCCAATTAGCAAAGAAGAGAAGGCTGAGGCAGAGAGTTAAACACTGCACACACACACAGAGTGAGAGTAAGGGAGAGGGAGAAGGCGAGGAAGACAAAGAAAGGAGAGAAATAGAGGGAGGAAGGAGATATGGGGAGAATGCTTCATTGGGAATAGCTAAGACACCATGACCAAATGCTACTTACCAGAACACCGAAGTCCATTGCCTTTATATCCCTGCTTGCATTTACACTTGAAGGACCCTTGGGTATTGAAGCAATTGGCATGGTGGCTGCACGTATGGCTATCCATAGTACATTCATTTATATCTAAAAAAGAACATTCCAGTGAACGACTCTGTGGTACAGAGCTTGCTGAAAGACTCACCCTTACACTTGATCAACTGTAGGGCCAAGCACTAAACACCCCTGACAAACCAAGCATTGCCTGAGAACTGAGAGGTGTTCAGAACTGCAGGCTCATTGGCCAGCAGCCCTGGCTTTGTTTGCTGCCTGGTATGTAGGGAGTGTTTGCTGCTTCCCTCCCCCACAGCAATTTAATCTCCTGCTTATCAATGCTATTGAAATCTGTAAGATGTTTAGGTTTTTCTCTTAACTTTCTCCTCTAACTTAGAACTAAATAACAATACCAGAAAATCAATTCTATATTCAGAAGGTCTTGAAACTCCTAACAAACAAAGGCAAGATCAACTAGGAACCGTTGACATCATCTAACTTATAGGCACAGGCATTTTGTTCTAAGACTGCCAGGAGAAAGGGTCAGGCTGGCCTGAGCTTGTCTGCTGGGTTTAGAGGAGGAAAATTTGCCAAGTTTCACCCAAGCGAGAGGTTTGTTTGCCGTATTCTCCACCCCATTTTCTATCTATGCATTTGTAGACATGTATGTACAAAATAGTCTGTTGGTTTTAATTTAGCCACAAAGCTGAGCTCAGATGTTAATCTTAGTCACCTTTAAAGTCTCAAAGATTTGTTTCCTTTTGAACCTTTCCATGTGAATTCCACCCTGTTCTGTGGAACCTCCCCTTAGGTATCAGGAAACAGGATTAAACTCTGTAACACAGCATCATAGGATTACTGGGCTGGTTTGGTCTGCAGGAGGGCATGGGGTCCAAGTCCACGAGAAATATGGATTTTATGATCCTCTCTAGGATGGACTTTGTGTTTGAAATTTGAGGGAAGAGTTGTAGAGGCTTCACAAGATGGTTCGAAACCCAGCAATTGTGTGTTGTCCCAACATGATTACACAAGACGTGTCCTGGGAAGCCCTGAGTATAGGGTTGAAAGAAATCCTATTTTTTCTCAACTATTAGCCTTCCATGTCATGCATATAGCTTTGTTACACGTGTTACGGGCAGAGAAATCCACAGAGAGCCCGAATTTCCCTTCACTATAGGGCAGGCCCCATCCTACATTATATAAAGGGCAATGGGAATGCATCCAAGGTCTCCCCAAATACCCCACCTCACTTGTTCATGGAGGCCTGAAATTCATTCACTAAGGAATAAAATATTTATTTCACATAGATTAGGGCAATAGCTGACTGATACCAGAATCTTATCAGAGAGCAATTTTGGTAACTGTGGAAAGGGAACATTATATTTGGAGCTTGAACTATGAAAGGGCTGAAAGAGGGGAAAGTAAAGAGCATAGGCCTTCATGTCTCTCATACATTTCTCTAAAGCCACCCCTGATGGAGACTGTTATAAACAGATCACTGAGATCAAGATTAGATAGACCTTGTTATTCTTCCTTTTACCAAATATAAATACTGCTTTATTGTTCTGATTTTTAGATGTGTAACTGGAGATAAAACAAAAAATATAAACAAAACAAAAAGCCAAATTAAAGAGAGTCCCACCAGAATCATCTTGAGATAATCGTTTCCACAAGAGAGCTGTATTCCTTACTTTAAATCTTTATTGACCTAGCTTTATAATTGATGTCATTGGAATTCCCTAAATGCCAGACACCTAAAAAAATAACCTTTCCTTATTGTTAAGCTGGTCAGCACAGTAGATTGTTCAACTAATAGCTTGAATTGACATCAAAATATCTGCAGAGAAGGCTCAAAGGTTTGGTGGGGACAGGAAAAAAAGGAAAAGGTGCCATCGAATCTTACCTATACAGTCATATCGTCCACTGATATATTGCAGTTCGAAACCAATGTGACATTTGCAGTAGTAGCTTCCAAATGTGTTCACACATCTTCGATTGTAGGGACAGATGACTTTACCAGAGGCACATTCATCAATATCTAGGGTGTAAAAACCAGAAGGTGTCAGTGATAGCAAGAAAAGTAGCCACATACATGCACGCACGCACACTCACAGCTACTTTTCTTTATCTGGGAAACTGATAATAGTATACTGGTGCCAACATCATATCCTCTGGCAAGTGTTCTAGATCCCCCAGGCACACACACAGCTCTTCACTTTATGTATTTATATTATTTTATACCTTTTTAAGATGCATTATCTTTCCATAATGTCATTACTTACATTCACATCTTCTGTTAGGCCCTGGCTGTTCTCAGGCAGGGAGCATGTGTCTGACACTTGGTACCTATACATTACGTGTGTGCTGAGTGAATATTTTCTCCAGCTGAGTGAATATTGTATATTGTATAACATATACAATTTTTGAAACTAGAGTCAGATAGCTATACTTTAAGTAAACCAAACACACAGACTTTTACAATTTGCATTTTACAAAATAACTATTTCTTGAGTAAGACTGTCCAAGGCCCCTGCAATATTGACTCACAGAAATGTGGTTGTGAAGGCATGCACTTATGCATAAATTGTGGGTCAGGTGTAATTATGTAATGATGTAATTTTAGCCAACAATAGGTGTGTTGTTCCTTTTCTACCATTGAAAGTCAGGTAACAGAGGGGCTGACAGCTATGCTGACCAATCTACTAAGACTCAGGCTTGGTTTAACTTTCAGATGTCAAATCAAATAGATGTTAGTTTGTTCTTCTGAACCTGGCTTAAACCGGCAAGTTGATGTTGTCTTACTATTTCCCTTGCAATCTTTTTTTTTTTTTTTTTTTTGAGACAAGGCCTGGTCTGTCACCCATGCTGGAGCATAGCAGAACAATCATGGCTCACTACAGCCACAAATTCCCCAGGCTCAAGTGATCCTCCCACCTCAGCCTCCTGAGTAGCTGGGACTACAAAGCATGTGCCACCATGCCTGGCTATTTTTTATTATTTTTTTTTTGTAGAAATGGGGTCTCCCTATGTTGCTCAGGCTGGTCTCAAACTCCTGAGTCCAAGCTATCCTCCCACCTCAGCCTCTAGCATAGCTGGGACTACAGGTGCACATCACCATGCCCGGCTATTTTTAACAAAAGTTTTTTATAGAGATGGAGTCTTGCTATATTGCCCAGGCTGGCCTCTTGCATTTTCCAAATAATAAATAAGTGTTGGGTTGAACAAAATTATTTTTGGTGATCATTTTCATGCACATCACCTTTCCCTTCCAATAAAAATGGCACCCAACAACTCAAAGAGTTGGGTGGAAATTTGGATTCAGTTTGGTCAATAATTAGCCTTGTCATATAAATCTTATTATACTAAAAAGTAGTAAATCCTGTGAACCTAATTAAACCTTTGATTATTCTCAGAGTAGAGACAAAATTTTAATTTACATGTATATTTTTAAAAAGTGTTTAGCTAATTTAGGATCCATTTGGCTGAGCTTTCTAAATGCAGTTTTTTTTACATTATGTATAGTTAGGATAAATAAACATCTAGCACCTTGACTGAAAAATATTTCTATTGTAGTGAAGAAGATTATGAAATCATACTGATATGTGCTTCTTTAAATCACAGATTAAGAACTCTTTCAACATTCTGATTTGGTTTGACATCCCTCATTAATGCTAAGTGCTCACTTACTCTAAATATTATGTATATTAGGTGCAATGTAATTAAGTGTTATGAGTATATACAATTTGATGGCAATTTGATGGTTGAACATAATTCAAATCCACAAAGGAACCAAAGCACAAAGTGAAAAAAGTGTTGCTTCAGTCACTGAGGGTGCCCTGTGGGTGCTCCATCCATAGCTCCTCAGCACTCAAGTTTCCATACCTGCCAAAGGCTGCTTGCTGCACCTACAACATTGTGCTTTGCTCCCGACCCAGGCTAGGCTGGGAGTGCTGGGGGGTCATGTCCCAGAGCAGCCTCCCATCAATGAAGGGCAGAAGTTGGTGGATGAATATCCAGCACTCCTGCCCCAGAGGGAAAATTCAGGGGCAGCTTCTCTCTGCCTCCCAGAGGTGCCCCCAGCTCATTTAACCTGCTCATCAGATTTACCCAACACTGGTGCCTTCCTTTCCCTGGGTTACTTCCCTACTCCTCAACCAGAATCTTACTCATAAGATTCTGGTACCAGTCAGCTATTGCCCTAATCTATGTGAAATAAATATTTTATTCCTTAGTGAATGAATTTCAGGCTGGGATTTCAGGCTGGGATCACCTCCCAAATCAACTACTTGCTCAGGGTCAGCTTCTGTGGAACCCAAAACTAAGACACAAAATAAGACAAAGGAGAACAAGAGAGGAAAGTTCTAAGCCAATGAATTTGACTAAATTCAAAGTTATAAACAAATAATTTTTATGTTCCCTTAATTAATATTATGGACTTAATCTGCTCATTTTCTCCAGTTAAATTAATTATACTTAGTTCATATAACTTGGAGCAAGTTTTAAAGACAACATGAAATTTATTACATGCTAATGTAAATTATATAGAAGGTGTATACTATTTTCAATAATGTTATATCTAAAAAATAAGTAAATATAGTTTTTCCAGAAAATATTAGCTAGAACCCAGAATAAAACCCAATGGTCCTTAGGACCTTACTCATTAAATGACAAAATATAAGTAGTGGAGTTTATATTGGATGGTAATTTAAATAAAATGTACATAGTAAATATACTAAAATTATCCCTTTTCTACTATGGCATTAAGGCAATACAAAATAATAGAAAAATGTGTTTTTTAGCATCCCAAAGTATGTTTAGAGCATATGTGGCTAAAAGTATCTCAGAAACTGATATAAATCTGTACTTTTAGAAGTTTCCAATGTCTAGTCAACAAGCTGATTGTGATGAATGAAAAAAGATTCAGTAAAAGGGGAGTCAAGGGAGGAGAAGGAGGAGTAGAGGTGATTCCTGCTGTTGTACCTAGACAGTCTCTTCCATTTGGGGCCAGGCGGAGTCCTGAGGATGGACACAGGCACTGTGGCCCTTCTTCTGTGTCTTCACAGCTGTACTGACAGTTTATCATGGCACATGTCCTAGAGTCTGAAAAAGTAGACAAGGATTAGCCTTTCTCTCTTGAGATGATAAAAAGAGCTTACTAAGAAACTATCACCAAATTCTGAGCCATTGAATGGAACACGTTGCATGGCATTATAGGACAAGTTTCATTGTCTGAGTCCCAAATGGAGAGCCAAAAGGGATCAGTAGGGGTGGCATCTTGGTGGCCCTGGGACTGAATCCTACTCATGGTCTGCTTTCTTGGCCACTTCACTGAATTTGACTGTCTTTAGGCAGAGCATGCACCCCTCAAACTGTATCACTTTCTCCACTTGTGTGTGCTCTAGCCACTCTTTTATGTCACCTGGCTGGCCTCAGTAGGTTGAATTGCAACTGCTGATGGAGATTATCAACCTGAGTAATCAGGGTAAAAGAATCTACTCTGGAGAGCTCTCCATACATATCTAGCCTCAGTGAGAGTCACTTAAGTCACAAGACTCGATATTTTAGGTGACTGAACTAAAACGTGTGGCAGATATAGCTGATCAGCTATCTGAAAGCCATTCTGGACTCTTCTCTTGCCATTCCCAGCACTGAGGCTTTTCCCAGCTTTCCTTCAGCAAGGAGTGGCCATATGATGCAGTGTGGCCAAAGAGATACAAAAATAAGTCCACTGGAGGGAGTGGGGCTTCTGGAAAAGATATTACTGCATGATAAAAAGAGACAGGCATGAAAGAGGCATTGGTTCATTGGCATCACCCGTACCCACTTAGTTTTGTCTATTTTCCATGTGTGTGTGATGTCTGGAGCTAGGGCAGCCATATTGTAACTATGAGGCCACAAGTGTGAGAGTAAAATCAATACTCTGAGGATGACAGAGATGGACTTCTTCTTGAGCTGCTCTGGAACTGCTTGCCTTCAGCTTTTAAAGTAAATGAGACAATTTACTTGGCTTTTTTGTCACTTGTTGCTAAATATAACTTATCTTACACAAATGCATTTTTATAGCAGCAGTCCAGTATGTGTGGATTAGAAATGCAGGGGGGCTAAGAAACTCATATGGTTTCAGCCCAATGTCCATAACAGAGGGGCATGGTGAATGTACTCCCTCCCTCCATCCCCCTCCAGAACGTGCCAATCACCCAGCTGGACAAAAGAGACCCAAGGGGCCTGGTGGAATCCAATCAGCATCCAGGAGAGAGTTCTAGGGCTATCTGGACACTTTGAGCTATAAACAGGGAGGCACAGGTAACCCCTAGATATACAGAAAGAGACCCAATGTATTATAACAAACATCTACCTATGATTATATTACTCCTTTATTCTTTCATCTTTTCTCTTTAGTTGTCTTCTTTTAAAATTAATCTTCAAAATTAACCTAATTCTATCTTTCCATTTGAGGAAAGATATCTTTTTTGGCACTGACTGGGTTTTCATGGAATGTTTCAGAAACATCCATTAGCGTACATCTTTTTTGAAATTTTAAGTGATTACTATAAAAGCCTGGATAGTGGTTCCCTTTAGGGAGGGGTGGGAGGAGGAGGTTCTGGCAGAGTTCTATTTGGTGATGATTACAAGGGTGCTTGCCTTATAAGAATTCATTAAACTATGCATTTGTTTCCTGTGAGTTTCTGTTTAATTTATAATAATAAGGATTTTTTAAAAAGGCCCTTCCAATGCCCATTTTCAAATGCTTGCTTGCTAGCAGAAGATCTACGTGACTGGTGGTGTTGGGACACTTTGCCAAGGAGGAGCCCGTGCACTAGGCAAGATTTTATAATCTCGGGAAAACCCAGGATGGGCTGGGGAGTCTGTGCAACTCCGCAACCACAGGAAGCTGGCTGAAGGCACAGGCTCTGGGTTTGTTGGGGGCTGCAAGGCAGAGGAAAGAAAGATGGAGAGAGAAAAGGGGAGAAGGGAAGGCAGGCAGGGAGGGTGGGTTTCCCTTTCAACTGGAACATAAAACCTGAAAAGCCTTCCCTCTCAATAAATGAATGGGTATAGACTCTCACTCTCCCACAGGACATGGGTTTTTCTTTATCACAGAAGGGCTTTTCTTTCAAGGAATTGAGTAAGTCGGAATGTATTTCCAACAAGTATCACTAATCTTTGGTAGTGGGGCAAGGGGCGTGAGAAAGTTAGCTGGTGGGAAGAATTGATGTTCCGAGAAGGAATTTAAATGTATCACTTCCCTAAAACAATCTGCTTATTTTGTTCAACGTGCTTATTTTCATGAGGAAACTCAACAGGGCTCTGCATATATATAGATGCAGATATAGATATATAATTAATTTTTCTCCTAGTTTGCCTTTTTATTTATAAAGTAAGCATCCAGAATAGGCAAATCCCTAGAGAAGGAAGGCAGATTTGTAGTTGCCAGGGGCTGGAGGAGGGGGAGTGAGGAGTGACTGGGTCTGGTTTCCTTTTGGAGTGATGAAGATCTTCTGGAACTCGATAGGGGTGATGGTTGTACAACACTGTGAATGTACTAAAAGCCACTGAATTGTTCACTTGAAATTTAAAATAATGTGAATTTCACATTATTTTACCGCTTTTTTTTTTCTTTCTGAGATTACAGGTGCCCTACCATGCCCAGCTAATTTTTGTATTTTTTTTTTTTTTTTTTAGTAGAGACAGGGTTTCGTCATGTTGGCCAGGCTGGTCTTGAACTCCTGACCTCAGGTAGTCCACCTGCCTCAGCCTCCCAAAGTGTTGGAATTACAGGTGTGAGCCACTGTGCCCAATCAGCACTTACTTTTTTAAAAAAATTATGGAAGCTGGGCATGGTGGCTCACGCCTGTAATCCCAGGACTTTGAGAGGCCGAAGTGGGTGGATCACCTGAGGTCAAGAGTTTGAGACCAGCCTGACCAACACGAAGAAACCCCATCTCTACTAAAAATACAAAAAGTAGCCAGGCGTGGTGGCATGTGCCTATAGTCCCAGCTAGTCGGGAGGCTGAGGCAGGAGAATTGCTTGAACTCAGGAGGCAGAAGTTGCAGTGAGCTCAGATTGCACCACTGCACTCCAGCCTGGGTGACAGAGCGAGACTCTGTCTCAAAAAAAAAAAAAAAAAAAAAAAAGAAGAAAGAAAGAAGGAAAGAAAGGAAGGAAAAGAAAGAAAGAAACAAGTGCCACAAAACATTTTAGCTGGGGGCAATATTAGAGATTTTTTAAAAAATCACTGAAGTCAGCTTTTCCCCAAGCATCAAATGGCAAAAGCCAAGCCTTAAACATTGACTGAGATCAGCCTGGCTGTTGAAACTTACTCACACACGTAGCATCTGGCATGAGCATGTGGCCACTGAGGCAAAAGCACTTGTAGCTTCCGTGTGTATTCACACATCTGTGTTGGCATGGCCGGGGTTTCATTCCACACTCATTCACATCTGCAGGGACATTTAGAAAACAGGGAAAGGTGAACTGAATCAGGAAACTTCCAGATGGGGAATATTAGACCCCAGTCTTGGAAAGGACAACTGGGTTAGCTTCCCTGAACACCACCACTTACCCACCTTCTCTCTGACCATCAAATTCCATTTTAAAGGATTGGTGACAATGTGTAGCAAATGGAATAATTATACACCACTGGAAGGAATGTAAATTGGTACAACACTTTGGAAAACTGCTTGGCAGAATCTACTAGAGCTATATTTAGACATACTCATGACCTGGAAATTCCAGTCCTGGGATTTCCCCTACATACTAAAATGCTCATAATAGCATGATACTAGATAGCCCCAAACTAGAAGTAATCCAAACACCTCCCAACAGAAGAATAGATAAATGACTTGTATATTCACACAATGGAATACTATATAGCAATGAAACTGAACAAACGACAACTATAGGCAACAATGGATGAATCTCACAAACATGATATTGAGTGGAAGCTGGATATAAACGTGTATATACTGTATGAGTCCATTTATATACAGTTAAAAAATAAGCACAGCTAATCTGTGATATAAGAGGTCAACATATGGTTCTCTCACTGGCAGTGGAAGTGACTGGAAGGTGTGTGAGGGAGTCTTCTGAAGGGCCAAGTTTCTGGCTTTTGATCTAGATACTAGTGACATGGGCATTTAGAAAAATTCATCGAGCCATACATTTTTTATATATGCACAATTCTATGTGTATACTACTTGAACAATAATTTAGAAATAGATAATTTATATATTTCTGCCTTTCATGCTATCCCAAGCAGCCGCTGACATAAGCTGACAGCACAGCCTCCTGTCGATTATTATTTTGGCTGGCCCCTGCACTGGCCAAATTGCCTTGGCTCACATTCCTCTAGAGGGAGCCCTGTCAGACAGCTCTTAGTGGTGAAGTTGGAGGACAATATTTAATCCTAAGTAAAGATGTTCACAGGATGACATTTGGGCTGGATGATTTAAAAAAATATATATATATATATGAATTATATATATGTGAATTATATATATGAAATATATATATGAATTATATATATGTGAATTATATATATGAAATATATATGAATTATATATGTGAATTATATATATGAAATATATATATGAATTATATATATGTGAATTATATATATATGAAATATATACATATGACGTTCACAGGATGTTACGTGATAAAAGAAGGTTACAAAACTCTGTGTACAGATCATTCCAAAATTGGTTTAAAAAATACATAGGAAAAGAAAAGCCTAGGAGGGTATGCTCTAAATGCGACTAATGGTTATCTTCAGGTGGTAAGATCGAGGGTGACTTTCTTCTCTGTGCTTTTTTGTTTTCTAAAACAACAACAACAACAACAACAACAACAACAACTTAAGAATAAGTAACATTTTTATTAAAATAAAAAATGACACAGAAGGAAAATAGAACTTTAAAAAGGATTATCTGTAGAGGATGTCGCCTTTGGAAATGTGGTCATGTGAGGGTTTCATATCTTAACTCTACCAGGGAACATACAGAGAGGAAAAAAACAAACAAATTCCATGGAAGGCAAAAGGTCAGCATGGTAACAGATTCTTGAAAATAAGGAGCTGCTTTCATCTCTGAAAATATCCTTATATGGGGATTTTCCAGTGCCCTAGCTGGACATTTGAAACCCTCTTCTCCACTGCCTATCCCCTTTACCCTACCATCTCCCTCATAGAACCTAACCTCTTCAAATGGGGAAATTGAAAAATGCTGATTGGACATAACGGGAAACCCAGGAATATCCCATAGCTTGGCCCTAACTCTGAGGTGACTCACTCATTTCTTGGAAGAGTGTTTTGGGAAAGACATGAGTTGAGGGCTGAGGCCTGTCACCATTAATGGATGTACGTGGACTTTGATCAGGCTGCCACAGGGCAGGGAGGCTGTGGGAAGAAAACAGACTGCCTCAAAACTTGATCCAACTGGACCACTCCCTCAACGTTAATATTTTGCTGAGACTTTAAAACTAGCGTGGAAAATATTGTCTCTATTCCAAATCTCTTGAGACAGTATCTTGGTTCAGAATCCAAAACATATGGAAAACCAAGTTTTCTGCTGTAAAACCTCTGGTGAAGGGTATAGCTGAATTATTACTTATGAAAGCATGATTTTTTTTTCTGAGATGGAGTCTCGCTCTGTTGCCCAGGCTGCAGTGCAGTGGCGCGATCTCAGCTCACTGCAACCTCCACCTCCCAGGTTCATGTGATTCTCCTGCCTCAGCCTCCCGAGTAGCTAGGATTACAGGCATTCGCCACCACGCCTGGCTAATTTTTGTATTTTTAGTAGAGATGGGGTTTTGCCATGTTGGCCAGGCTGGTCTCAAACTCTTGACCTCAAGTGATCCACCCACCTCGACCTCCCTAAGTGCCGGAATTACAGGTGTGAGCCACTGTGCCCACCCTGAATGCACGATTCTTGAAGCACCTCTCTCAAGCAATTGCATGCAATTCTAAGAAACATCTCCAGGGCTCTGGCCTCTATGCTGGTGGCAGGACGCAGAGAGCCAGATTGCTCTCCGAGACTGTAGGGCTGGCAGCTCAAAGAGCGGCTATTTCAGTTTATGGGGCTAACCTCTGGGCTTGGCAGCAAGGGCTGGGAGTGGTAGAGTGGAGTGGGTGTCCAGTCTTCTCTGAAACTCCATTCTCCAAGGGCAGCTGAATTGGATTTACTGCTCTTTGTTCAACTTCCTTATAGGACTGGGGACCCTTTCTGAATTATTGAAGATTTCTTCATGCCAGGGTTTCTTAACTTCCGTTGACACAAATCATTATTTGTTGTGGGGACTGTCCTGTGCACTGCAGGATGTTTAGCGGCATCCCTGGGCTCCATTCACTAGATGCCGGGAGTACCTCCCACATCCAGTTATGACAACCAAAATTGTCCCCAGTCATTGTCAAGTATCCTGTGGATGACAAAATCAGCCAAGTTGAAATCTGCTGATCTATAGCAAAGACCATATCCCTTGCTCCAATGAGGCACTTTTATTCACCACGTTTACAGCAGGGTTTTTCAGCCTTGGCACTACTGACATTTGGGTCTGATCATTCTTTGTTGTGGGTGCTGCTATCCTGTGCATTGTGTAAGGTGCTTTGCAGCATCCCTGATCTCTACCCATTAGACACCAGTAGCACCCCCTCCAAATGTCCTCAGACACTGCCAGATGTTGCCCGGGATAAGGCTCCCAGATTTGGCAAATAAAAATACAAGATTCCAGCTGGGTGTGGTGGTGTGTGCCTGTAGTCAGGAGTCTGAGGCGAGAGGATTGCTTTGAGGCCAGGAGATCATGGATGCAGTATAGTCACTGCACTCCAGCCTAGGCAACATAGTGAGACCCCCATCTCTAAACAAAACAGTAAAGGATTCTCAGATAAATTTGAATGTCAGATAAATGACTAATACTTTTAAAGTATACACACTTCTCATATACTATTTTGAGAGCTTGTTTGGAGGTGCTAGCAGGGGAGCACAGCTAATATACCCTTGACTGAAGGTAAGTCCTCCTCTATCGGGGATGGTCGTCCTCTCCACACGAGCGCGCAGCTTCAGGAGGGACACACATGGAGCAGTGAGGGAGGAAGGGGACATCTGCCTAGCCAGCCAGATCAGCCAAATCAACCCAGGTGAGCAATGGGGTGACAGATGTCACAGCCAGATCACCCTCACATCCCCTATATACTATTTTGAACAAACATATACTATAAAATTATTTGTTGTTTATCTGAAATTTAAATCTAACTTGGTATCTGTATTTTATCTGGCAACGCTTCCTGGGAGACAAAATTACCCAGGTTGAGAACCACTGTTATAGATATTATCATCTCTTTAATGTTTTCAGACAAACAATCTAGGATGAAAGTTATAAATTATCTGTTATGATATATCAAGGCCAGGTGTGGTGGCTAAGCCTTTAATTCCAGCACTTTGGGAGGGCAAGGCGGGAGGATGGCTTGAGCCCAGGAGTTCAAGACCAGCCTGGGCAACGTAGTGGGACCTCGTCTATACAAAAACTGTAAAAAGTAGCCAGGCATGGTGGTGTGTGCCTGTGGTCCCTGCTACTCAGAAGGCTGAGATGGGAGGATTGCTAGAGCCCAGGTGGCTGAGGCTGCAGTGAGCCATGATCACGCCACTGCACTCTACCCTGGGTGACAGAGCGAGACTCTGTCTCAAAAAAAAAAAAAAAGTATATGAAGTATAATAAAAATATGCACGTTGTTCAACCCAACAATTCCACTTTTAAATATTTTTCCTACAAAAATATTCATTCAAGAAAGCAGGGCTATGCAGAGAACAATGTTAGATTTAGCACTGTTTGTAATGGCAAAAAATTGGAGACAACATAAATGATAATGGTTAAATAAAGCACATTTTTGCACAAAGGATAAAAGTATTCACACTAGGGACTAGGATACAGCCTTAAAAAATGTAAAGTAGTTCTGTGTGTGCTGACATGCAAAGATGCCTATGAGAAAAACTTACATTTATACTATCACAGAAAAAGACTTCCAGGATCTAAGACAAACTTAACTATGCTTATAGTAAAAACTAGTGGTGATCACTCTCACTTTTAAGTTTATATTTTTTTGCACTGCTGGATTTTTAAAAATAAAAATATACTTATAATACATAGGTAGTTTAAAAAGCAATAAAATTATTTACTTTTTAAAAAGGCTCTTTTTTTCTGTGTTACGGAAAGAGATGAAATAAAAAAGTAAAAAATATAAAAGACCTTTAGCTTATTTAAAAAAGATAAAAAAAGAAAAGAAAAGAAAAAAGGCCTTTTATTGGGCATCTTGACAAAAACATCAGACTTTTTACATTTTTCAAGGAGAAGAGATTGAAAAACTTGTCCTGAAAGCACCTTCATTTGAAGATTTGACTTTAAAAAAACCCTAAGAAATCCTGCGTACCATATTGAGTCGCCAGCCCTGCTGCAATGATTGAATTTGAACTATGACCCTGGGCTACCTTACTGACCTTGACTGCAGGTTTTCCCGGTGTATCCTGGAAAGCATCTGCATTTGTTTGGTCCCACGCACTCACCAAACTTACATCCAGGTTCGCATGTAGCTGTGGAAGGAAAAGATGTCTTGATGATAAAAGAACAGTAGTTAGTGTAGTGAAATGCACGCAAAACTTCGCTGCGTTCTGTGTGGCAGAGAACTCCATGGGGACATACAGAGGACAATCTGCCTCCCTTTGAAGGGAGGCAATACCACACTTCCAGTGGTATTCAATGAAATATAAAGCCTTCCAGACCACAGTCAGCCAGTTTTGCATGCAAACACAAAAGATTTAATAAAATAAGTATAATGTTGGAACTGGAAGAGACTCCAGAGTAACCCTGGGCAAATGCCAACGTCATTCCCCTTCCTTCTGTCTCTTGCCTCGTTTCATCTCCTCCATATTTTCTCCATTTCTCTTTTAAATGATCAAAATCTTTTAATGCTGCACATTATCAGTCAGACTGAACAACCAACAGATTGGAGGGAGGAAGGTGCTGCTTCTAGCCCTAAGGATGGGAACTAAAAGCATCATGATGATGATGAGGATGATGATGGAGGCATGAGAAAGCATGACAAAGGTAGGATTTGTTTTTCTATTTTATTCACTTCTGTATCCCAACTCCTGACACAAAGTAGACAATAAATATTTGTTCAATGAATAAAGTGGTAGGAAAAACAACAGGGGTAGGATGTTATAACCGATTCAGTTGGGGGCAAGAAAACAAACAGTCAAAGATGATGGACAATTTCATTCCAGCTCACAGGGAGGTTATAAGGAGAAAAAGCAGTAGATAGGAAAAAAGGAAAATGGGAAAGCCTCAAGAGTAGAAAGGGAGAGGATATAATATATGAGAGAGAAAGGAGACTTTTAGGGTATCAAGGACTCTCAGCAGTTTCTGGATATAGTAGGAGCTCAAGAAATAGCCATAATAGGAAAGAATGACTCAGCAATTGCCCAGGAATGGTGCCTACTTCTCCATCCATCAATTCCCCTGGCTCACAGTAGGTCCACCTCTAAGAAAGCCTATTCTTAAAGATACCAGCATCTTTCCCTACAACCCCAGATCCTATTTTTTGTTATTATCATCATTCCTCTACCAGTTACCTGGACTCAAAAAATTCAGTTGTCTATTTTTTCTTGTCTCCAGACCACTCAGTTGCAACATCCTATCCCTGTTTCTACCACCAACTCATTCATTGAACAACTATCTATCTAGCTAATGGGAACTACCTTGCCCACAGATACTTGGAAGATGATGCTGAATCCCTCTCCCTGCTTTCCCCACCACAGCTTGTGACCAGTGCCTCACTGATGCAGGAGTCTAACAGCCTAGTTCCTTGTTTCTTGGCAGGACAAACTCTGGTGCAATTAACCCCCTAGAGGTCCCTGTGGGATCAGGCTGAAGCTAGACTTCTTCTGAAACCATATCTCTGCCTAGCCGCTTCCCATGCTCCCTCACTCCCTTGCAAATTGCTCGTAAGATACCTTTCAATGGAATATTTGTACAAGAATCCCCCTTTCAGGCTCTGCTCCTAGCAAACTTTATGTCAGACACGACATTAAACTAATAGTCCAAAAGCATAGCTCTGATCATGCCACGCCTTGCACAGAGGTCATAATATAATCTTTGTTCCCTCCTGAATACAGTACAGGTATCATAACCAAGTTAAAACTAGCATGATCTGGCCAGGCATGGTGGCTCCAGCCTGTAATCCCAGCACTTTGGGAGGCCGAGGAGGGTGGATCACCTGAGGTCAGGAGTTTGAGACCAGCCCGGCCAACATAGTAAAACCACATCTCTACTAAAAATACAAAAATTAGCCAGGCGTGGTGGCGGGCACCTGTAATCCTAGCTACTTGGGAGACTGAGGCAGGAGAATCACTTGAACACAGGAGGCAGAAGTTGCAGTGAGCTGAGATTGCGCTGCTGCACTCCAGCCTGGGTGACAAAGCAAGACTCTGTCAAAAAAAAAAAAAAAAAGAAAGAACCTAGCCTGATCTGGCCTCCCCCTTCTTTTCTAGCCCCCCCACCCCCCCGACAAAGGCAACACTGTGGGCAAAAGATATTGCTTGCTATTCTCTAGACCTACCCTTTACTTTCTACCTTTTCCTACCCCTCCCTAGGATACTCTTCCCTGGGTTTCCAGTAGTTCATATCCTCCCCATTCTTCAAGGACCACCTTGCATGGCCCCTTCTTCTAAAAGCCTTTACAGATTTCTCCAGCCACCTATGAATGCCCACTCAACTTCGAGAACTCCACAGAACTTTGGCAGGCCTCTCCTGTGCAACTGATCAGTTTTTGTCTTATTAAATAATGAGGCATATATTTGGCTACAGTGCTTGTCTTTCATCCACTACTTGTTTCCAAGTGCCTTCAGGACAGGGACTTAAACATTCATCATTGTTTCCCCTGTAGCATTTAATATAGTGTTGTAAACATGTTAAATATTTGAATATTTTTGAATAATGAATAAAGTAATTACTGTAGAACTTTTAATGGGGGAACATTTTATGGCCCTGAACAAATCATAAGGGAAAAATGCTTCCCCAGCAAGGTTTTTCCACTTTTAGAGACAAAAGAGAGAGAATTTAATTTCCAGTGTCTACTTTGTTATGGATATGTACTTGGAGTTGCAACTTTAAATTCAGATGTTAGAAAAATAAATCTTTTTTTTTTTTTTTAAGCCCTGAAGACCTCTAGTTGTTCCCTGGAAACTGATTTCCAATGTGGTCCAGACAGGAAAGCCCAGCATAAATGCCAAATAGAACATAGGAGAAATGGTGAATAATACCCTTGCTATAAGGTTAAAGCTTCAGTAAGATGTTTTCAATTTACAGTAACTTTGGATCTGTGACTTCAACAGCCAATCGACAGCAAGGGAAATTCAGTTTGTGTTTAAAATGGCCTGAGATTGAAGCATGATTTAGACAAAGTAAAAGTCTTATTTGGTTCTCCCCCAAACTTCTCTATCTGAAGCTTTTCATCAGGTACTTGTTTATGGACAATTCTGTATTTCATCTCACTGAAGTGGCATACATTTTAAGGTTAATGATATCGAACTGATGAGACCCTGCCTTGGGAGGAGATTTAGACAGGGTAGAGGCTGAGAGCTAGAAGGCTCCAGGATACATAGAGGCAGGGCTTCAAAAGGAGTGAAGGGCAAATAGATGGACAGAGGGGAAGGCCTGGGTAGACTGTGACCTCACAGCCTGGGGTCTGGCTCTCCTTGTTGGGGCAGGTTGATGTGTATTCTTATTATCATGCATCCCACAACTCTGGCTTAGAAATCAGAAACCCAGCAATCAGGGAATAACTACCCTGTTATTTGGTGCTTCAAGAAACATGACTTTACCATCAAGAAGGACCATGCAAATTGGATAAAACATGATACACATTTTAGATCTAAAAATCATTGCAATTTAAGACCTGAACATTTGACTGGAGCAGTAGGTGTGCTGACCGTCTCTTCAGCTTGCAAAACTTGCATAGTGAGCATTTTGCTTGAACCCCCTGCACTTGCCCTTTTAACACCTTGCCTTCATTTATTCACCAGCGACATGCTGGGTCTCACAAGTTTTATGGCAGTAGACGCTGATGTTCGTGCAACTGTAAGAGAGACTCTAAATCATGTGTTTCACGTGGTTTTTGCCCCTTTCCACCTGACTGACTTCAAATAAAAATGTGTTATGTTGTGTCTAGCAAAAGAATAAAGCCACATTTAATCCCCCCATCACCTGGTGCTTTAATGACGAGAAGTCTGTGATGAGAATTATTGGTCCTTCCTGAAGGAATGGTAATTTATGAGGTATTTTCTATGCATGCCAGGTAATGAACTCACCCTTTAATGCATACATTCCTTACTCTCAGAGGTAGGTATTGCTCTCTCCAGGTTGCAGAGGAGGAAATTGAGCCTTAGCTAGCTTACCTTAGCTAGCTTGCCCAAGGTCACCCACGTCAGTCTGGTTCTCAATGCCCTTGATCATGACACTATCAATCCAATCAGGATGAGGACCCACCCTTTTAATTGACACAAGTCCCAGGAGGATATTCTAACTTCCTTTATCTAAGTGGGCAATGATGATCTTTGTTTTTGTCTAGTATTTTTATGCTCTTGTCATCTTGTCACAAGCAAACTATGATGGCAGAAGGTTTTGCATAATATGGAACATGTGGGAACGATATCAATGTTTTCTATTGTTTTATAGATTTTGGATATTATCAAGTTCTGACCCCACTTATGGTCAATCCAGATATTTTTTAACCAGCCAGAGAGAAGGAGGTTGGGGCAGGAACAGACTAGCAAAAAGAAGGTAGCATTGTTATTCCTAAAAATAGCTAACATGTTAGTGCTTTTATGGGACCTGCAACTGTGTTGTTATCCCATTTAATAGATAAATAACTTAGGATGAGGCACATGCTACCTACTGAAGGACACAGGGACAGTGAGAGTAGACTACTGCCCTGAAGGAATACACCCCTGGTGAGACAGTCAGGAGGAATGTGGATTTGGTTCTGCTACACTGCCAGTGTTGGTCGTTATGGAAAGTCATAAAAAGAAAAACAAGGCAAAAACTTTATGCTCATCTCTGCCCTTCCCAACCTCCTTGAAATGATCAGAGGCCTCTCTCGGAGTTCCTAACACATAGTCTGAGAAACAATGTCCAAGGCAAATTATGGTTCCTTGGTTTGCAATGTACAAAAAAATCAGCAAAATACTTAAAATCTTTGCATATATGCATATGTACCTTGAAAGCATTTAGAAATTGGCAGTATGAATTTTAAAAATGTGAGTTACAAATCTATAAGCTAAAAGGTGTACTTATTTTGTGGCTGAAGCCTACTGGTTGGGTGATTAATAATTAAAGTTTATTGCATTGGAAATCACTTAAATTATAATTAGAGGAGAAATTTACCAGCCTGCTTTTGCCCATCTTAGTTCCTTTAGATTAAAAAGAAAACCAAAAACAAACAACCCAGTCATACTCATTAAGATAATCACAAAAATAATTGACAAGACAGTCTTCTAAAATAAATCATGCCAAGTATGATGGCGTCAGCCACATTTTGTCTGGGAAGAGATCTCATAGGAACCCAGACCTTGGTTATTGGTAGTTATGCATGTCCTTGCCTGAGAGATCCACTGGCAATTTTGTGGCAGTTCATGGTATGACAGATAAAAACCTAAGGGCCCTGATCCAAGTGCAGGGTCTGAGTTTTTACAAAATTACCTTCACAGACTCCCTTGCTGTTTCTTCTCCAGCCGTAGCAGCAGGCCAGTTTAGTTCCATAGTGACAGACCCCAGGCTGACGTGCCGATGCTAACAACCCGTGATGCCTTGCACTGCAGATAAAGAACTACATGTTAGTATTGAGAAAATAGAAAAGACAACAGAAACTCTTCCCTACTACTAAAAGAACCAGAGATGTCAATTACCTGGTTAATTTCAACGAACCCGCAGTAAGTGCTAAATTAGATTTTGAAAACCTGAATTTTGGGGTTGCCAGCCTTCCTCAATAATTAGTTTCAACCATTTCCTTCTTCCCCACGGTTAAAAGAATCTATAAAACTAGGGCACATGAAGATGTCCAAAGTATATGTTTTTGAACCTTGTAGAGTGTCACTTTTCAGATCTGCTCTGTATACGCACAGCAACTATCCAGTTCTTTGTCTATTTCAGTCACTTTCTAATCCTGTGGCTTTGTCCCAGACCAGAGCTCTGCACTTTTATCCCACTGGCACCTGGGAACCATTGAATAGACTGGAATCAACATACACTATAGATGATTAAGAGTTGGAAGGGCTCGTTCAGCAAAGCCCTCTTATGTTACAGAGGAGGAAACTCCAGTCCAATGGAGTGGAGTCACATCCCCAGCAGAGCTGGGTGTTGGGAATTCTAGCCCAGGGCTCGTTCCCATTGACCTCCTGGAAACCCAATTTGCTAAACTGCTTAATTTTAGAGCAGAGATCGGCAAACATTTTCTGTAAAAAGCCAGATGGTAAGTATTTTAGGCTTTGTAGGGCCATAAGATATCTGTCCAAGTACAAAAGCAGCCATAGGCAATAGTAAACAGATGCGCATGACTGTGTTCCAATAAAACTTTATTTATGGACACTGTAATTTGAATAGCATATAATTTTCCTGTGTCATGATATGGTATTCTCCTTTTGCTCCATCTTCTAACATTTAAAAATGTAAAAACTGTTCTTCGCTCATGGGCTGTTTATAAAGAGGGGATCACCTAGCTTTGGCCAGCAGGCTGTAGCTTGCCTGATCTAGATGCCTGAAAAAGGTGAGCCCCCTGTCCCCCACCAAGTGCCCCCAAGTAGTGCCGCCATGGATGAAGCTCACTGCATGTTTACCTACTTACTGTCCTGGTATTGGACAGGGTTGCTACCAGACTTTGAAGGAAAATACTTGCATTGTATGTTTAGTGGAGGGCTGTGATTATTTCCTTACACATATTAAATACACTGTAAAAATGTTTCCTGGGCTCTTTAACAGACAAAGGAATGCACATTTTACCATGTGCTTTCTGCTACAGAACTGAACTTCATGCAAGTTAATAATATCTAAGTCAAGGTCGGGAAGTTAAACAACCTTGTAGATTTCCCTCAAGATCTGCCTCTCCCACAAATGTGATTACTCAGTTAAGAGCTATAAAGATATGGTCTGAGACATTTCATTTACTGAGAGCACCAAATGGGAGGATGATTTTAACATTTACTTTTTCTTGAAGAGAACTTTTTTTCATTTTTTAATGGAATTAATTTTAGGGATTCATAAGTCACTCAAACATTTAGAATAGGGTTTCTCAACTTCTACACAACTGATATTTTGGGCCAGATCATTGTTTGTTGTTGGGAGGTGTCCTGTGCATTGTAGGATATTTAACAATGGTCTTTATCTACAGTTGCCAGTAGCACACACCCCTCTAGTTCTGACAAACGAAAATGTCTCCAGACATTGCCAAATGTCCCCTGGAAGGTAAACTTTTCTTTCATTAAGTAGTAGTACTTTAAAGCAAAACATTTATTGTGCATTTGCTATGTACCAAGTACTGTCTCAGGCACATAGAGTACAGTGACGAAAAGGGCCTGGTCTTTGCTCTCTTAAGTTCACAGTCTATTGGAAACATATGCATTCAAGTATAGGATAGCATGCTAAATATTATTAAAATGCTCTGCTAAAGAGTTTTGACTGAGAAATAATGCAGCCATGTGTCTAATCTAATTTGTATATTCCTAACAATTCTGCAAGGGATACCACAATCTTGACCCAGTCTGCGCCTAACAGTTTCCAAAGAACCTATGATAAACTCCAATATTCTGTAGCACAGCAGGGTGACTACAGTTAGCAACAATGTATTGTAAATTTCCAGGTAGCTAGAAGAGAGGATGTCAAATATTACCAACACATAGAAATGGTAAATACTCAAGGTATTTGAGTATTTGATGGGTACCCCAAGTACAACTGGATCATGATATAGTCTATGCATGTAACACTCACATGTACCCCATAAATATGTAAAATATTTTGTATCAGTAAAAAAGAAGAAACTATGGGCAACTAACCATAAAGTATGCTGAGTAAATAAGTGCCAGTCCAAATACAGTGATGTCCTTAATAATTTTTTTACTTTAGTATTTTAAAAATTGAGATATAATTTACATAACGTAAAATTCACCCTCTTAAAGTATACACTTCAGTGGTTTTTAGTATTTTCACTATGTTATGCACTCATCACTTCTATTTAGTTCCAGAATATTTCCATCACCCCAAAAATAAACCCTATACCTATGAGCAGTTCATCTTAACTAACTTCTCCCTTCATCTCCTGGCAACCACAAATCTGCTTTTTGTCTCTGGATTTGCCTGTTCTGGATATTTCATATAAATGGAATCCCACAATATGTAGCCTTCCGTATCTGGCTTCTTTAACTTAGTATGTTTTCAAGTTTGATCCATGTTGTAGCTTGTAACAGTACTGTATTTCTTTTTATTGCTGAATAATATTCCATAATATGGATATACCACATTTTATTTATCCACTCATCAGTTGATAGACATTTAAGTTGTTTCTACATTTTGGTCATCATGAATAATGTTGCTATGAACATTGGTGCACAAGTTTTTGTGTGGACATATGTTTTAATTTCTCTTGGGTATATACACAGGAGTGGAATTGTTGGGTCATATGGTGCAATGGACAGAATGTTTGTGTCCTCCAAAATTCATATATTGAAACCCTAATCCCAATGTGATGGTATTTGGTGGTGGGGTCTTTGGGAGGTAATTAGGTCATGGGGTTGGAGCCTTTATGAATGGGATTAGTGCCCTAATAAGAAAAGGCTAGAGAGCTTGAGAAGTCGGCAGCCTGCAACCCAAGAGTGCCCTCACCAGAACCTGACCATGCTGACACCCTAGTCTTGGAATTCCAGCCTTCAGAATGGTGAGAAATACATTTCTATTGTTTATAAGCCACCCAACCTATGGTAATTTGTTATAGCAGCCTGAACTGACTAAGACATATTATAGTTGTATATTTAACTTTCTGAAGAACTGCCCGACTGTTTTCCAACATGGCTATATCATTTTACTTTCCCATCAGCAATATATGAGAGTTCCAATTTCTCCACATCCTCACCAGCACTTGTTATTGTTCATTTTTAAAAACTCTAGACATCCTAATGCTTGAGAAGTAGCATCTTGTTTTGATGTGCATTTCTCTATTAAGTGTCTTTCATGTGTTTATAGACCATTTGTATATCTTCTTTGGATAAATGTCTATTCAGGTCCTTTGCCCATTTTTTAACTGGGTTATTTGTTTTGATGTTTTTAAGATTTGAAAACAAGATTGAAATTTGTTGGTAAAAACAACTATCCCCATACCTTGGTGAAAAACCCCTTCCACATAGATAAACAGTAAGTCCATTTCTTAACCATACACATCTGTGAGAAACCTTGACAAAGTACTACAATCTGCTTTTACCTCTTCCTTTAACAACATGAAGCTGATGCCTGGGGGAGCAGAATGGAGAGAGGAACTAACCTTGCTTGGGAAAGAGGAGGAAAATGTCACAGGGTAGGTGACATTTGAGTTGGATTTCAAAAGAAAACATGATGAAAGAAAAGCTGTATGGGGGAAATTCTGCCTTTGGAATTTTAATTTCATATTTTTATAAGAAATGTGGGATTCATTTAATTAGAATTCAATCTAGCAACAAAATCTTAGAGATGATCTGTCAACTTCTTGACTGCAGGTTTGCAAGCAATATGCTCCCCAATCACAATAGGAAGGACCTTACCTATTTCCTGATGCCAAAAAAAAAATCAGTATAATCCTCAATAGGGCATTAATATGTATGGACTATAGTGCTAGGTGCTGAGGATACACTTATAATCCTGGCATAGAGGGTCCCCTACTCATGAGCTTTTAGACAAGGGGTTCAGGGTAACAGAGGCACTCAATATATTCAGTCTATTACAGAAGCTTAAATCAAAGAAACATAATCCAGTCTAAAGGGTCCCAGATGTTCCCTTTGAAGGTGCAAACTTTAAATTAGACTTAAGACAAACAGGGTTCAACCACATAAAGTGAAAGAATATTAGAGGCAAAGGGAATAGAATGAGTGCAGACTAAGAGGTAAAAGACACCATGCTTGTGCTTGAGGAATGAGTAGATGACCAGAGGATTACAACAAAGGGAGGGAGGAGTCAGCTTGTGAGAGATGAGCCCCGAGAGGTTGGCAGAGGCTACATCACAGAGGGTCTTGTGAATCAAGTTAGGGCTTTGGGTTTTACATCTTAATGGCAATAGAACAGCACTGAAGGGTTTTAAGTAGGAATGTTATTTGATAAGGTTTTTCTCTTGAAAAACAGTACCACGAAAGCAGTCTGGAAGATAGATTGGAGGGAGACAGAATGGAAGAAAAGATACCAGTTGGCTCAGAAGATAGATTCTGGTTGCTTGGACTGGAGCAGAAGCAGTGGAGGTAAGGAGAAATGAATGGCATCAAAGTGGGACCAAAAGATTTGGTAATGGATTAGAGTGATTCATTCATTCATTCATTCAACAAGTATTTATTGAGTGCCTATAATGTATCAGACACTGGGCTAGTTTCCAGAAGTTCATCAGCAACCAAAAGGGAAATAAGATTTCTGTCCTCATGGAGCTTATATCCTAGTCGATTGGATATAGAGCGTCAGAGGGATGCACCATCGGGTAGATGTTAGCACTGTATTTCTGGAATGAGGAATATGGGTGGAGGAACACGTTAGGGAATAGGATAGATGATGAATTCTCTTTGGCACATGCTGATTTTGAGTACTCATTAGACGGACAACCTAGAAGAGGTGTTGAGTAGGAAGTTGGATATTTGGGTGAGGAGTCCAGGAAGCAGAACTATATTTGGGAATCATCTGCAGGTAGATGGTAACTGATTCTACAGAAGTGGATGTAGTGTAAGAAAAGAAGGAGGCTTAGGGCACAGTCCCAAAGATGCCAGCATGTAAGAGATGGACCAAAGAGCAGGAAGGTCCAGAAAGAGGCCCAGGCAATGCTCAGAGGAACACCAGGTTAGTACATTGTTGGGAAAGCCAAATGAGGAGAGTTTTTCTAGTAAGAGAGTGGGATCAACTCTGAATGTTGAGAGGCTGCATAACATGGTGGTCAGGACTATGGTCTCCTTCCTGGGTTTGAATTCTGGCTCTACTATATATTAACTCTGACCTTCAGCAAGTTACTTTGTCTTTCTATGCCTTAGCTATCTCTTTTCTAAAACAGGGAAAACAACAGTATTTACCTTAAGGGTATTTGTGATAATGAAATCATTAAATATATGTAAAGGGCTGTGAATGGTGACTAACACAGTAAATGCTCCCTAATTGATTGCTTTTATTATTCGTAGTAGTAGGATTAATATTATCAGATGTGTTGACCTTCAGAGGAGAGCCACGTTTCCCACAGAAGGACCTGCCTTAGTATCCCTGCCATGCTCAGTCATTGGTGGCAGCAGCCTGTGGGAGTTGCAGCCTCACTTAAAAGTGGTGCTGGATTTCCAAGAGCAGAGTAGTTGGGACCCTGGGTCAATTATGCTCCCTGCAGTTGGATGTCTGCGAGGCACATCCTCATAGCTGTCACAGGTTCCATGTGACTTGCCTTTTTTATGTTTGTAGGAATAACTGTTCATTCTAAGGGGAGATTATCATAGAATTTCACCTTAAAGAAAGCAACCTTAGATATCATCTGGTTCCAACCTATCATTTTGTGCATGAAGAAACTAAGGCCAAGAAAAACTGAGTATTTCATTGGTATTAGGAGCCAGAGGGGAACACACTTCACCAAACTATTCACCTACTCATTTGTCTACCCAAAATTTATTAAGTAACTACACACATCAGGCACTGTACTAGGCACTGAGACTACAGGAGGTATATGAGAGAAGCCCCATTATATTCCAACATATGACCCTACCAAAGGGGCAAGTTCTCAGGAGCTAGGGGGAGATATGGAAGTTAGTACATTGGGATGGGTGGGTGAGGGGTGTTCTGGAGGAAATGGGGCTCAATATGAATGGAACTTAGCCATGGAACTTAGGAGAAGTGGGAGGAGGCTGTATGGTGGGGAAGGTGTTCCAGGCAGAAAAAATAGCCTGTGCCAAGGACAGCACCATTAAGAACATGGGGAGTTGGTGGCCTGAAAATTTGAGTGTAGATCGTGGTGTGTGTTAGGAGCAGGAGTGAGAAGGGCAGCAGGGGAATGGTGGGATAGAGAAGGCGCAGGGAAACAGCAGGGGGCAAAAGAAAAAGGCCTGTGTCCCTCCTGCAGGCTTCAGACAGTGACAGGTAGATTTCAAGCAGTTGGAAATATCAAGAATTTTGTAATACACAAAACAGCCTCCTTAGAAGTAGGGTGAGCTCACTAAGCTCCAACAATATTTCTGAAACAGTTAGATGTGAAATCACACAAAACCAAATAGAAATTTGTTGAAATCTGATATTTTTAAAAAGCCTAATCAGAAACCAGCCACGAGTCCTTGGTACAGGTGGTCAAACCTACTTCATATGTACCAGTCAAAGTCAATTACTTGGGATTGCAAAGAATACTGCCTGGGGTTAACTAACAGGAGACAGTTACCAGAAGATAAAATTCATATACTGTTTGACATTACCACAACTCTCCAGAGAAATCCTCATTTTCTCAATCTTTATTGCTTTCACATGCCTGCTTTCAGGTGAAAAGGTGAAACTGAGAAATCTGAGGTGTATTAATTTCTCCCAAATCATTGTTTTTGATGTCGTATAAAGTGTTACTTATAAAACTCCCCCAAATGTTAATGACTAACACTTGGGCCATCAAAAATTTATTAACTTTGTTAATAAATTAAGATTTCTTATCTGCTGTAAGGAATTCCTTTCTCAGTCACAAAAGCATCTTAGTATTATAGTTCTGTCGAAAGATATAGGAGATTTGCCATCAAATCTACATCACTCTCATTTGTTAAAAAATGGAAGTAATTGTTTAAGAATCAACTCGGCCGGGCGCAGTGGGCCACGCCTGTAATCCCAGCACTTTGGGAGGCCGAGGTGGGCGGATCAAGAGGTTAGGAGATCGAGATCATCCTGGCTAACATGGTGAAACCCCGTCTCTACTAAAAATACAAAAAATTAGCCGGGCATGGTAGCAGGGCCTGTAGTCCCAGCTACTCAGGAGGCTGAGGCAGGAGAATGGCGTGAACCCGGGAGTCAGAGCTTGCAGTCAGCCGAGATTGCGCCACTGCACTTCAGCCTGGGCAACAGAGTGAGACTCCATCTCAAAAAGAAAAAAAAAAAAAGAAAAGAAATAGAATATCTAATTTTGGACTGTACTAATCCCATCAACATCCTCTGCCACCTTGGAAGGTCTAGATGGACTGGCCAGCTTCTCTCTCACTCTCTCTCTGTCTCTTCCTAAACAATATTTTGCACATATGAGGCTCAGGGAACCGAGTCTTGAGACAGGGAAATGCTAATGTAGGTGAACAAGTCTCTGTGGAGTGGAAGCCCTGAGCTGTGGGAGTCTTAGCTAAATGCTGAATTGCCCAGTTTCTTTAATGCATTATACAGCTTGCTGTCTACATTGATCAAATTAATCAGAAAATCGCCGTCTCCACAGCTGAAGTTAATTTAAAAACATTCCAGGGATTGTGTAAGTAGTGTAGTATTTCTTCATAGGATTCCTTATTTTCTGCAAAAATATACTGTGCCAGAATTCTTAGTATGTTTGTTTATGGTCAGATTCCAGAAAACTTCATGATATTCTCCAAGACAAATTGAGAAATTAAACTTCTTTTGCCGATGTTTAAATACATTTAAATATTGCCATATAAATGAAATAAAAGATTTTCTAAATAGGGACAACAAGGTCCAGCCATGAAGATTTTTGTTGGCGGTGGTTTTGATTTTTGTTATTTTTTTTATCATAGCTCCCAGTATGGCAAGTTCACTGTACTTAGCCAGTTAAAATTAAGTCTGGGTTCCCATCTACCATCAAGAAACAGAGTACAAGTCCAGCGGGTCCAGGGATACCCCAAGACATCTCACTTTCCCAGATGTGTAGGGGCTTATGTGCCCAGTGAAAAACTTGCCTGGGTTATAAAGCTCTCCTATACTAGTGTGTGTTGATGTGTCCTCAAATTTCTAATGCCATGACTGGTAGGGATAGTAGTAAACTTCAGGCAAAAGTTGGAACTTTCCATTGCTTCCTCTATTTCCCTCATTTATCTTCCAAGCTCAGGAGTTATGTGGAGATTGGGGATGGGGAGTGTCTTGGTTTTGGCTACCCCAGAAGCAGACCATGAGACAAGAATTTGCATGGAAGTGGTTTACTTAGGAGGTGAAGGGAACGTTGATAAAGGAGTGGGGAAGTGAGACTAGGAAGGGAAGGCAGTCAATAAAGCAAGTGTTATCAAGACAGCTACATTTATTCTCCCTCTCATTCATTCATTCATAGTAAGCATGGGGGAGAATGATATAAGATGGAAGATGGAGTTAGAGAAGTAGTCAAAGTCTAGGTCAAGTAGAGCCATTTATGTCATTTTAAGTAGAATGAATTTTATTCTTAATCTGGTGGAAAGTCACTGAAAAGTTTTAAGAAGAGGGCTGACATGGTCTAATTTAACTGTTAAGAGGAACACTTTGGAGCATGGACTAGAGGGAGCAAAAGAAAAAGTAAAAGGAAGCTATTGTGGTGGTTCAGGTGAGAGATAATGGTGGTGTAGCTGGATGATGGTAGGCAGGGGCAGAGAGTGGGGATAGAAGGAGATGGACTTGAGACATGGTTTGTAACAGGACTTAGTAGCAGATGTAATACAAGTGGGGAGGAAGAACCCCACCTGTCAGCAATGATACCCCAGTTTTTGGCTTGAGCCAGTTTGGATGCTGTTTGTTCTGGGGTGGGGAGAAAGGGTGAAGTGGAGGGAAGCAAGTTCTGAATGATGATCAAGAGTTCAGTTTTGGATGTCTTAGGCTCAGTGAGACATCTCAATGAATCGGTCAAGAATGCAGCAGAAAGAGGCTGGGGCTTGAGATTCACATTTTGAAGACATGAATATACATATAGATGGCATTGAAAGTGCTGGGACTGGGAAGATAACCTGGAGAGTGTAAATAAGAAAGAAAATAGGGTCAGAGATTAATCTCTGTGGAAATACAGCACTTTAAATCCTGTTGAAGAAGGGAAGAGTAACAAGTGTGGGCGAAGGCAAACCAGAATGTGTTGTATGCTGTGACGGTTTTAAAATATGTCCATAAATGATCTGATGCTCATCCTTTCAAAAGGTGAAGTTTAATTCCCCTCCTTTTATGTGGGGTTGTACTTAGTGACTGATATCTAACAAAGAATACTGTGGGAGTGATGGGGGTAACTTCCGAAATTAGGACACAGAAGGCATTGTAGCTTCCTCCTTGCTCTCTCTCTTGGATTAGTCACTATGGGGGAAGTCAGCTAACAGTTGTGAGAACATTCAAGCAGCCCTGTGGAGAGGTCCACATAGAGAGAAGCTGAGGCCTCCTGCCAACAGCCATGTGAGTACGCCGTCTTGGAAGCAGATCCTCCAGCCAGAGTCAAGATGTCAGATGACTATAGCATTGATCAACAACTTGATTGTAACCTTGTGAAAAACTCCAAGCCCAAGCAGTATGGCGATTCCTCAAAGAATCTACTATTTGAGGAAATAGTAGATACAGAACTACTATTTGTAAATAGTAAAAACAGAACTACTATTTGACCCAGCAATCCCATTTCTGGGTATATATCCAAAGGAATATAAATCATTGTACCATAAAGACACATGCACACAGTGTTCATTGCAGCACTATTCACAAAAGCAAAGACATGGAATCAACCAAAATGCCCATCAGTGATAGACTGGACAGAGATACTATGGTACATATACACCATGGAATACTATGCAGCCATAAAAAGAATGAGATCATGTTCTTTGCAAGAACATGGGTGGAGCTGGAGGCCATTATCCTTAGCAAACTAATGCAGGAACAGAAAACCAAATACCACATGTTCTCACTTATAAGTGGGAGCTAAATGATGAGAACCAATGGGCACAAAGAGGGGAACAACACACACCAGGGCCTATTTGAGAGTGGAGGGTGGGAGGAGGGAGAGGAGCAGAAAAAATACCTATTGGATACTAGGGTTAGTACCTGGGTCACAAAATAATCTGTAAAACAGCCCCCCATGACGTGAATTTATCTATATAACAAACCTGCACAGGTACCCCTGAACCTAAAATAAGAATTAAAAGACTCCAAGCCCTTTTGCTATGAATCTAAAACTGCCCTAAAAAATGTCTTAAAAAAACCCCAAGCCCCATCTTGCTAAGCTGCTCCTGAATTCCTGATTCACAGAAAATGTGTGAAATAATAAATGTTGCTTTAAGCCACTAAATTTTTATTTATTTATTTATTTATTTTTATTATACTTTAAGTTTTAGGGTACATGTGCACAACGTGCAGGTTACATATGTATACATGTGCCATGTTGGTGTGCTGCACCCATTAACTCGTCATTTACATTAGGTATATCTACCAATGCTATCCCTCCCCGCTGCCCCCACCCCACGACAGGCCCCGGTGTGTGATGTTCCCCTTCCTGTGTCCAAGTGTTCTCATTGTTCAATTCCCACCTATGAGTGAGAATATGCGGTGTTTGGTTTTTTGTCCTTGCGATAGTTTGCTGAGAATGATGGTTTCCAGCTTCATCCACGTCCCTACAAAGGATATGAACTCATCATTTTTTATGGCTGCATAGTATTCCATGGTGTATATGTGCCACATTTTCTTAATCCAGTCTATCATTGTTGGACATTTGGCTTGCTTCCAAGTCTTTGCTATTGTGAATAGTGCTGCAATAAACATACGTGTGCATGTGTCTTTATAGCAGCATGATTTATAATCCTTTGGGTATATACCCAGTAATGGGATGGCTGGGTCTAATGGTATTTCTAGTTCTAGATCCCTGAGGAATCGCCACACTGACTTCCACAATGGTTGAACTAGTTTACAGTCCCACCAACAGTGTAAAAGTGTTCCTATTTCTCCACATCCTCTCCAGCACCTGTTGTTTCCTGACTTTTTAATGATTGCCATTCTAACTGGTGTGAGATGGTATCTCATTGTAAGCCACTAAATTTTGAAGTATTCTGTTGCATAGCAATAGATAACTAATAAATGTGATATCCAGAAACCAAGCAGAACGTACTGAAGAGCAAGGTGATGATCTTTGTTGACGTTTGTTGCTTTGGTATTTTGAGTTTTAATTTTGTACTTAAATTCATTAAATCTGAGATATCATAGATTATAAGCATTCTATTACTATGTACATTAGAAAAGAAAAATGCTGCCAATTAAACTAAACTATAGCTCATTACCTTAATAATTCTGTGCAATTTTGTCATAATTCTGTGCATGAATTAGTCACGATCGTGTTAACTTTAAAGAACACAGAGCCTGCAATGGCCTGTTTGCTCGCTATTGTTGTCAGAACCAAGTCCAAACTCCTTGGCTCAGTGTACTGGGCTCCTCACAGCCTGGTTCCAGCCTGCCTTCTTTGCCTCTTGGCAGCCACTGGGCTTATTACCTAAGATTCTGGCCAGTCCACTTTCTGTATCTTGGGCTGATGCTCACCTTATGCATTCTTTTTGCAGGTATGTATCTATCCATCCATTCATTTACTCTTATGCAATACCTACTAGGAATTAAGCATTGGAATGTTTGCTTTCTATGCCCATTTTATAGCAGGTGGGCTCACATTTGCTCCATAAGAACACTATAAGTGTCATCCACTGTATTCAGTTTTCCCTGATTCTCTCATGTGGACTCAGTTTCTCTCTTATCTGTATTCTGTGGAATGTTTTATATGTTTTTATATATATGTATATATATAATATGTATATATATACACCCTATATAAACTTATAGTTTTATATGTTTATACATATGCATATAGACATATATTCATTGTTTGAAATGCTATACTGTATGTGTGTGTGTGTATGTATATATATATATATATATATATATATATATATATATATATATAAAATTCATATATAAATAACATTATGTGCCTCTCCATCCCCCTTCCTTGGTCATTTATTAATTTACCTAACTTTTAATTCAGCACCTACTATGTGCCAGGCACTGGGCTAGAACCTGGACTTGTATCCTTCCTCCCTGGCTTCCCTGGCCAAAAAGGAAAGAAAGACATTTTGATGGCCCTATGAAGTTGTCTAGTGAGGGAGGCAGTAGTTATGAATCTCTGGCATTCAGAAGAATGTTTGGGCACATCAACTGTTCAGTTAATGTTGCATTAAACTGAATTAATTTTAACACTTTTTATATTTTTTTTTCATAAACAAGACCTTCACATTGAAAACAGGTCAGTTATTAAAACTTACCCACTGGGACCCAGCAAGTTAACTGATGAAACTAGAAGTACTACTGATCTCTCTGGGTAAAATATTTCATGAAAAGTGACTTAATCATCCTTGGGAAACACCATGGCTTTTAAATCTGTCACTTGTTCAATGTGAGATTCTGGGCAAATCATTTAACAATCTATCCTTTTGAAATTCAGTTTACTCATCTATATAATTGGAGATGTGATCTGTAATTTACACATGGTCAACATTGCCAGTGGGACCTCAATCTCTGTTCTCCCCTTCCTTCTTAGTAATAGGACCCCTATTACATAGCTACTCAGAATATAGACTACATTTCCCAGCCTTCACTTCAATAATATGTGGCCATGGAACTAAGTTCCGGCCAATGGGATGTAAACAGAAGTGCCATGTGCAACACTTCCAGGATGTGGCTGTGAAGGGAGGATGATGTTCTTCATTTATTTCCTCTTATTGGCTGGTGATACAGATGGGATATTTATCTCTCAAATCTCATGTTTAAATGTAATCCCCAAAGTTGGAGGTGGGGCCCAGCAGGAGGTGACTGGATCGTGAGGGTGGATTTCTCATGAATGGTTTAGCACCATCCCCTTGGTGTTGTCCTCATGGTAGTGAGTGTGTTCTCATGAAATTTGGTTGTTTAAAAGTGTATGAGTGTGTGGCACCTTTCCCCGCCCTTGCTCCTGCTTTTGCCATGTGAGACACCTGCTCCCGCTTCACCTTCTGCCATGATTGGAAGCTTCCTGAGGCCTCACCAGAGGCAGAAGCCACTATGCTTCCTGTAAAGCCTGCAGAACGGTGAGCCAATTAAACCTCTTTTCTTTATAAATTACCCAGTCTCAGGTATTTCTTTATAGCAATGCAAGAACGGCCCAACACGGCTGGAATTTGGACATGTTTGCTGAAGCTCAAGAAGCCATCTTAGGCCACAAGGGGAGGGCCTTCTGATGGACCCATAAAATGGCAGCATCTGGGTCCCTGACTCCATTGAAAGCCAGCCATATCAGCCCAACTACCCACACCTTTGTGAAAGAGAAACACATGTCTATCTTGCTTAAGCCAAGGTTATTTGAGTTTTCTATCACTTGCAGCTAATTCTGAAGGATCAAAAAGCAATGTTGCCATGCTAGTTAGCTGCTATGTGCCCATTATCCATATTCTGACATTTCCTGCTTAAAACCCCCAATGTCAAATAGCTTGTGAGGCCAGTTTTCAATTTGCATTCAACTGAAAATAAAGATCAGGTGGACTTTTGTTTTTTGATCCTATGCGGTTTCTATCTTTTCTGAACGTACCTTATGTATTAGTTTGCTGGGGCTGCCATAACAAAGTACCACAGACTGGGTGGCTTAAACAACACACATTTATCCTCTCACAGTTCTGGAGGCTGGAAGACCAAGATCAAGGTGTTGGTAGGGTTGGTTTCCTCTGAAGCCTCTCTCCTTTGCTTGAAGATGGCTGTCTTCTTTTTGTGTCCATACATGGTCTTTCCTGTGTGTGTGTCTGTGTCCTAATCTCCTCTTTTTGGCTTGTTTTTTGAGACAGAATGGCATGATCTCAGCTCACCACAACCTCCGCCTCCTGGGTTCAAGTGATTCTCCTGCCTCAACCTCCCGAGTAGCTGGGATTACAGGAATGCACCACCATGCCTGGCTAATTTTGTATTTTTAGTAGAGACAGAGTTTCTCCATGTTGGTCAGGCTGGTCTCAAACTCCCAACCTCAGGTGATCTGCCTGCCTCGGTCTCCCAAAGTGCTGGGATTACAGGCATGAGCCACCATGCCCGGCCTGTTTGTTTGTTTGTTTGTTTGTTTGTTTGTTTGTTTTAAATAAGCTTTGGCAAGTTTTAGTAAAGAATAATCTTGTATGGTTTACCTTTCACCAGCCTGTTATGGCATGCTTCTAATGATATCAGAATCATCTGGATAAATGATAGCTAGTGTGCAGAATCTGTAGTATTTTCTGCATGCTGTGCACAATTCATTATTATTGCCACTGTAGTGATGGACACCAGTTTGGGCCAATATGCTGTAATAATGCTATTTCAGATTTCCTCAAAGCTGTACAATTGTTGGCAAGGATGACAGTTTCACTTTGCCTTGTCTGATCATCTTCAGAGTCTTCTTGTACTCCAGCATGTACTTTTCACTTTTCATAATGAGTTGGAGCCTACAGCTGATTGACTCCGGTGATTTTTTTTTTTTTTTGTCTTTTTTGCAGCCACAGTCTTCCTGTCTTAGGTGTGGGATGGCCCCCAGCCAAGAGCATCCACCAAGATGGCTGGGGAGGGAGAAAGGCCCTAATCTCCTCTTCTTATGACAGCAGTCATATTGGATAAGGACCCACCATAATGAACTGATTTTAATTTAACTGCTCCTTTAAAGACCCTATCTCCAAATGTAATTATATTCTAAGGTAGTGGGGTTAGGGCTTCAACATATGAATCTTGAGGGAGTACACAATTCAGTCCACATCACCTCAGGATACCTGCATGTCCTGCCCCCACTGTCCTCAGAGGAGTTTTTGTCCTGAAATTTGTCACCAGGAGCACAAGTTCATCAGTGGTAGTTCCCTGTTTTACTGGCTCAGTGGCAAATAGCTGTTGGCACATTGTGGAACCTGACCAGCCTCATTTCACGATTCCTGAGAACTTTTTGTCTTGGCAGGAGCCAGCTCTTCCTGTGTGCACAGTAGGCTGAAAGTGCAGAATCCCCTTCCCCAGAAGCCCTCAACCAATGACTGTTGGGATTACAAACACCCCGGCTCCCTTGTCTTCACAAGGGATAACTAGGATTCTCGTGTTCTACTGTCTCCTAGAATTCCCCAGCAGGATTGACAGAGTGGTGACTTATTTTTACGACACTTCTTTCCCTTTTCTGTCCCACTTCCCCACTTCTCTACCAGAACTTCCTGGGGTCACCTCTCAAATAAATTACACACAGAGTCTGCTTCTGAGAAAATGCAAACTTAGAAAGGAAAGTGGTGGTACTGGGTGGATGGAGCACTTACTCTACATATGTCCCTTGAATGTGCTGAACTAGAGTCAAGCTAAACAGGATCACTGGTGATCATTTGTAAGAAAGCCCTTTGTAAAAATGTCAGCTTTTCTGTATTCACTTTTTTTGAGGGAATAAATTTGGAATAGTGGGACAACACTGGTCTTAGAGCAGAAGACCAAATCAAATGTAATTCCTGGGAAATCACCTAATTTCTTCAAGTTTCTCCATTCCCTTGTCTGTCAAATGAACACAATACCCATTTCTTAGGGTTGTTGAGAGGATTGATTGAAATAACATTGAAAATGGTTGACACTGACTAGGGCCTCAATAATATCTGTTGAATGCCAATCTGATTTATGAAGACTAGGTAATACACTTATTTTCATTGTAATGTTTACATAGCCTTGATTTATGCTCATGAATTACATATAAATAGGACTTTAACACTTTCTAAGCCAGTGAAACTAACTATTGAAATAAGGCTGCCCAGAAATGATTTTTAAGTTGTAATTAGATGATTATTATTTCCCAGAAACACACAGCTCTTTAGTTTTGGGTACATTCTCACAAATTACAGCTTGAAGAATAAAGAAATAAATGATATACCAATCATTCGAAAATCACCAAAATCATGTTTAAAGATAAAATCTAGCCCATAGAAATAAGAACAACAGACTTACAGCTCAGGCTTCCTGTGAAAGGCTGAATAACGCCCCCACCCCGCAGAGGTATACATCCTAATCCCCGGAACCTGTAAATGTTATCTTATATATCAAAAGGGACTTTCCAGATGTGATCGAGTGAGGGCTCTTGCAATGAGCAGATTATCCTGAATTATCCGAGTGGGCCTGATATAATCACAAGGGTTCTTCTTAGGAGGAAGAAAACAAGGAAGAATCAGAGAGAAGGCAAAGTGACAAAGGAAAAAGATATTGTGCCACAAGCTAAGGACTGTTGGCAGCCTCTAGAAGCTGGAAGATACAAGAAATGGAACCTCCCTGGAGCCTCCAGAAGAAACCAGTCCTGCTGATGCCTTAATCTTAGCCCCATAAGATTCATTATGGACTTCCGGTCTTCAGAACTGTAAGACAATAAACTTCTCTTGTTTTAAGCCATGGAATTTGTGGCCAATTTTTACAGTGGCACTTTGCTACCAGGGCTTTGAGAAAAATCAATTACCCACATAGCATGTGGTCTCTGTAAGTAAAGCCTCTCAGCAGGAACCTAGTCATTCCCTCCTCTCTCACATTATTTTTACTTGAATTCAGTAGAGAAAAAAATATAAAACAGAAATATGTTGTAAGGAAGGAGTTGCTCCAAACGTTAATCTCCAGAATAGCAAAGTTAATAATATATTTATCTTAGGTACTCAAGGCAAAAAGATCCCAGTGTTAGGACTTAGAACACTCGAGATGGAGTTCAGATCAATAAGTGTTCTAGACCAGCACTGTCCAATAGAAATAAATATCCATATATGCCATTTAAAATTTTCTAGTAGCCACATTTTTTAAATGCTAAAGAAACAGAAGCAATTAATCTTAATAACAATTTTATCTAATGCAGTATATCCACATTACCATTTCAACATGTAATCAATATCAAATGATTAGTGAGATAGTTCCTGTTCTTTTTTTTGAAAATTAGATGTGTATTTGATACTTTTTGCAGCACATCTCAACTTGGACTGGTCACATTTCAGGTATTCAATAGCCACTTGGGGCTCCTGGTTACCATCTTTGCTGTATTGGACAGGTCTAGGGTATCTAAATAGTTCCAATACCCAAAGGACATAAAAAATATAAGGCAAGCCAAATTCTGAAGCTTAAGGGCAGGTACATGCATGGAGCTAATGATTTATTCATTTGATGAGCGTTAATTGTGTACTATGCACTAAATACCATTTAAGAAGCACATAATTTTCTAGGTTATAAAATCATAGTGCAGTGTTTCAATTAAAAAGAACTGATGCTTATACTGGAAATCTCTATACAGCAGCCACAGTTTTTCCTATAAGTTGTGAAACCCCAGGAAATAACCAGTAGACACAGTTTTCTGCAATGGGTGCCTTGCCTTCTCTGTAACAGTGTCTTATCCATAATGTGGAATCTAGAGCTGATTAAACATGGGTCCTGGACATTCCTGAAGAGCTGACCACTTGACATTTCCAAGCACATTGAGCAAATAATAAACACACCAGCTCATAAACTTGATAATCGTCTAAAGAAACCATGGTTCACATCTTGAAAACTGCAGAATTGCAGAATCCTGACATGGATTCTCCAGTTTAATATGCTTTGGTTTATCCAGGGGCTTTTGGCTTTTAATTTAATTTGGTGGCACTTTGAAAGTGAAGCTCCTGGAGGTCAGTTTGCTGGCCGCTAAAGAACTATTAATCTCATCTCCAAACAGCATTTGGTCTTTTTTAAGTGGGCTTTCTAGCAACGCAAGAACCTCTAGCATTCAAGGAAAATGTGATTATGAGCAAATTGCATCTGCTTACATTTTTATCATGAAAAGGAAATTGAAACTTGCGATCATACATTCTAAGAACCTGGTTTGAGGTTTGTTCTGTTTTAACTTCGAAATCCTTTAATACCATGGCTAACTCTGATGAAATATTTTTTCCTGTAAGTCAAACAAAGATAGGCAAACCTTCGAGAAGCCTGTACCAAACCAAAGCTCTTATCCTACTCTCCTCAGGAATCATCACTGAAAAATTTCTATAGTTCAGCAGTCTCCGCTAGGAGCAATTGTGCCCTCCAGGGACCTTGGGCAATATCCCAAACCTTTTTTTTGTTGCCACAACTTGGTGGTGGTGGTGGTGGTGGGGGGTGGGGTGGGGTCAAGGTTGCTACTAGTATCTAGTGAGTAGAGGCCACAGGTGCTGCTAAACATCCTACAATGCACAGGGCAGCCCATCACCCCAACAAATAATTATCCAGCCCAGCCCGAAAGGTCAATAATGCTGCGGTGGAAAAACCATATTCTAGTGGACACCTAAGTAGAAAGCAAGACATCACAGTTAGAGAACCAGAAAACCTCTTCCGTTGCCGGAAGGCTGCCCTAGTGCCCTGGTGAAGAACAGACTTTGGGCCAGAATACCTAGGTTTGCACCCTGGCTCCATCTCTTACTGGCTATGCTTCCTCAGGCAAATTACTTTACCTCTCTGTGCCTCGTTTTTCTCTTCTACAACACGGAGATGATGATAATAGTACCTTACACACAGAGCCATTATGGCTTTGGGTAGGTTAATAGTCCTGAAGTGCTTAGAACAGTGCCAGGTCGACAGTCACCATGTAAGCGTGCATTTACTAAGCGTCTTTGCCGATCTCTGGAAAAAATATTTCAGGTCTCAGCTAAGCTTAAGGGCAGTAGGGAACGGCTTCAGAGTCTGCATTGCCATAGCAAGAATGAGAATGGTTGTCATCTGACAACCGTGTCCTTTCTTTCCAGTTCATCAACCCTAATCAGAGAGCAGTGAGGAGAGCAGCCCGGCTGGCTCAGCTCAAGAACAGTAAATGCTTTATCGTCCTCGGTTTCTTTCCCTCCTTCCCCAGCAAAACTAGCGACTGACAAGCACTTGGTGTCCTGTGAATAGAGTGGAAAACACAAAACCGCACAGACACAGAACCCACCCACCGACACGCATACCAACCCTCACACACCTGCCCCTACAGCAGGTCTGCAGACCATCAAGCCCGCACGCACCCACGGGTCTGCGTGCAGAGCCTCCCTCCTCCTGCAACCCTCCGGACGCAGCCAGGTGGGGCACAGCTGATGCAAAAGGAGCTAACTAGGTGCAAAGCCCCGCCACAGGAGAGCAGGGAGGAAAGCCCGTGGGCGCTCCCGGCCTGGTATCCAGGTTAAATCCCGTCGCAGCGCGCACAGGCACACGTGCACACTCACACCCATACACGCGGGGGTGCCTGCAAAGACATGGGGCCCCAAAGCGGGACCTCAGGCCGGGGGTGGGGGGAAGCCAATCGCCAGTCAGACACTCACCTGGCCGCGTTCCCGAAACCACCTGCCACCCAGGAGAGCAGCAGCGGGAGCGCAAGGCTCCAGGGCAGAGGCATTCTCGCACGGGTCCTCCTTCCTCCTCCTGAGCCCCCCTCGGGAGGGCGCCGGCCGGACCCCGTAGCAGCTAAGCCGCCGCCTCCTCTCTCCTCAGCCGCTCGGGTCCTCCGCTCCACTCGCAGTTACCGGGTGCTGTCCCTGCAGTCTGGGAGGGGAGGCCAGGCACCGCGGCAGGGGCGCTCGCGGCCTGGGGAGGGGCTGGGGGCGCCCTGGCAAGCCTGGCCGAGGCTCCTCTGCGGATGAAGCTGGACGGGGTGAGCGAGGGAGGGCGGGGCGGGCTGTGCACATCTGGCTGGGACCCGCCTCCAGCATGACCCGCGCATCCTCCGCGCTCTCTGTTCACCCAGAAACTTCCCCCAGATTCAGGTCACTTCACGCTTGTCAGAGTCACCATCTACTACCATGTATTTCAGGCATGGGGCAAATTTCGGTGATACCTGCACTCCAGGACTTAAGAATTTAGTTGAGAAGTCGAAGCAGGATGGAAGGATGCAGGTTCCTAAGACATGATCCCTCACTTCTCTTTGGGTTTTCACGTTCTCCCGGTTTTCTTCTACAAACTGCAAATAATGGGATGCTAGAGCTGGAAGGTCACTAAGTCCTGGGCAACCCTGTCATTTGGCAAGTAATCTCTCAGGCCCATTTGCAACAGCTTACTTACATGGGACCCCAGATGACATCCCAATATAGTAACCAGTGCAGAAATTCATGGCAGAAACATGAATGCTATATGAATTCAGATCCATTTGGGTACTGACACATTCTTTGTTCTGACAACGTGTTACATTAGAATGAATGACTGATCCCTTTCTGTCCTTCCTACGTCCACACCCTTTGGCTTCATGGTAGGCAGACACTATGACCCCACACCTTGGCTTTGGACTTGGCCGTGTGACTTGTTTGATCAATGGTTTAAGGGCAGAAAAGTTGCAGTGTTCCAGTTCCAAGCCTAGGTCTTAACACACCTGACCCTCTATCATGGACATGAGAAGACCTTGCACCACCTAGCCTGGTGGTCCAAGGCGAATGAGAAACAGGTGAAAAAGCTACCTCGTCAACCTGCAGATCTATAGCTTGAAGCAGAGCTACTCGGTGGAGCCTCATGTATATTACCCAATCCACACGTATATGAATGAGCTCAGCTAAGGTTGCCCGGCACCAGCCAATCTACTGAGGCTTATTGTGATAGTCCTCTGACACACAGTGGCCCAGTGTGAGAAATGAAATGAAAAAGGATACAGAGAAAGAGGAGGTTTATCTTGATTGGAAGCTTGATTCATGGTTTTATAGGCATATGCCTTAATTCTGGCCAATGAAATGTGAGAAGTAGGGAGGGGGGAGATTCTTGCTGCAGAATCTTGCTTTACATTGTAATAGATGTTCTTATTGGTGCAAGCCATGTTTAGTTGGGACTTCTATTTTACAGTTGAAGGTATCCCCATGGATTCAGTATTCTTGGGTAACTAGTTAGACCATTGAGCTGCTCGTAATTAATAGTGTCAGACCTTGTCCTAAACACATATGTTATCTGATTGAACATCCACAAGCCTGTGGATGGAGACCATTAGTTCCCCCATGTTTGAAGTGTCAAGAAACTGAGTCGGAGAGGTTAAGCAGCTTGCCCGACCAAGGTCATACAGCTAACAAGTATAGAACCAGAACTGGAAACCAGGGCTTTTCCCCATTGGGCTCTGCTGCTGTTATATCAATCTCTTTTCTCATCTTCTCACGTATTGGCAGATTCACATGTCAGATGAGTATCATGAATAAGGTAATAAGATGAGCTCTTCAAGGTTGTCATCAAAACACTTTGAACTCTTCATACCATAACTTATTTTATTTACTGAAATATTAAAACTAAAAGAAAATAATATAAGTTATGAACTCTATACCTGTGAGGATCTTAAAGAAAATGGAATATAAAATTTGTCTTGTTGTGGGTTTCCCCACAAGCAGGCCCTGAGGCAAGGATTCAAGTAAAAGTAGTTTATTCTGGAGGTACAGAGAACATGGGTAGGTGAGTGAGGAAATGAGTTGGGAAAGAAGACAATATCAGGCATATATTAAGTTATCATTGTGAGCAACTGGAGGTTCATGCTGCTGGGGATCTCCCAGAGCCAGCATAGAACAAGCATCTCCAAATGATTTTACCTAAAAGGCAAGGGAACTGGGTATTTATACACCACTTCCATTCACTCATTACCTGAAAGCTTCAACTGTGGTACTGATCCTAGAACTCAGTCTTCTGTGCTGAAGACAGAGTGGGGCTTACAGCCAAAGAAAGCCCTCAGGCAAATGGCTAGTGATACTGACTGTTGAAGGTCCTACTGAAATGTAAGGCCTGAGGGGATACGGGTAGTGGCATGACATTGGCAGCTACCTAATATCTGGAACTTGAATCGAATTAAAAATTATGGATTTTTGCCCATGCCACTTCTCCCTTAACATTTGGATACTAATCACTCCCTCCTCCAAATAAACCATTACTCAAAAAAGTCCTAACTAAACATGATTAGTCTAAAATGTGAGGGCTATCTGCCTTCTTAGTCCTGAGTTACAAAGTCAGAATAACATCTTGCATTGACATTATCTGTAACTTTCTAGCTTTAGTTTCAGTATTTTGATGCTTTGTGCTTTTTCTTTGTCAGCTGAATTCTCTTTTGTAGGCTTAAAGGAGGTAATGGACATTACAACAGGAAACTTTGGGGGAGGTCAAACACTCCCCAGCCAACCCACCTATTATTTCCTGGGGGAGCTGTGAACAAAAGAGCTGTCACATAATATGAGCAACAGAGAAGGAACCTGCAAATGATGTGTTGCCAGGTGAGAAGATGTTGGATACAAATTGCCACATGGAGGCAGTTGTTTTTAGTAACTGCACTGGTGTTGCTGACTTTGAAGAGGAACCTGGAAACTGATCTTTAGGGGACCCTACTTCATCATTCTACAGAGAAAAAACAATCTTTGATCAGAATCTCATAAAATCGTCCGTGCCTTTTACAGGGCTACATTTTCTTCCAATCTATTTCCACTTAACCCCCTGTGTGGAACAGGTGTGATGGGATATTTCTGTGCTTTCTGAATACATATACATGACACACGTATAAAACTTTTAACACTTACAATGTGCCAGGCACTGAGATCTAAAAATTATTGTAATATCAGCACCAAAAGCAAAGCATTGTCAGAAGAAAGAGCTGCATAGAAGAGTGCCTAGGCCAGTGTTTTCAAGATTTAATGTCAGTACAGGTTGCCTGGGGATCTTGTTAAAATGCAGATTCTGTTTATTTAGGTCTGAGGTAAGGTCTGAGAATCTTAATTACTAAAAAGATCTCAAGCGACACCCATGCTGCTTGTCTGAGGACCACACTAGGGGTAGTGAGGGTCCAGAAATCACCTGGATCAGTAGTTCTCAAGTTTATCTGCACATTGGGATCACCTGGGAAGCTTTGAAACTACTGATGTCTGGGGCTCCACCTTCCAAGATGCTAATGTCTGGGCTATGGCTAGAGCATGGGCACTTTCAGAAACCCCTCTGGTGATTCTAATGAACAGCTGATGTTGAGAACCACTAATATGAACCAACTCCCACATTTTACAGATGCAAAAGCTCAGCTCCAGCCTGTGGAGCAACTTTCCTGATGTCCCACATAGGATGAATTAATGTCTCTGTGTTTCTACTATAGAGTCCTCCCCTTCAAACGTCATGATGTTTTATTGATCATCATTCCTACTGAAGACAAAACTGGCAACTCTTAATTGTTAATCTTCTGTGTTAACTGTAGCCCAGTGCCTTGTTCTAGAAATTGATATATTTTCCTGGTCTGTTTCTTTCCATTTCTTCTTATTCAGTGAAAGGAGTCAATGAAGAATTATATGTCTTTTGATGCAGACACTGCTAAATTCAGTATGGGAAGGTGTTTCTTGAGATACACATCAATTTTCTTCATCCTGTGCCTGTCAAGAACCCTGCTCTTGGAGCTCTATGGTAGAAGAAAAGTCCCAATCACTTTCAATCTTCTTTTCCTTTCTTTTCCACCCATCCCTCCTTTTCTCTCTCTCTGTTCCTTTCCTTCTTTCTTGCTCACACATTTATTGGGGCCCTACAAAGTGCTGGGCCCTGTGCCAAGTAGTGGGGGCCCTTGGTGGAAATGTGTCCACCAGACAGTTCCTGTTTCTTTTTTCTCCCTGGTAAAGTGGGCTGGACGACTAACACGTGGTTCTTAGAATGTCTGGTCTCCCTCAACAATATAATTCTCACCTCTTGTAGGGCAGGAAAAAAAAACTAAGGCAAGATTAAAAGGGAAAAAATGACACCTTGATGCATTTTTCTCTCAAGTTTTGCTAGGTCTTAGAACTCACCACTTAGTAATTGAGGGAGAGGAAGAAATTGATATTTGTAGAATGATTATTATATGTTAGATATTTTAAAAAGAGTAATCATTTAATCTTGACAACACCTGTTTAAGGTGGGCATTATTATCCCATTTTACAGATGAGGAATGTGAGGTTTAGAGCAGCTAAATATCTTGTCTAAGATTACCTAGCAATGTAATGAAAAGAACATGGGCTTTGAAGTCAGACCTCACTGGAGATTAATTTTGCCACCAGATTTCATTCTTCATAGCAGGGATTTTTAACCTGGCAAATGTGGGGTAGTATCAATTCACCACAAGAAATAGCAAATAATACTTTATGTGTAGGAGAGTATGTTATGGTGAGGGACAACATGGCTTTCCTCTGATTTTTTAAGGGGGGTGGTCCATGGCTCTTTAAATGTCATTATTAAATAAAAGAATCCCCTTGCCTGTGATTGAAACCCCATTGCCTAGATGTTAGCTCCCTTGACTTTAAAGCAAGTTCATAAATTTCCAACTGAAGGCATTCAATCAGCAGGGGCTTTTCTTTTTGTCTTCATTGTGGGGAGGATTACTGCTTGAGTCTATCCTGTATGCTTTCTTCTTCCTGGTCTGGGTATAAATATCCTTTGCTATTTTATTGTTCACAATTGAATGTAATAATAACTTGGCATACTCTTGCAAGGCTTGTCTATTTATTTTTTCCTACATAAATTCTATATAATAATTTGTGAGAGCGAAACCCAGGCAACTCCGTTTAGATACACCTTAAAAGTAAAGACTCTTATTCAGAGTCACTCCAACTTGATTTGGAAATGTTTGGTTGAGAAATGCTCTGTGGACTTAAAATTGGAACTACATTTGTGATCCCTTTGTTTTAAAGAAATAAAACCGGTAAAATTTTCTAAAACAAAAAATTTCTTTTTTTCTTTTGTAGAAAACATATACCTTCCTATTTTCAGAAAGTTCTCATCTATGGTTTATAGGCTTGTTCATTCCTTTAACAAATATTTACTGTCCCTTCACCAATCATGTGCTGGACACTGTGTTTGGTTGGAATATAAAGATGAATAAGACATAATCCCTCCCCCGAGTCACATAAATGTAAACATGTTATTAGAATTAATGACATAAGTATTAACAGAAGTACTTCAGGGTGCTGCAGAAACAAGGGAAAAAGATCAGTTCTTCCTGCCCTATACATATAACTGTCCTTGTTTTATCCCCTACTTTTACAAATCATTTTATGAAGTAATTTTTAGACGGCAAGATTTTTAGAAAATAGAAAATCTTAAAAATGATATTCTCTCAGATAATAACTTGTTGTGAACCACGTTGTTCTGACACAAAGGAGTTCTGCTACTCTCGAGTGAGGCAGCATTGTTGGGTAAAGGAGCCTAGGACTGGAAATTAGGAGGATGAAGATCTAGTTCAGGAATCTACCAACTAACTTCCTCAACCTGGACAAGCCCATTCACCTGTTTGGGCCGCACTTTCTACATCTATATCTCGGCATACCTCACTTGATTGCAGTGCACTTTGTCGTGCTTTGCAGATACTGTGTTTTTCACAAACTGAAGGTTTGTGGCAATTCTACATTGAGCAAGTCTATAGTGCCACTTTTCCAACAGTATGGGCTCACTTCGTGTGTCTGTCACATTTTGGTAATTCTCACAATATTTCCAACGTTTTAATTATCGTTATATCTGTTATGGAGATCTGTGATCAGTGATCTTTGATGTTACTATTGTAATTGTTTTGGGGTGCCATGAACTGCACTCACAAAAGACGGCAAATTTCAATAAATGTGTGTGTTCTGACTGCTCTGCCAACCTGTTGTTCCCTGAGTTTTTCCCTCTCCTCAGGACTTCCTATTTCCTAAAACACAATAACATTGAAATTAGGCCAGTGAATAGCCCTACAATAGCCTCTAAGTGTTCAAATGAAAGGAAGAGTCAAAGGTCTTCAGCCACAACATTCCCTTAAGCCAAAACCTAACCCAGAGCAAGGCCCTAACTCTTCAATTCTATGAAGACAGTGGTGAGGAAGCTGCAGAAGAAAAGTTGGAAACCAGCAGAGGTTGGTTCATGAAGTTTTAAGGAAAGAAGCCATCTCCATAACATAAAACTGCAAGGTGAAGCAGCAAGTGCTGATGGAGAAGCTGCAGCAAGTTATCCAGAAGATCTAGCTACCATCATTGATGAAGGTGGCTATACTAAACAACAGATTTTCAGTGGATATGAAATAGCCTTCTATAGGAAGAAGATGCCATCTAGGATTTTCATAGTTAGAGAGAAGTCAATGCCTGGCCTAAAAACTTCAAAGGACAGGCTGACTCTCTTGTTTGAGGCTAATGCAGCTGATGACTTTAAGTCGAGGACAATGTTCATTTACCATTCTGAAAATCCTGGAGCCCTTAATAATTATACAGAATCCACCTGTCTGTGCTCTATAAATGGAATAGCAAAGCCTAGTTGACATCACATCTGTTCACAGCATGGTTTACTGAATATTTTAAGCTCACTATTGAGACCTATGGCTTAGAAAGAAAGATTGCTTTCAAAATATTACTGCTCCTTGACAATGCACCAGGTCACCCAGGAGCTCTGATGGAGATATGCAACAAAATTAATGTTGTTTTCATGCCTCCTAACACAACATCCATTCTGCATCTCATGGACCAAGGAGTAATTTCAAGTCTTATTATTTAAGAAATACATTTTATAAGGCTATAGCTGCCATAGATAGTGATTCCTTTGATGGATCTGGACAAAGTAAATTGAAAACCTTCTAGAAAGGGCTGAGTGCAGTGGCTTACAGCTGTAATCCCAGCACTTTGGGAGACTGAGGCAAGGATTACTAGAGGCCAGGAGTTCTAGATCAGCCTGGGCAACATAGTGAGACCCCATCTCTACTAAAAATAATAAAAAGTACTTTCTGGAAAGGATTCACCATTCTAGATGCCATCAAGAACATTCGTAATTTGTGGGAGGAGATCAAAATATCAACAATAACAGGAGTTTGGAAGAAGTTGATTACAACTCTCATTGACGACTTCGAGAGATTCAAGACTTCAGTGGAGGGAGTAACTGCAGATGTGATGGAAGTAGCAAGAGAACTAGAATTAGAATCTAAAGATGTAAATGAATTTCTGCAATCTTATCATAAAGCTTGAATGGATGAGAAGTTGCTTCTTATGGATGAACAAAGAAAGTGGCTTCTCGAGATGGAATCTACCCCTGCTGAAGATGCTGTGAACATTATTGAAATGACAACAAAGGATTTAGAATAGTACATCAGCTTAGTTGATAAAGCAGCAGCAGGTTTTAAGAGGATTGACTCCAATTTTGAAAGTAGTTCTACTGTACATAAAATGTGTGTCAAACAGCATCACGTGCTACAGATAAATCTTTTGTAAAAGGAAGAGTCCATCAATGCAGCAAACTTCATTGTTGTTTTGTTTTAAGAAATTGCCATAGCCACCTAAACTTCAGCAACCACCATCCTTATCAATCAGCAGCTATTGACATCAAGGCAAGGTCCTCCACCAGCGAAAAGGTTACAACTCACAGAAGGCTCAGATGATCATTAACATTTTTAAAAAATAAAGAATTTTTAAGTTAAGATATGTACATTTTTTAGACATAATGCCATTTCACACTTAATAGACTATAGCATGACCTAAACATAACTTTTTTTTTTTTTTTTTTGAGACGGAGTCTCACTCTGTCGCCCAGGCTGGAGTGCAGTGTCGCGATCTCGGCTCACTGCAAGCTCCGCCTCCCGGGTTTACGCCATTCTCCTGCCTCAACCTCCCGAGTTGCTGGGACTACAGGCGCCCGCCACCATGCCTGGCTAACTTTGTTTTTGTATTTTTTTAGTAGAGACGGGGTTTCACCATGTTAGCCAGGATGGTCTTGATCTCCTGACCTCATGATCTGCTCGCCTCGGCCTCGCAAAGTGCTGGGATTACAGTAAACATGACTTTTATATAAATTGGGAAGCCAAAAAATTTGTGTGACTCACTTTACTGTTATAGTCTCTTTATTATGGTGGTCTGGAATAAAACCTGCAATGTCTTTGAGGCATGCTTGTATTTGCCAAGGATTCTGGATCCTCAAGTGTCTTCCTTTAATGTTCTGTGATTCCAACATTTTCTTTGGCAGGACAGTGAAAAAAAAATCAAACATGACCCCAAAATACTGTATTTGAAATTGCAAGGTTGGGTTAATTTCACCAAAGAAGGGATGTTAATCCAATGAATAAATGATCAACTCCCCCCGCCCGACCCCGCATTTTGTTAACTAGTTCCTACAATCCTACTGAAGTGGTGGCCAAAAATAGTGGTTTGTACCCTATGACTCAACTGTCCTAGGCCATAGCTGATTGGACCAGGGTGGATATAAAAGCCATGTTATTCCTTTCAGGAATGTGGAATTGGGACACTAAGGACTGTAGTTGTGGTGGGACAAGTCAAAGGCATGTCCAAAATCAAGTTAGAGCAGGGGAGCTCTAACTCAGTTAGTTGGGGGAGCAGGAGGAACAAGTCCAATGAATCAGGAGGGAATGCTCAGGAACTGGGTGGCCTTGGATATATCTATATCTACATGTATAGGTTGGTGCAAAAGTAACTGTGGTTTTGCCATTACATTCCATGGCAAAAACCGCAATAACTTTTGTACCAACCAAGTACATCTACATATATATACATTGATATCTAGATATTTCTCAATATCTATAACTCTATGTCTATAATTATATCTCTATAACTTAACTATAATTATATCCATATTCATCTATATCTACATATCTCTAATTATATATCTATCACTATTGCTATATCTATATATGCATAATTATTTCTCCCTATGTCTATATATCCCTAACAATATCTCTTCTGTATCTCTATCACTATATCTGTATCTACCTACATGCCTATAATATCAATACCTCTATATCACTATATGTATAATTATAGCTCTATCTCTATATCTTAGTTATCTATATCCCTATGGCACTATCATTGTACCTATATCTGTATATCTATAATTATATCTCTTGCTATAACTACATTTATATATTTGTAACTATATCTCTTTCCATTTCTCTATCACTGTATCTATGTCTATCACTATATGTATCCCTACCACTATCTCCCTATCTTTATCTTAAGTTAGTTTTATGATTCTTCTGTTTCATTAAGACCTGGATCTACTTGCTGCCCTCCATCTCTATAAGACTCCCTGAATCATTTTAACATACTTCCTTTGAATGTTGAGTTAGTTTGAATGAATTTCTGTTTCCTGCAGCCAGAGGAGTCCTGGCTAAAACACCATTCCATTTTACCTCCCAGCTTTTTGCATAAATGTCAAACAAACAAAAAACCACACACACACACACACACACACACACACCAAAAAGTCCCCAGCAGTTGAATCCTAGCTCATTGTTTGGCCCCACACCTTCCATTTTACTGATCTTGTAAACGTGATGTTTTTGGGTGTGGTATGAAATTTGTATGGTGTGAAAATGAAAAAACAAAAAAATCGCATCTTTTAAATTTTGTTTTCAGTTCAACAAAATACACCATAAGTTCCCTAAATAACAGATTTCTGATGTATGTAAACTCTAGTATTTCCTGCTTTTGTCAAATGCATTTTACTGCTTGGATGCCAGGGACAAGAATTTATGTAACTGGGAGCTTATTGTAAAAACACAATATGTTAATAATTACATATTTCCTAGATATAGTTATCTTTGCCAAACAGAAAAAGAAAACTTAATAGTATTTTGTTGATGTTAAATGGTCTTCAGATTATGAAAATAAAATATCCCGTATTTGCTACTGAGTTCCAGTAACATCGCAAACCATTTTAGATGAGTGTATATATTCAGGAATTAATAATACAACACAGCTCTGATGGAAATATTTGTGCTTAAAGTTTACAGCTAAAGGTTGATTTTTCTTGTTCTTTCATTCAACAAAGGTTTACCTAGTGCCTACCATGTGCTGGTCACTGTGGGACAGAGAAGGGGACAAGAGAAAACTGCTCTAAGAGAGCTTCCTCATAATGAGGAAAGATAGACAAACAGGTACACAAATATATAAGTAATATAATTGATACTTAATTTGTAGACAGATTTTTTAAAATAAGCTGAACATTTTGTTGCATATATACATAAATATATAAGTAATATAATTGATAACTTTAATTGTAGAGAGTTATTTTTAAATAAGCTGAACATTTTGTTACATATATAGACCTTTTTCTTAATTTGGCTTTATAATAACAGGAAAAGGATTGAAGGTTTTAGTAAAGTTGTTGGTCCATGTTTGGTTTTACACAATATTTATTTAAACCACAACTGCCTTCTAAAGTATTTTTCATAGAAACATTTTTACAAAGATTTTTTAAGTAGCAAAACATTCACTTGGATTCTTTTGGATAAATGGATAGGGGTATTAATTACATGTGTGTTTTGCAAATGTGACACTGGAGCTCATGCAAAACAGCTGCCCAAAGCCTAATATGAGGGGTCTCATATTAGTTCATGGAAAATGTATATTATGAAAAAAGTATGCATGGATTTCCATTTTTTTAACAAAAATAAACTTTATTTTATTTTATTTTATTTTTGAGATGGAGTTTCGCTCTTGTTGCCCAAACTGAAGTGCAATGGCATGATCTCAGCTCACTGCAACCTCTGCTTCCTAGGTTCAAGTGATTCTCCTGCCTCAGCCTCCTGAGTAGCTGGGATTACAGGCATGCGCCACCACACCTGGCTAATTTTGTATTTTTAGTAGAGATGGAGTTTCTCCATATTGGTCAGGCTGGTCTCGAACTCCCGACCTCAGGTGATCTGCCCGCCTTGGACTCCCAAAGTGTGGGGAGTACAGGTGTGAGCCACTGCACCCAGCCCCAAAATAAACTTTTTCACTTGTTATAACATGCCTGAACAGGATCGCGTTTGAGGCACTAAGAAGGATAAGACATCAGTTTGAAAAGAGTCTAAAATTAAAGCAAGAAAAAACATCAAATTTATGGTGCTCAGCCTGGGCAATGTGGCAAAATCCTGTCTTTATAAAAAATACAAAAAATTAGCTGGGTGTGGTGGCAGGCACTTGTGGTCCCAGGGAGGCTAAGGTGGGAGGATCACCTGAGCCTGTATGATCGAGGCTGCAGTGAGCTGAGATTGCTCTGATTGCTCCACTGCACTCCAGCCTGGGTGACAGAGTGAAACCCTGTCTCCAAAAAAAAAAAAAAAAAAAAAAAGGTTAAGCTTGGGTGGAAGAATGGTGAAATCATTGATGTTTAATGAAAAGTTTATGGGGACAATGCCCCAAAGAAATCAGCAGTTTACAAGTGAACAATTTGTTTTAAGAAGGAACGAGGTGACGTTGAAGATGAAGCCTGCAGCTGAAGATCATCCACATCAATTTGTGAGGAAAAAATTCACCTTGTTCATGCCCTAATTGAAGAGGACCGACGATTAACAGCAGAAGCAATAGCTAACAACATAGACATCTCAATTGGTTCAGCTGACACAATTTTGACTAAAAAATTAAAGTTGAGTAAACTTTACACTCAGTGGGTGCCAAAATCATTGCACCCACATCAACTGCAGACAAGAGCAGAGCTTTCAAAGGAAATTTTAAACAAATGGGATCAAGATCCTGAAATTTTCTTCAAAGAATTGTAATGGAAAATGAAACATGACTTTCCCACTGCCATGCCAAAGACAAAGCACAATCAAAGCAATGGCTACCAAGAGGTGGAAGTGGTCCAGTTAAAGCAAAAGTGGATGGGTCAAGAACAAAGATTATAGCAACAGTTTTTGGGAATGCTCAAGGCATTTTACTTGACTTTTTGGAGGGCCAAGAAACGATAGCATCTGCTTATTATGGGAGTGTTTTGAGGAACTTAGGCAAAGCTTTAGCAGAAAAATTCCTGGGGAAGCTTTACCAGAGAGTCCTTCTCCACCACAACAATGCTCCTTCTCATTCTTTTCATCAAACAAGGGCAATTTTGTAAGAGTTTTGATGGGAAATCATTAGCTGTCCACCTTATAGTCCTGACTCTCTCCTTCTGACTTCTTTTTGTTTCCCAATTTTAAACAATCTTTAAAGGGTGCCCATTTTTCCTCAGTTAATCATGTAAAAAGACTGCATTGATATGCTTAAATTCCCAAGACCCTCAATTCTTTAGGGATGAACTAAACTGCTGGTATCATCAATTACAAAAGTGTCTTGAACTTGATGGAGTTTACGTTGAGAAATGAAGTTTCTATTTTTATTTTTATCTTTTAATTCAGTATTTCCAGGAACTTTTTGAGGTCCCCTCATGTTACTAAGTCCCAAATGCTCAAGGGATCATTCAACATCAGGAAATGTGAAAAAATAATACAAGTGTGAACTTTGGTGATAAAGCAGCATAGGATATCCTACTCCTTAAAAGAGGGAAAAAAAATGATGTCTTTACAGTAGTTGCTCTGTATTGTTTAATTTTACTTCCAGTTTGAAAGAGCTAAGTTAAGAATCTCCTGTTCCCTATCATTCTTAATGAATTGAACTAAAGACCTCACCTAAACCTGCCATGGGTGTCACCTAGATGTCAACAATACTATTGAAGTGTAGCCCAGGTCTGATCTCATCACCCTGAATTTTGCATGATCCATTTTCCTGTAATGAGAGTCCCAGGCATAGATTTATGAGATCAAATATAGCTGGACTTCTAGGACTCACAAACCAAGTGATTTATCTAAAACTGCTACTAATTCTTGGTAAAGGTGAATCATTTGATGTTGTATTTCTTCACTCATCTCAGAGGGTTAATGAGAATAATTTTAGGATATAAGACATTTAGAAAGTTTGTATTCTCATTTGAGTGTAGGTAAAAATAGATCACAGGCACCACTTTTAAAAGAGGTGGGTCAAAGCCTGCCATCCATGGTATTATGCCATGATTCCCTTCTGGTGCCTTTCCCTTTCTGTCCAACTCAAATTTCTTCTAAAACTGAGAACTCTGGTTTCCATTCTTATTAGTAAGGTTATGGGCATGAGAAATGATGAATTATAAGACAAGGTCTCACTCTGTCACCCACACTAGAGTGCAGTGGTGCAATCATGATTCACTGCAACCTTGAACTCCTGAGCTCAAGCGATCCTCTCACCTCAGCTTCTCAAGTAGCTGGAACTACAGGTACACACTACCACACCTGGCTAATTTTTGTATTTTTTTGTAGAGATGAGGTTTCGCTATGTTGCCCAGGCTGGTCTCAAGCTCCTGGACTCAAACAATCCTCCTGCCTCGGCCTTCCAAAGTGTTGGGATTACAGGCATGAGCCACCACACCCAGCTAAAGTCAGTGTTTATTGCAAGAATTTTGCTAACACTTTCTAACATTAAAAAAGCTTATTAAAAAGACATGTCCTGTTTTGCCTCTTGTGTTCTATAATAAGGCTTTATTCTGAAGCTACGTAAGATCTGCAACACTCACAAACATGCCAATGAGAAAATTCAGTCAAAAAATGTTTATCATATGGTGATGTAGGGAAACATTTGTGTTTCAATGAAAAGCAATGCATTGTTTAGATCACACTCTTCTTGGTTTTCTGACTCTAGCCTCTCATTGCCTTTGAACTATTTTACAACTCTTCAAGTTATAGGTGACTATAGCAATGCAAAATCACTTTTATCTATAGATGTGTACATCCTGTCCGCTGGAAGTTCAAGTGACTTTCCTCACCCAAGCCCTTGGCACACACTTTTGCATTTAGTCATCATATCAGCCTATGACATAGGAACTATTATCATCCCCATTCCCCCATCAGGAAACGGAAGTCTAGAGAGATCCAGAAACTTGCCCAAGTCACTTTGCTGGTAAGCAAGGAAATCAGGATCAAACCCTGTCAGCCCGATGAATACAAATTATGTTAGTTTTCAGGTTATCATAGAGAAAAGTATGTTTATGGTCAGGAGGGAAGACATTCCTACTACCAATTTGTCATCGAGTGTAACTTGTGTTGTTAATTTCCTCCTTATAGAGTTATTTTTTTTAATCTAAATAGATTACAGTTCCATGGCTTACCTCTGCATTTCTCTCTGTACCTTCTTCCTCTCATCTCCAAAGGACAGACACCATCTGTGAACAGGTGCAATGGTATTTAAAGAGGACAACCCCTCCTCTAGGGATCTCAATGCTAGTGCTCTAAATATGGCAGGCAGAGCTGGAAACCCTGCTGCAGTGCCAAGGAATTTCCAGGATTCCCAGCGAGTGTCTTGAGGTCTCTTGGAGATATAAACCTTTTGTAAAAAGATCTCCTTGGACTGATCTGGATGGTATAATTCAAAGCATGCAGCCCTCGTGTCAGAGATGCTCTGGGTTTGAAGAACCTGGGCTATTTTTTAAGGAGTCCTGAAAAAAACCAGAAAAGCTCTCTCTTGTATAAGTCCTGGAGTAGCTGGCACCAGGTCCCCGATCTGCCTGCACTTGGACTGTGGCATAGCGAATAGAAAGTGTTATATAAGGAACATTTGAAAAGGAACTTTGAGAGAGGACTGCTCTGTTTCTGAAAACTTGATAGCTCAAAGCAAGACCAGGTTTATATTTTTAATTTTTATTTTGGAAAGTTTTAAACATTTGCAAATGTAGAGCAGTATAATGAGGCCTCATGAACCCATTAGCCAGCTTCAACTATGACTGTCATTCTGACATTAACATTCCTCTTCTATTTTGCTGGAGAATTTAAAGCAAATCTAATGCATTTGTATACTTTCACCAGTAGATACTTCTGTATTATCTTCTAGCAGATAAGGCCTTTAAAATAATAACAATAATGCCTATGTATTTAAGAGGAAAGAAAATGTATCCCAAGTCTATTACTCTGGGTAAAGCCACTTACATAGGTTATTTGCATTCCTTTTTAAAAGGAAGAAGTTTGGTTCTTGGGGGAGCTAGTCTGTTCTGTGCAGTGTCTACCTGGCTGTCTTCACAGGAGCCAAGCGGCCTCCCTGAAGAACACAGCTATGTTGACAGGGAAGCCTACAGCTGATTGGGAATGAGGATCCCTCCCAAGGGCTCCTGAGAAGGTTGGAGAGCCTAGCCCCTGGATGGAGGATGGCCATAGGCCATTGTAGAGGCAAGCTAATTCCTCTACCATTGAGGCAGACTGAGGCAAAAGAGGAAGACCAGCCTGAGGAAGATACCATAGACTCCAGAAGCAGCCCCATCTAGTCATCAATTTAAAATTTTTACTTTCTGTTTTATCATTTCCTTCAGTGATGTACAAGCTTTCAGTCAAGCTTTGTTAAATACTGAGCAGAGCTTTGTTCAATATGGTGAGCTGCACAGTGTAGCATGTGGCTGTGGCTTATTTGGCTATCACAGTTCTCAAAACACATGTTTAAAACAATGTTAGAAAATTGGTAAAATTTCCCTCCAAACCTGTTCCTCTGGCTTCTCTTTCAAAATCAGAAAATATGGCAACGTGAAACCTGAACTCTGCCATGGTGCCATTTGATGGGGGCTGAATAATACAGCCTATGTCCCTAGACTGGACACGTTTGCCCTATCTCCACCCTCACCATGGGCTCTGTCATCTCCCCAACACTCAGGCTGAGGGCAGTTGTCATTTATTAATGAGTCTGAACCACTCTTTTTCTTATAGAGGAGAAATATTTCTTTGTATCCAGTTTGTTCCCTAAACTAGTAAAATGAGAGATAAAATCTACCGAAAACTTGGCAGAAGTTTTCAAGAAAAATGGGAGAGAACAAATGTTTAAGTGAGGACCATTTCTACTTAATATCCAAACAGCTCTTCCACTCCTTCTCTTATCTTTAAAAAATTTTTAAATTATTCATTTATTTATTTAACTGACAAGTTAAAATAATATATATTTATGGTATACAACATGATGTTTGGAAATATGCATACATTGTGGAATGACTAAATAAAGCTAATTAACATATCCATCCCCTCACATACTTATCATTTTTGTGGTAAGAACACTTAAAATCTACTCTTAGTAATTTTCAAATGTATAACACATTGTTATTAACTATAATTGCCATGTTGTACAATATATCTCTTGAACTTATTCCTCCTGTCTAACTGAAATTTTGTATTCTTGAACATCTTCCCAACTACCCCTTGTCTTGTCTTGTCTGATTCCAAAGGGAGTTGTACTTTAGGAGGGTATAACTAAGGTTGTGTCCCCATAAGTAGCCCCTAAGAAAAGAGATTTACTGGGAGGTGTTACCAGGGAAAGTCAGAAGGGAGGTGGGAAGGACCAGGAAAGGAAGGTGCATAGGCAAATATGTAATGTTGGGCAAAGTACTACAGAGAGTTCTGTGGCCCAGTCCCACAGGAGAGCTCAGGAGATAGCGAAGGTTGTGACTCAGAGTTGTTCCAGTCAAGGTGCAAGGGAGCTGGGGTATTTATACCTCCTTACTCATCAGTCTTGAGTTGATAGCTGTTTTTGGCAAATACATAAATTCCCATGTGTAGGTGAAGTGGGGTCAGGCAGCTGGAGGCTGTTCCACCTACAAATGGGCATCAGTGTGTTGCTGGCTATTGAGAGTGAATGCATGCTGGGAGGTACTGTGCTCTGAAATGCAATGGGCACCAAGGGCAAGTGGCTGAAGCACTGTCAGCATCTGCTACAGAATGGGACGGGGCCAAAGCCTCATCTATGGTGGGGACAGAGGTGTGAGAAGGGCAGCAGCTTCATGGAGGATGGGAAAGTCAAAAGGCAAGAAGTGATAGCTGAGCAGAGAACCTGAAGCTGTGCTTGTCAAGTGAAAGAGACAAGCAACAACCGGGACAGACTGGGGGAACAAGCACATCTCCTTCACAACTTCCATAATTCTAATTCACTGGGAAGGGGATTTGGTAAGACTCCTTGCCACTCAAGGGGATCAGGGGCTTGCTCCTTGGTGACTTGGAAAGGAAAGAGTTGTCCCTGAAAGCTGGAGAATCTGGAGATATCTGACCTATAGAAACATATGTACATATTTCCCAATAGGCTAACCACAGCATCCTATAGTCTCACCATGCCTGCCACATATTCCAGAACACATATTGCCTAGTGCCACAATACTGAAGGAGAATTCTGGGCAGCCCTGGCCCTCTGAAGATGTACATTATTCCAGAGAGCTTCTGTTTATCACTTATGGGCTCAGCTAGGCTACTTGTTGTGCCTAAACAGACAACAAGATCTCCAAATGTCCAAACCTGTATCTTCCATGACTGCCTGCCCCCACCCCTACCCCTCACCCTGGTAATTCCCTGGAGAGAAATGGGGTATTCAAAGCATCTGAGACAAATACCTACTTTATCTCTTCATCACTGGCTAGGGTTAGCTCCTACTCTGGCCTAAGCTATATGTAATCCTCAAGAACTCTTTCTGCTTAAGACCTATACTAATGCAGACCTACACAATTTAACCTCCCAGAGAAACATACTTTTTGTATCTTCTGAGAAGGAGACATCTCAGGGCTCTGGCCACAGGTGTTAAAAGAGAAAAAAGAGTGATTGAAATGGAGTAGGAGTTGTCAAACTTGTTCTGTAAAGGACCAGATAGTAGATATTTTAAGCTTTACAGGTCATGTGGTCTGTCACAATTACTCAACTCTGCTGTTATAGTACAAAGGCAGTCACAGATAATACTTAAATGAATGAGCATGGCTGTGTTCCAATAAAACTTTATTTATGGACCTTGAAATTTCAATTTCATGTAATTTTTATGTGTCAAGAGATATTATTCCTTGGCCAGGTGTGGTGGCGCATGCCTTAATCACAGCACTTTGGGAGGCCGAGGCGGGTGGATCACTTGAACTCAGGAGTTAGAGACCAGCCTGGCCAACATGGTGAAACCCTGTCTCTACTAAAAATAAAATAAATAAATAAATAAAAATTATCTGGTTGTGGTGGCATGTGCCTGTAATCCCAGCTACTTGGGAGGCTGAGGTAGGAGAATTGCTTGAACCTGGGAGGTGGAGGTTGCAGTGAGCTGAAATAGTGCCACTGCACTCCAGCCTGCCTGGGCAACAGAGTGAGACTCTGTCTCAAACAAAAAAAGAAAAAGAAAAAAAAAGGAGACATATTACTCCTCCTTTAATTGTTTTTAAAGCATTAAAAGAAAAACATTCTTAGCTCACAGATGTATAAAAACAGCTTGTGGGCAGGATTTAGTTCAAGGATCATATTTTGCTGAGTCCTGCTATAGACAGAAGAGCAGTTGCCCCACCCACTCATATTTATCCACTTTTTATTTCTCCTATTACACACTCCCATACCCTAGCAGACCAGGCTTGATGTGTAATCTGAAAACTCTATTTTGTCCTCAATGATGATGAGTTTCCCTTTCTTGGAGGAAGAGCTGGTAGAGACCTAAACTCCCCTTGGATGTTAAATTATGGGACCAAATTAGCCAATGTTGGGTGGAATTTTAAATTTAAAAAATTAAATTGAAAACTTAAGTAATATATTTCCAAAAGTTTAATGAGGCCATTCCAAATGTACACATTTTTTTCCAACTTGAACCAGAACATGAAAATATTATAGAAATTCAAATGACTGAATAAACAAGCCACTTGGTCTGCGTTTTTGGAGAAAGAAGAAGCTATGGAAAATACCAAAACCATTTAACATTTGTCTGTGGAAAGCCCTCAAAGACAGAGCACAGTAGTTGATCCAACATGAGAATTTCAAACATTTAACTGGGAGTTAAACATTTTGAGTGTTAGGGCCTCATCAGAATCATAGGCAATGTTTTATTTCTTGTCAAAATGCCTTTCCCACTGTACATTCAGCATAAATGACTGTCATTTTAGTAAACATTCAGTCCTTAGTGTAAAAGAAAAAGGAAAGTTATATTAAAATGACTCAGTGTTACAATGAGTTATGTATTACATAAAAAATACAGTTACAGGTTTTGCAAATGTCAGCCTCTGGTATTATGAATGTTGACTTTCAAAATCAATCAGTTAGGCAGCTGAAAGCAGTTCATAGGAGTCATTGGGGTTTAAATTACCAGAAAAAAAAATAATTTGGAGAGAAACAGTGGCAAGGTTATATTTCTAGACTTGAGGGGGTTTAAAAGGTTTTTTAGAAAGTTTGGCACTGGCTGAGACAGGACTGCTGTTTTAAATAAAGTATTGGTTTTGACAGTAGCCCACATTTTATTTGTTGTAGCGATACTATTTTGAGGTTAGAGTTGTAAGTTGAGGAATTTTTTCTGCATTTACTTATGGAGAAACACAGGACAGACCATTTCACCTGGAAGTCTAAGACACTATAATGGTTCTAAGAAGACCACATCAAAGTGTCCTGTTCACTCTTAGAATTACAGTCCAGGGAAAGGAGGAATTGTGAGGAAGAACAGAGAATACAGAGAATTGTGGGATAGAACAGAGAACTGTGGGATAGAACAGAGAATTGTGGAATTATGGAGTAAATGGTGAATTATAGGAAAGGCAAGGAATTGTCAGAGAGAATGGGGAATTGTGAGAGCCACATGGAATTATGGGAGAAATAGGGAATTTTGAAAGAAACAGAGAACTATGGGAGGTAATAGAAATTATAGGAAAGGCAAGGAACTGTGGGAAAGAATGGTGAATTGTGAGAAAAGTAAGGGATTGTGGGAGAAACAGAGAATTGGGGAAAAGAAAGTACAGTATTCCCCACTACCAAATCCCAGTGGATGCCTAAAACTGTGAAGAGTAGCGAATTCTACGTATACTATGTTTAATTTATAAATTAAAATAAAAATTAAGTGAATGTGGTCTCTCTCTCAAAATATCTTATGGTACTATATTCACCTTTCTTCTTATGATGCTGTGAGATGACACTGTGACTAGATGAAGTGAGGTGAATGACGTAAGCATTGTGATGTAGTGTTAGGCTACCACTGACCTTCAAGTGACACGCCAGAAGGAGGATGGTCTGCTTCAGGTGATCCTGGATCATCGAGCCATGATGATGTTGATGGTTGGATGCCAGGAGAAGTTGATGGTTGGGGATCCTTGATGGTTGACGGTTTTGTTTGTTTGTTTGTTTGTTTGTTTGTTTGCCAAAACCTTTTGGAGAACATTGTAATTGGAGGTTGTTGTCTCTTTCTCTTTAGCTCATCAAGATGTTGCTGCAGAGATAGTAGATAGATAGTCCTTCCATGGTCATACGAGTGCTTTTAATGCTGCGTTCCATCCAAGGATAGTATTCCATAATTTTGTCCGTTAATGTATGTGCACTTCGAAACACTTCAGCAAATTTCAGTATTGACCTCGTTGCTGGTTCTGCATGCTAGCATAAATCTCCTTTTCCTTCTTCACAATTTCACAGATAGAAAATTCATTTTTACCATAGATGTTAGCAACCTCAAAATACAAGTTTTTTTCTTTTCTTATTAATTGGAGATCCTCATCTTTTCACTTAAAAGAAGCATTTTACAGCTTCTCTTTGACATATTCAAATTGTTACCATCACTACTCTTGTGCTTTGGGGCATTAAGGAAATTAAGGGTTACTTGAATATGAGCACTGTGATATCACTACAGTCAACCTAATCTCTGATTTCTGATCTCAGAGATGCCTCCTAAGGTATGAGATTTTATCATGCTACTCAGAACAGTACAGAACTTAAAACCTATGAAGTGTTTATTTCCGGAATTTTCCATTTAATATTTTTGGACTGTGGTTGACTGCATGTAACTAAACCTTGGAAAGCAAAACCATGGATAAGGAAGGACTATTGTAGAACTGTGAGAGAAAAGAGAATTGTGGGAGAGATGGGAAATTGTTGGAGAGGCAAAGAATTGTGGGAGAGACAAGGAATTGTGTGAGGGACTGGAAATTGTGAAAGAGAATGGAGAATTGAGAGAGAAACAGAACTGTAGATGCTCTGAGAAATGCAAAAGCAGCACTGATAATAAAGATGAGGAACTGTAGTTTGGGAAAGGTGACTCATTTTACCAGGGCCAGTTGTAAATTCAGTTTGTAACTCCCAGAAAGCTGCTGATTTTTACTCTCTGCTAAGCCCTGGGTTCTGCCAGCAGCAGTTCCATCACACTACCATGAACTGGCAACTTCACAGGCACTGCCCCCTATGTGCTAGTTCCGAAGTCTAGGATTATTACTCTAGACTGTCTCCATTCTCTCCCCACAGAGCTTGCTCTGCCACAGTATGGAAAGTTAGATGCTGTGCTCAGTGGCCCTTACATTTGCCATACCTGTGGACCTACCGTTAGGAGCCCTAGAGATGAAGTCAAGCTTAGGCAACTGGAGACACTCATTTTTCATGCCACTTTGGTTGTCAGTTTATAAAGAAAAAAGCAACATATATGCTTTGCTGAGTGACATTTTCCCTCTTTTGTACTTTAGTTTTCATTGAATGCTGGGAGGTCTTCTCATTCACCAGGAAATTGATTGTTTGTCATTTTCATGAATAAATGTGATGAGAATGTTAGTTTCAGCTTGGAAATATGCTAAATATAAATTACTGGCTTTGGAATGAAAAAAATATATTTGCTCACTTCTGTCCAAAAGCTGAGAGCTTCATATTGCTGCATTTAGACATAGGTAATTTAGTCTCTTATTTCCTAAGTGTTTATAATCATAACCAGGGTGATATCCTGGATGTCATTCAGGACTTTTTCACCCTTTGGTCTATAATGCTTTCCACATGTTGGTTTAGAAATGTACTTCTCTCTGTTTTCTCTTCTTAAGAAGCCATCAGCTTTTAAAGACATCTAGGAATATTTTACTTTTTAAATGGGAAGAGCATTGTAATGTTACAAGTAGTTCATTTCTCTTCAGGTACTTTTGTGCATATACATATATGTGGGCTTTCTAAAGACTTTGCTGTCTAACTGAAAGCTAACAATCACTGGGGATAAAAGTAGTTAAATTAATTCCTTTTCCCAGAAACAAATGAGTGGAGGCAGAAAGTGAGAATTCAATTCTACATTATCACAAAAAGAAAGGCATTAAGGCAGAGAAATGGTGGTTGGTAAGTCGAGTTAGCGGCAGAGTTCATCAGGATTGTCACCATCCAGCTTTGATTCCAGCAGGTCAAGCATAGAATGAAATCAGCTAGGTAAAGCCAAACATCTAAATAATGCAAGAAGAATTACATTCTCATTATTTGATTTTTTGTCATGAGCTAATCCATTTTGTTGTCTAAGAACTTGAAAAAAAAATCCTCAGTACAAAATTCAAAAGTTTCCAAGTTGTATAAGTGAAAAGTCAGCCTCCATTTTGCCCCATCCCCTAGTCACGCAATATCCCTTCGTAGAGACAATATTGATACCAGTTTCCTACATAGAGATGATTCATTTTCAAAAGTAAACAGGGTCTTGAATTTGAACTATTTTCTACTAATACAATTGAATATTTGATGTAGCAATGTTCCAACAAAATAAGTTGCAATGAACTGAAGTGAGATATGACCTGTATTTGTGTAGCCCACACTCGTGAGCATAAAGTGGTTAAGTAGCAAAACAGACAGTAGGTATATCTGAGTGGGAGACACTGAATTATTGAGTAAGTGACTTCTGTGCTGGGGGAACTTTTTTGCGTTATTTTAAACCTATACATTGCTACTTCAAATATCCTGCAAATTAAACCCTCTTCAGTGACTTTACTGCAACTTACAAAGGCAAAACCCAGAATGTCCCCAAATTATGCAGTCTAAAGAGAAACAAAAGACATGCCGAAATTAACAGGGGATGGTGGCCAGCATTTCCAGGTTGTGTAAAAGGAGAGATGGCCTACCTAGAGCAATTAGGCAAGAGGAAAAAATAAAAGGCATCCAAATTGGAAAGGAGAAAGTCAAATTGTCCCTGTTTGCAGATGACATGATCTTATATATAGAAAAACCTAAAGACCGTACCAAAAAGCTCTTAGAACTGATAAATTCAGTAAAGTTATAAGATAGAAAATTAACATAGAAAAGTTGGTAGCATTTTCTATACACAGTGAACTAGCTGAAAAAGAAATCAAGAAGGCAATCTCATTTACAATAGCTACCAAAACAGTTTTTTTAAATACCTAGAAATAAATGTACCCAAGGGGGGGAAAGATCTCTACAAGAAAAACCACAAAACATCAATGAGAGAAATTGAAGAGGATACAAATAAATGGAAAGATATACCACGCTCATGGATTAGAAGAATTAATATTGTTAAAATGACAATACTACCCAAAGCAATCTACAGATTCAATGCAATCCCTATCAAAATACCAATGGCATTTTTCACAGAAATAGAAAAAACAATCTTAAAATTTGTATGGAACCACAAAAGGAGAAACTGGGGGACAGAACTGGGGAAGCTACATTGCCATCAGACTTCAATGCAAGTCTGACCCCAAGTGAGGAAGAGAAGTTTGGTGAAAGAATCCGACTGCTAAGCAGACAAAAGGAAGGTTTGGCAGAGCTGCCTGGAAGTCTTGAAGTCAGAATCTTCCATTAGAGGAAACTTGTGTATCCCAGTAATGGGCTGGCTTAGTACCCACCACACTCAGTCATCAGCAAGGGCAAGGCATGGGAGGGGTGGCCTTGGCACAAATGCTGTGATGAATTTCAGAGGCAGCAGCTGGGGCCGTCAGTCACTTCAGCTCCTTGCAGTTAGACATCTGCAAGGTGTATTTTAACAGCCCTCATGTTTACAAATCACCCCTTTCCACTGAGGTCCATTTGGGAATTGTCACAACTAGCCCATCTCTAGTCCTGCCTTAATCTTTTTGCTTAAGTTAACTATTTATAAAGCTGTGTATAGTTCATTTTCCCAAAGGTGGATTTAATTATTCTGAAGTAACTTTTCTGTTTTCATGCAATATTGTTGGTAATGTAACTCTTTCAATTGTGGTTAAAAAATAATTGGACTGGTGAATTTTGGCAACTGAAATCAAGTTTCAGGTGCTCAGAAGAGGCAGATCAAGTTAACACTGTGCAACATGAGTTCTGATAAGGCCTGCATCTTTGGGTGTGTAAACATTACCTAAGCACCTGTAGGGCAAAAAGCCAGGGCCAAAATATGATGGAGCAGGTGCAAGCGATGAAGGAATAGTAAAAGGAGGCTGCCAACTGAAGCCAAAAATATAAATGGGAACAATAGCAGGCCCCAGTGGTGAGAGAAAATTCCCCAACTCTGCTAATCTCCTGTGCCCTTACAAGGGCTCCATGTGACAGAACTGCAGTGCTTCAGCAAAATCCCTTTGAGCAGAGGAATAGGAATGCTTTATTTGCATGTATTTGGGCCAGAGTTTGTCTCTTATTTCATGGTTTGTTCTTCTAGTTTGTATGAGAAGTGGAGATTACAAAACTCGGCACATTTGTGGGAATGGACTTCAATGCCTGGCTGTGAAATTAAACCCAGGGAGAGATAGGGGGTGTTTCTTCAATGTGGTATGCTGGCTTCGCCCACATAGTCCCCCTGACATCTATCTGTAGGAGCGAAACTCAGAACCGAGTTATCGAAGCACTGGAAATGCTTCTTGGCTCTCAGCACTTTCCCCAAAATTTCAATGAACACTGCCCAAGTCTTCTCTCTACATGCAAAGCCATTTTGGAAGAATTTTAAACTGTAGCAAGAAAAGAGGTTTCCAGAATTTGTGGTCTTAAACTGTTTATTCATTTAAAATATAGTATTTGTTTAAAATTTAAATGTATGTTAGGTAGTCTTTTTTTTCTTTTTTTTTTTTTTTTTTGAGATGGAGTCTCTGTCTGTTGCCCAGGCTGGAGTGCAGTGGTGTGATCTCGGCTCACTGCAACCTCTACCTCCCGGGTTCAAGTGATTCTCCTGCCTCAGCCTCCCAAGTAGCTGAGACTACAGGCGCATGTCACCACGCCTGGCTAATTTTTGTAATTTTAGTAGAGACGGGGTTTCACCATATTGGTCAGGCTGGTCTCGAACTCCTGACCTCAGGTGACCCCCCCACCCCCCACCCCCGGCCTCCCAAAGTGCTGGGACTACAGGCATGAGCCACTGCACCCGGCCTGGTAGAAAAAATTTTTAAAGGAGAAAAGGACATGCCATGGAAACCACTGCTCCTTCTCTCTCCAGTGACAATATGGAGCCTTACCTGAGCCCTACACACCTGGAAAACAGCAGAAGGCTCAGAAACCCCCTCACCCACTTTTTTTGTGTTGCAGGAAATGACTATTGCAAAGAACCACCTTTCCTCATATGATGATTTAGATAACCCCCCCTCGTTTACCTAGTACAAAGCCAGATACAGATTCTCCAAATTTCTATTCTTTTCCTTAAAAATGACTAGCTGAGCTCTTTTGTCCCTGCTGATCAATCGGGACAAAATGCTCTTTCCCCAAGACTCTGACATTCTGGCCCAGCCGCAGTCTAAACCAGCCACTCCAGAGAACAAGCTGGCCTGGGGGTAAAACCTTCTCTGATCTGCTGTTCCACGATGCCACTCTCGTTCATCCCACTGCCCACCCCTGCTCATTTTTGGCTTGATTTACTCATTCCTATAAAAGAAAAGTCATTTTTGCCTAAACCTTGAGAAGCTTGCAGATCTTACTGTTGGTGTATCCTGCCTAGAGCAATAGTCCCTTGCACCCCCTTACAATAATACTAATCACCTTTACCTACTAAATCTGGATTATTATATTTAGTTTTCTATGTGACATCAGTCCCTCAATTTTTCTCCCTGAAGATAACCACTGTTACCTTTTTTTTCAGACCTTTCCTTAGTCTGTGTATTTATAAAAATATGTTTGTAAATATTTACCCTGCTTCTACTCTTATTTTCATTTAACATTGTAGTTTACAGATTATTCCAATTATATTTTAAGGTTATAAAGTCTTCCATGGCATTTTATGGGTGCACCATCATTTACTTAAACAGTCCTCTCCTGACAGATATTTAGGGTGTTACATAAACTCCACTGTAATGAATTTTACATATATTTGATATTATGCATATGTGTGAGTATGTCCATGAGAGAAATAACTAGTTGGGGAATTTCTGGGTCAGAGCGCACAGGCAATTTTAATTCTGGTAGACAGTGCTGAATTGGGCCCCAACTGAGATTTATAGAATCAGAATTTGCACTTTAACAAAGCCCCAGGTGATTTTTTTTCTTTTCACATTAAAGTTTGGGAAGCTGCCCCTAAAGCAGCAGTTCTCACCCCTGGCCACATATTTTACTCGCCTTGGGAGTTTTTAAAAATTCTGATGCCCGGGGCTCATTTCAGACCAATGAAATCAGAATTTTGGCCGGGCGTGGGGATAGGGGTGAAATCGATGCATCAGGATTTTTTAAAAGCTCCCCAGATGATTACAAGTTGGCAGTTATAAATGATCTATTTTATTATTACCTGCTTCTTTTTAAAAATGAAAAAGCAGAATATTTTTAAAAGCCAGTTACATAAGGGTTTGGTGAGGAGTGTTCTGGCTAACTACATGATTATACTTGGCTGGATGAAATGAGTTTGGCATAATACTGACTCATAATAATAGTGTTTATACATAGCATTTTATGTTTTGCTGTATGGCATCTGATTTAAATTCTCTTTCATAAACCCTGTTGGAGCACTAACTTTGTACCAGGTTCTTTGCTAGGTACCGAGAAAACTGGACTGAGGTATGTCTTATTTATGCCATCAAGAGGCCTACAGTTTAGGGCATGTCATAACCAGCCATGGGCATATTGGGATTTCAGTAACATGGGCCAGTGGGTGAAAATTGGGCCTGTCGTACTCTGGAGAGAAAGCCAGCAGTCCAAGTTACAGTGTTTAGAGTAGCCTGGTGAATTGGACTTGATTAAAGCATCAATATGGGGGAAAGTGGGGAGGCAATGAAGAAAAGCCTAAATTTGCTCTAACGAGTTTTGGGCATGATTCGTTTTTGCTAGGCTGTAGGATGGGCAAATCAGGAAAAGAGTAGCATCATGGTTTTCTTGGATTTTCAGGGTAGAGTGGGGCTCTCACCAGCAGCAGAGCATTCAGGGATGGGGCCCAGTTTCCAGGAGAAGGGGGACTAGCTTACACTAGATCTGGAAAGCTGAAGAGGACGTACAGACTGCAGCCATGTGGTAGGAACTGGACAATCATGGCTGGGTCTAGGGAAGTCCGTAGACTGGTAGCCATTCAGGACACTTGGGGCTCCCACTTCCCATAGGCAGAAAAAAAAGAAAAAGAAAAACCATGATGTGGACAGCAAGGCTAATTCTTTGTGTGTGTGCGTGTGTTATTTGGTTATATGAGTAAGTTCTTTAGTGGTGATTTGTGAGATTCTGGTGCACCCATCACCCGAGCAGTATACACTGAACCTCATTTGTAGTCTTTTATCCCTCACCCCCTTCTCACTCTTTCCCCCAGAGTCCCCAAAGTCCATTGTGTCATTCTTATGCCTTTCCATCCTCACAGCTTAACTCCCACTTATGAGTGAAAACATTTGATGTTTGGTTTTCCATTCCTGAGTTACTTCACTTAGAATAATAATCTCCAATCCCATGCAGGTTGCTGCTAATACCATAAATTCACTCCTTTTTATGGCTGAGTAGTATTCCATCATATATATACCACAGTTTATCACTTGTTGATTGATGGGCATTTGGGCTGGTTCCACATTTTTGCAATTGCAAATTGTGCTTCTGTAAACATGTGTGTGCAACTATCTTTTTCATATAATGACTTATTTTTCTCTGGGCAGATACCCAGTTAGTGGGATTGCTGGATCAAATGGTAGATCTATTTTTAGTTCTTTAAGGAATCTCCACACTGTTTTCCATAGGGTTTTACTAGTTTACACTCCCACCAGCAGTGTATAAGTGTGTTATTCTACAGTGAAAATAGTTTCTAAAAATTAAAAATTCTAATCTTGAAGTACGAAGTTAAATCCTTCTAAGGATATTGTTTGCAGTTGGTGCAGAAGTCACAGTTCCTTTATTTATTTATTTATTTACTTAATTAATTTTTGAGACAGAGTCTTGCTCTGTTGCCCAGGCTGGAGTGCAGTGGCACAATCGCATGATCTTGGCCCACTACAACCACTGCCTCCTGGGTTCAATCGATTCTTATGCCTCAGCCTCCTGAGTAGCTGCGATTATAGGCACACGCCACCAAACCTGGCTAATTTTTTTTTTTTTTTGTATTTTTAATAGAGACAGGGTTTCGCCTAGACATGTTGCCCAGGCTGGTTTCAAACTCCTGGCCTCAAGCAATCCACCTGCCTCGGACTCCCAAAGTGCTGGGATTACAGGCATGAGCCACTGTGCCCAGCCCCCAGAAGTCACAGTTCTGTTGCGGACTATAAGTGAGGGCCAGAACATAGATCTTTTTTATATTTTTCAAAAGTATGAAATGAAGTGAAATACGTGCAGGTCAATATGTTTATGACTCTTTTATGGTTATTTCTTCCAGCAGTCTTTAAGATAGTAAATATAGGAACTTCAAATGACTTCTCATGAACCATATCACTATACATGCTCTCTTTTTTCCTGCAAATCGGGTTATTTTCTTTGAAATAGGAATAGGAAATTGAATGGAATGGAATGTCCTTCCACCCATCTTTCATCAAAGGAATTTTTATTGTAAGTAGCACCAGAATCCTGGGCCTGCCTCTTGAAAGGAAAAATGAAACACATCTCTTCCCACCTCCTCTGCCAACAGGCATTAGCTATCCCAAATATTAACAGAGATAACCTCCCAGCAAAAGATGTAGGCCCTTAGATTTCCTTATAAGCCCTTAGAGGAAGAAAAAAATATACCGCCCTAATCCCGAGTAATTCCTGAGCTATGCAGCTCAAACAGAAAGTCAAATAAAATAAAAGTATATCTTTCTTAAGTGAAAACTGTTTTGCAATGAAAGTCAGGGTTATTTATACTGGCTGTGACTGAGTGTTGCCCTCAGAGGCATCTTTGCATTTCCCACAAGCCATTACAAGTTGGGTGCTGCTCATCTTTGGTGGAGAGAAACCAGTTCCTGATCATATTCCCCTCAGCCAGACCCGCCATCAGCTGGTTCCCCTTAAGTCCTTATCTCCCTGTTACGTCCCACTACCATTTCCAGGAACAATGTTTTCTTTTTTATTCCTTTTTTTCCCCCCTTTTTTAGAGACAAGGTCCCACATGTTCCCCAGGCTGGCCTTGAACTCCTAGCCTCAAGGGATCCTCAGCCTCCTTAGTAGCTGGGACTATAGACACATGCCACTGCCTGGCTCGGGAATAATGTTTTAATAACTAGGTAGCAACAAGGGAAGAAGAGCTCTAATGAAAATATCTCTGGGACACTCAGAGGCTGGGCCAGGCTGTAAAGTAGAAAAATTTTTGAACCTTTTCCACGCATCTGTCAGGAGCAACCCAAGCCAATGTTGTTTTGTCGCCTCCACAGCTACCTAAGGGTTGTGCGTTGTTCTACCTTTCTTTTTCTTTTTCTTCTTGTCCTGCTTTTATATTTAAGAAATGAAATTGTATTATTTTGGGTAAGTTCAGGAATCTTAAGGCATGCCAAATTACCTGGGCCAGGTGGGTAGTCTCCCATATATATTATCTAATAAGAGTGAGTATCATTCTATCATTATTATTTATATATTGTTATTATATATGAGTTTAATTTAAATCACTTCAGTAAGCACTGAGACTTTTATGTGTCCAATTTGTTTTGGGCACCAGATATACAATTTCATATTATCTCAAAGGCATTTTGAGCAGGGCTTAGATGTATAAAAGCAGCTTCTCAAAACACAGGGTGCCTCAAAAGGTCAAGGACCTAAAAAACACAGATGGAATCTGGATTCTGACCAACAGAATATTTTAGCTGTGTCCAGAGACACATGGGTAGGCAGAAGAGACAGGCTGCTGTCTGCTAGGAACGCCTTTTTGTTGGTTTCCCCTAGTTGAATCAGCAGCCACATCTGCCATGTTGGGGCAATCTAGCTGTTAAATGTATCACAGGACTGATTAACTGGAAGGACGGAGTGGCACTCCAGGTATGCTCACTAGGGAGTATAATTTGGAATTTCTTCTATTTGAAACATTTTCTTGAGAAAAATATTTAGAGAAGCTTGGCCAAATAGTATATGGTCCATCCATTGCTCTAGGTTAGCACTGCTCAAAGGTGTTTTGCATCAGAATCAACTGATAAGGCAGTTAAGAGTACGTATGTTATGGCTTCATCCAAGGGTCATTAATTCTGAGGTTTAGGAAGGAGTCTAGACAGATGAATTTGGAATTAGGTGGCTCTTATGTCTGCACATGGTTACCCTTTCATGAACACCTCCATTTTCCATGAGGTCCTCACCCTAGCACACGTAAGGGATTCACTACACAGTCATGGTAATACATTTGGGGACACGCTTCATGGAAACCTGTCAAAAGGAAGGGAGTGGTACTTACATAGTTTGAAGAAGCTTTCCAGTTGATTCAAATAGGCCCCCTCATTTCCCTGTCTAGACCAAGAATCACAGCTTTACAATTGATCCTTGTACTAAACAATCTATCAGAAAGCTGTTTAGGCCAGGCACAATGGCTCATGCCTGTAATCTCACCACTTTGGGAGGTGCAGGTGGGAGGATCACTTAAGCCCAGGAGTTCCAGATCAGCCTGGGCAACATAGGGAGACTGTGTATCTACAAAAATAAAAAATAATAATAAATTAGCCAGGCTTGGTGGCAGGCACCTGTGGTCCCAGCTACTCAGGAGGCTGAGATGGGAGGGTCACTTGAGCCTAGGAGGTAGAGGCTGCAGTGAGCTGTGATCATGCCATTGCACTTCAGCCTGGGCAACACAGTGAGACCCTGTATAGAAAAAAAATAAAAAGGAAGCTGTTTAACTGGACAAAGATATATTGATTTCCAAGCTCTTTGCCTAAGAATTGTCTTTCGAAACTTTCGGAGTTGCATATTTGCATTGGCCTTACTAGAAGAACAAACGGATCAAACTTGTTTATTTTTCACAGGGGTGTTGATGAGGTCCTTGTTAGGCACTTTTGCCCCATCCTCTTTGCTAGGACTAGGGGAGAAAAGAACTAAGAATTAGTTTATGCTTTCTGGATGCTGAATCAAGTAACTGCCTATGTCTCTCTCTTTGAGTTGGCTGCTTGAAGGCTTAGAGCCTAAATTTTGGCCACAGTATGCATGTTGAGTAGTTCACTCTTGGCTGCTTCTTATTTTTCTTTACCTAATTTCTTCACTTACTTTTTGTTTGTTTGAGATAGAGTCTCTCTCTGTCAGGTAGGCTGGAGTGCAGTGGCATGAACACGGCTCACTGCAGCCTTGATCTCCTGGGCTTAAGTGGTCTCCCACCTCAGCCTCCTGTGTAGCTGGGACCACAGGTGTGTGCCGCCACATGTGGCTATTTTTAATTTTTTGATTTTTTTTTGTAGAGACAAGGGTTCACTGTGTTGTCCAAGCTGGTCTGGAACTCCTAGGCTCTAGCAATCCTCCCGCCTCAGCCTCCCAAAGTGCTGGGATTACAGGCATGAGCCACTGGGCCTGGCCAAGTTCAGAGCCCTTAATATATCAATAATATTTGTTTTAAGTTTCTTATCTGATAATTTCAAAATCTGAATCACATCTAAGTCTGATACTGATGCTTGTTTTGTCTCTTTAGACTGTATTTTTTCCTTGCCTTTAGCTTATCTCATAATTTTTTTTGTTGGAAGTGATCATGATATATCTGGTAATAAAAACTGAGTTAATTAGGCTTTCAGTGTAAGGCTTTATGTTAATTTGGCTAGGAGGTGGGCTATGTTTAATGTTAACTGTAGCTATATGTGCCAAAGGCCCTACCCAGACTAACTTACTTTTTTAATGTAACCTTATCTCTTGTGTTTAAACGTTGTTCCAATCAATACATTTAAAAGTACATTTGTAATAATCAATACATTTGATACAATGTATAAAAAACACACATGTAGCAATTGATATATTTGTAATGATTGATACATGTATAGCAATCAATGAGTTTAAAAAATTTGCAATGTTTTATATTTGCAATGATTTATATTTAAATCCATTATTGGAGGATAGCCTGGTATAAACACAAAAAACAACAGATAGACACTATTGTTTTCTAGATGTACTGATGAAATATCCAGTAATTTTAAAAGAACATGGCTGTTGGTGGAGGAAATGGGGTACAACATGCTTTTACTTTGGTCAGTGGCTTTTCCAAATTGTTTTCATCTAGGACTTCCCAAAAGAGGATCACTTGGGGAAACTGAGGCATCTTAATGCCTTTTAAATCTGCAGTAACTCAGGTCTGTCTGCTTAGCAGCGTCCAAACTGACCATTGTTTCTAGATTTCTAGGGTTCTCGCTGATGTCTGATTCATCATTGTCTCTAGTGTCTTCTTGATATTAACGGGGATCCCGGAAACAAACAAAAAAGTACACTTTTTCCATGTACATACACATATACGTTGTATAAACCATATTTTAAGAAAATGACATTTTAAAAGAAGCCATTCCTCTTAATCAATTCCTCTTTTCATTCTCCTTACTCCTAACTGTGCCCTGACTATGGTGATGGTGCACATATTTTCTTTAAAAATGAGGGAATGGCCATTCGAGGAAAATCTGCTTCGAATCTGAACTTATTTTCTACTCCACTCTGGGAGATCCTTTATAATATGGTATAAAATGAGGCCTCAATTTCCTCAGCCTATAAAATATCCAGAGGTATTCAAAGCTGCCTTCAAAATGCTGGAAACCATGCCATCTGAGACTCAGAGGAATAGCCTACGCCTCACATTTGGAAATGTTGTTAAAACCTCATCCCAGAAGTTCATCGTTTTCCTTCACTCTACGAATCCTGCTTTCATTTGTGTGAAATGTGTCCTGGTGGAAATAGCAAGAGTGAAGCTGGCTGGGGCTGCTGGGACCCCGTGAGCCAGTGGTGAAGGCAGTGGGGGATGTTCTGCTGGAAATAACAGAACTTGAAAACAATGAACTCATATGATGGGGTTTGCCTGCTAAGTCATTCCTTGGTCCCTTCCATTCAATTCTGAGAATGGGTCTTAATAGGCAAGGCCCCCTCAGAAGCTGGGGAAAATGACCAGGAAAAAAAAAGGCTCACTGGGTATATTTAGTGAAGAGAAAAGAGCACAAAATATAATTCACTCTTAGACCAGTGCTGTACAATAGAACATTCTGTGATGATGGAAATGTTCTATATTTGTGCTGTCCAATATGGTAGCCACTAGCCATATGTGGCTACTGAACACTTGAAATATGGCTAGTGCAACAGAGGAACTGAGTATTTAATTTTATTTCACTTTTATTAATTTAAATTTTAATTGCCACATGATGGTAGTGGCTACTGTCTTGGACAGTGCCGCCTTAGACAATTTTGAGGATAATGAAGTATGATTTGGCTCGCAGACATGCAAAATGCTAGGCCTGCTCAGTATTTCTTAGCTACTTTCTATGTGTCTAAGGCTGTGATCCCCAAGGATTTGTATCACTCAAAATAAGTATGGCTGTGTGCCAGCTTGTTTATCTCTGCCATTTTTGCTATAGGTTCCTTCCTCTGCAAACAGACTTTCTTTCTTTTCAGCTTGCTTTTTGCAGAGAGCCAGAAAACAAGGCTGCCTGCCAGCACTTTACCCCCATGGCTAGGCTCAGAGAGGATGAGAGCTAGTCTCTCAGGGAGGATTTGCTGAGACAGATCTCTCCAGTGGTGAGGGCTGGGGCAGTCTGCCTTAACACGACTCAGTTACCTTCTCCTAACAGAACGCCAGGTGAATTTAAATTACTTACAGATGGGGAATGTAGGTCACTAGCAAAGCGAGGTCCTGAACAAATTGTGAGCCTGACAATGCTACTTCAAGTTCACCTCTAGCTGGGGCTATGTGACTGTTGAAAATCAAATACAAGACCCTAAGTATGGGTTTGCTAAGTCATTTCAATGCCCTGTAAGTGGTAACTCCAGCAGTCTTACCCCTAATTAGGAAGTTGGCCCAGATCACAGGTTGTGGTAAACCATCATGACCACAGTTTGCAGCCCTGGCCTGGGTCACAGCATGGCCCGCAAATTCCAAAATCAGATGATAGCAGCTAAAAACTAGACCCACAGTGCATGATAAGTGTGTGTGTATCCATACAGCGATTCATTAAAAACACGGATTAAGTGGTTACTATTCACCAGGCCCTAAGCTGGGAGCTAGACATTCAGGAAAGAAGGAAAAAAAATCCTCTGCCTTCAAGTTGCTCACCATCCAGTGGAAGACATAGCAGAAAAGACTCAAATATTGCAATAGACTGTGGTAAGAATGTGTCATGATAGGGTGAATGGGATATTGTGATTGTGGAGCCTGGATTCAGCTTTGAACTTCACCAAGGCAGCTTCCTAGAGGAGATGGCACGGGTGCTGGACCTGAAAACAGAGTAGGAATTTGTCAGGTGGGCAAGGGAGTTCTAGGCCAAGGCATTTGTCCAGAGGAATAGAAGCAGGAGAAGCTTGGTATATTTGGGGTAGCCCAGGTGGTGTATTCTGACCCTCAGTGTATGTGTAATGACCCAGAATTACACAGAACTGTCTAAAATAGAAAGTCCAAAAAACTCTTTTGCCTCAAATTTCATGACCCAGAGACAACCACTGTTAACTGTTTGATGTATCCTTATAGACTGTACACATAAGTATAAGAAATGGTGCTTTTACCTAGTAACTGCTCAATAAAGTTAGTTCCATAAATGTTGACTCTGTGTGTGTGTGTGTGTGTGTGTGTGTGTGTGTGTGTGTGTGTCTGAAATGGCCACAAAGTTCAGCTCAGACTCCCTCATTCTCCCCCAAACATGAGCTCTCCATGTTCTCCTGGTCATCTCCCTCCATTCTCAGGCCTGGAAATCAGGAGAGAGAGCCTTGGCAGCTGGTTTGAGGTCTTTGTTGATGAGACACAGTCTCAGGCATAGAGCTTTCTGGCCACTGAATGTCATGGTTTGGCTGGGAGGTTGGTTTTAGAATCTCCTACCCCCAAATCCCATCTCATCTAAAGCTATGCCCCATTTGAACCCTGAAGAGAATCCCCCTAGTAGGGCTGCCTCAAAGCCATAGTTGCCATTTAAAATCGACTTTGCTCCCATTTGCCTGGTTCTTTAGCACTTAAAGTGTGGCTCATGGACCAGCAGCATCAGTACCTCCTAGAAGCTTCTTAGGAATGCAGAATCTCAAGCCCCACTCTATCCGAATCCGTAGGCTAACAAGATCCCCAGGGGATTTGTGTGCGCATCACAGTTTAAGAAGCTCTGGCCCAGTCAACACAACCTCTTTTTGTGACAGAAACCCAATTGTTGGCCCTTCACCTCAGCTCAGCCAGCCCTTCCCCTTCTCCCTCACTTGCTTTGGCTTTTGAAACCACCCTAAAGAGAAAATGGTAAATTTCTGGAAGGTCACTTGTGACATTTTCTTCTTGGATTAGCTAGGAGCCCTTCATGCTCTTCCTGACCCTCCAAACACTCCCAGTTCCCCTTGGAATTGCTACTCTCAGCTTTGATCCTCTGCTGGTCCAGCTTTGTGGCTTCTGTCCACTGCCTCTGCCTCACATTTTTAGTTATGCAGAGAGATGGCATGGGACAGTTAACCCATGTATGACTCATGGTACTCACGTGCCAGGATTCCAACCCTAAGCACTTGTATTGCTTTGGGCAAGTTACATCACTTCTCTGTGCCTCATACGTGAAAACAGGGGATACTGACAGTTCCTGCCTTTCAGGGTTGTTGCAGGGAGGATTATGTGAGTTAATAAGTATATATGAAGCATCATACGTGGGAGCTCTTTGTGGCAGATGAATACTAGCTGAACACCAAAATCCATGATTATTTTTTCTCTCTGGGCACAAGTGAAACTTTAAGTTTGGGCACATGGCTAAATTTTCCAGCCTTCCTTGCAATTAGATGTGGCCATAAGAGTGAGTTTGAGCTATGAGAATGGAAGCAGAAGTGATGAACATTACTTCCAGGCTTGACCCATAACATCTCTCATGTATGTTTCTCCACGTTCTTCCACTTGGCTTGAATGGAGACCACCTCTGGGGTGGCCTTGGAAGCTACATGTTGAAAATAGCAGAGGCTTTGTAAGCTGTTTACCCCTTCTGGACTACTATAGGAGGGAGACATACATTTTTGCTGTGTTTGAACCATTATTCATTTTTTTAGTCCATTTATTACAGCAGTTAGCCTACCCTAACTAAGATACCATTATTGTCTGCCCTTGTTAGCTCACCTGCCTGCCCTGTCCTCCCGCACCCTCTCTTGGATCTGGCACTAGCTACCTCCAACCCTTCTGTGACTACCTTTATTGTTCATAGTATGCTTCAGACAGAGGCTGGCAAACAGGCCAGATGGTTTTGTTGCAATTACTCAACTCTGGCATTGTAGCATGAAAGCAGCCAGACAATATGGGAATAAATGGGCATGGCTGTGTACCAATAAAACTTTATTTACCAAACAGGAAGCAGGACACATTTGGCCAGAGGGTCACAGTTTGCCAACCCCTGCTGTAAGTCCAATTTTGGTTGAAACTGGCAGAACCTCAGAGAATCATATTTGACTTGATTGACTGATGATTTTTACAGAACTGCCTTGATAATCATATCTGTATTATTTTTTCCCCAGAATCCAGGACGTTTCCATTCTAAGTCCAGTTCAGTGCAGACTATAGAGAAGTTGTGGATCTCTGCTATAATGTCAGCCTGCTTTTCTGAGCCAGATGATAAAAAAAATTTAGTCTACTTGCCCCTGTGATTATTTCACATTTTCTCTTGTCAGCTAGCTGTTGCCGTTCTCTCACTATTCTAGATGGTTCTCTTTTCAATGTGGTGAATCTGGCAGCTCCATTTCCCAGAAGACCCTTCCCTGTGTGGTTCTAGGTTAGAGTAGGTCAATGGAAGAACTTGTGTGAGATTTGAAGGGCAGAAGCAAAGAAGCAGCCCTTAACCTTGGAAGATTTTGAGGCCAAAGAGGGTGAGGGACAGACATGGAGGTGCCCAGCAGCTCCCAGTTTATCCTGCTTCTCTATCACCTGCATCTAGCTTTTTTCCCTAACTCTAGGCTGCTGACCATCAACAGTCTCAGGCCCACTACCAGATGCTGGTCTGCAGATCCAGAAGGGTGGTAACCAGAGGCGGCTGCCTCCCTTAGATCTCACCACCATCTCCCCCATTGCATTCTGGACACTAAGCTGCTGGAAGAGCTTGGTTTCTAAGGTTCCTTGGTTAGTGCGTCCTCTGATGATCCTCCAAATTTCCCTTTGGATCTTCACTTACCTAACCAACTCTCCCCCACCAAAATTATGTAATGTGTAATTCCTCTCATGAATCCCTTATGCTAAAAATTCTTAGTGGTTCTGCATCCATGAATGGACCCTAATACACCCACAAAGAGTCACAAGTTCTGGTAGTGCCGTGGTTTGGATATCCTTCGTTTGTCCCCACCAAATCTCATGTTGAAATTTGATCTCAATGTTGGAGATGTGGCCTAGTGGCAGGTGTTTGGGTGATGGGGGTGGATCCCTTATAAACAGATGAATGCCTTCCCTCAGGGGTAAGTTCCCACCCCATTATTTTCCATGAGAGCTGGTTGTTAAAAAGAGCCTGTCACTGCCTTCCACCCCTTGCTTTCTTTTTTGCCATGTGATCTATGCACATGCTGCTGGCTCTCCCTTGCCTTCTGCCATGAGCGGAAGCAGCCTGAGGCCCTCATCAGATGCAGATGCCTAATCTTGAACTTTCCAACCATCAGAATCATGAGCCAAATAAACCTGTTTTCTTTATAAATTACCCAGCCACAGATATTCCTTTATAGCAACACAAAAAAGATTAAGACAGGTAGAAAATATAAATGGAACACATAGGTTAAGAGAAGTTTCTGAATTAGGTCAGCAGTCACTGGTGTTTTAGTTGTACTTGCTTACCTCTCTAGATCCCTGTCCCCTTGACTGTCCTATCCATTGGTCCCGAGTCCTAGCTTGTTCCTGCAATCTTCAAGTGTTTACTTGTTGGTCCTTTTCTGCCCAACATCTTATTGGCTCCTGAATTAATTTGCATAGACACACATCCACACTGGTGTCTAAATCCTAACTCATGTCATTTTTCTAAGCTGGCCTTTTCTACCATGTCCAAGACTTCCCATGCCAATGTGACACATAGAGAACCACTCCAGAGACAATAAATGGATTTACTGTTTTCTTGATTGTGATTTACATAGACTGGCTGGCTGTTGGCCCTACCCACAGGATAGAACAAAGGTAACCAATTATTTTTCTTGGTACTATTTATGACTATTTCAGATGCTTTGATAGCTTTCCCTCTCAGAGAATCAAGGACGTCAATGAAGGCTTCATAGTGAAGCTAGGTTCATGCACACTTTTTTTTTTAATAGTGAGGCTGGGTTCATGCACACTTTCCCAGAGTTCTGTTTATCCAAGTGGTGAGAAGATACAAAAAGGCTGGATCTAGACACATCTAAGAATAACCCATATTTACTATTTTGCTGATATATAAAATGTATACATATTTCAATTTTAAAAGGAGAGCTCTTTAAAAATAAAATAATATGTACACACTGATGATCAGTTAGCCTACTCTAAGTAAGACACTGACTAATGTAGCTCCCAGCTTAACCAAGTTGGCAAGAGAAAAATACAATGTGGGGATGGAGTTGGGGAAGTGGTAGTGGGATGGCTACACTACATAAAAGTGAACTAATCGCAGAGGCAAGGAGTGTGTGTGTGTATTTCCATATGTACATACACATGTGTTTAAGAGGAAAGTGTTATTCTGTCCATGTAACTGATTCTGAAATCCAGCAGGATTTGCATTGCTAATTATCCTAAACAAATGATTCAATTGTCTACCTAAAAAGAAATCAGAGGATAGTGGTACTTGGGGGGTTGATCACTCAAAATCCATCTTCATTTCAGTGATGAAGGTGTTTCTGTATCAGGAATAGAAACAGTGTTAGCTCTAACATAACACTCATAGATCCTCTTATCATGTTATGGAACCAAGTCTGTGGCCTTGAACTTTAGGACACAAAGATGTCTCCATGGCTTTTGAACTGTTATGGATTGTAATCTTAATTAATATAAATCTAAAGTTTAGGGAAATAACCCAAACTCAGCTCTTATTTGTGTAGCCTATGGCTTGTTAATTTCATTAAGAAAGCTAGGGGTTGAATGTGAAATTCTTTGAAGCAAAATGTTACATTGCTATGGATGAATCTTGAAAACATGCTCAATGAAAGAAGCCAGATACAAACACCACATATTGTATGCGTCCATTTATGTGAACTGTCTAGAAAAGGCAAATCTACAGAGATAGAAATTAGATCAGTGGTTGCCTGGAGCTGAAGGTGGGAATGGGGGTTGACTACAGATGGGTACTGTGGATCTTTTTGGGGTGATAGAAGTGTTCTTAAACTGGATTGTGGGGATGGTGGCAAAACTCAGTAAATTTATTAAAAATTACTGCATTGTACATTTAAAATGCAAAAATTTCATGGTATGAAATTATACCTTAATAAAGCTGTTAAAAATCCACATTATGGCTGGGCATGGTGACTCACACCTGTAATCCCAGCACTTTGGGAGGCCAAGGTGGGCGGATCACTTGAGGTCAGGAATTCGAGACCAACCTGGCCAACATGGTAAAGCCTCATCTCCACTAAAAATACAAAAATTAGCTGGGCCTAGTAGTGCGTGTGCCTGTAATTTCATCTACGGAGGCTGAGGCAGGAGAATTGCTTGAATGCGAGGTGGAGGCTGCAGTGAGCCGAGGTTGCACCATTGCACTCCAGCCTGGGTGATGATTTGAGACTCCGTCTCAAAACAAACAAACAAACAAAAAATTGAGATTGCCATATTCCCCCATCAGTAACATAATGGTGACTTTCTTTCGGGGCTCAATAACATTGTTGCTGCTCACTCCAGTCTTTTAGCTATGTAACTTTTGTCTTTTGATTACCCTCTTTAATATGTAAAATGTAAACAGTGAATGCAGGATGATTTGGGATTTTAGGGGGAACAGTGAGGACTGGAGACATGTATTTCATGCCAGTTAATGTAGTATACAGTGGATTTCTAGTACCCTAATGCTATGGACTGAATGTGTCCTCCAAAATTCATGTGTCAGAAATTTAATCCCCAATGCAACAGTGTTGAATGGTGGGACCTAATGGGAAGTGTTTAGGTTATGAGGGCCTCACATTAATGGATTGATGCCACAATAAAATGGACTTGCAGGAATAAGTTTTTTCTCTTCTACTTTTTTGCCATGTGAGGGCATAGCATTCGTTATTTCTCTTGCCTTTCTGCCTTCTTCTATGTAAAGACACACCAGATGCTGGATCCTTGATCTTGGACTCCCCAGCCTCCCAAACTGTGAGAAATACATTTTCATTCCTTATAAATTATCCAGTCTCAGGCATTCTGTTACAGTAGCCCTAAATGTACTAAGACACCTGGCATCATAATTATCATCATCAGCTTGGACCAATAAGATGAGGAAAAGAAAATAAAATTCATTCTAGCAGTTACAGGCTGATTTGGTTCTCTTTGAGTTGAATTGAGAGTTGACCAGATAATTGCCCACTTACTCCAGCCCTTCTCCAGGTGGAGCTGGATTTTGAGTTAAAAACTATTGGAGAAACAGAACCAAAGACAAAAACCACATGATTATCTCAATAGATGCAGAAAAGGCCTTTGATAAAATTCAACAACACTTCATGCTAAAAACTCTCAATAAATTAGGTATTGATGGGATGTATCTCAAAATAATAAGAGCTATCTATGACAAACCCACCGCCAATATCATACTGAATGGAAAAAAACTGGAAGCATTCCCTTTGAAAACTGGCACAAGACAGGGATGCCCTCTCTCACCACTCCTATTCAACGTAGTGTTGGAAGTTCTGGCCAGGGCAATCAGGCAGGAGAAGGAAATAAAGGACATTCAATTAGGAAAAGAGGAAGTCAAATTGTCCCTGTTTGCAGATGACATGATTGTATATCTAGAAAACCCCATCGTTCAGCCCCAAATCTCCTTAAGCTGATAAGCAACTTCAGCAAAGTCTCAGGATACTAAATCAATATGTGAAAATCACAAGCATTCTTATACATCAACAACAGACAAACAGAGAGCCAAATCATGAGTGAACTCCCATTCACAATTGCTTCAAAGAGAATAAAATACCTAGGAATCCAACTTACAAGGGATGTGAAGGACCTCTTCAAGGAGAACTACAAACCACTGCTCAATGAAATAAAAGAAGATACAAACAAATGGAAGAACATTCCATGCTCACGGGTAGGAAGAATCAATATCATGAAAATGGCCATACTGCCCAAGGTAATATATAGATTCAGTGCCATCCCCATCAGGCTACCAATGACTTTCTTCACAGAATTGGAAAAAACTACTTTAAAGTTCATATAGAACCAAAAAATAGCCCGCATTGCCAAGTCAATCCTAAGCCAAAAGAACAAAGCGGAAGGCATCACACTACCTGACTTCAAGCTATACCACAAGGCTACAGTAACCAAAACAGCATGATACTGGTACCAAAACAGAGATATAGACCAATGGAACAGAACAGAGCCCTCAGAAATAATGCCACATATCTACAACTATCTGATCTTTGACAAACCTGAGAAAAACAAGCAATGGGGAAAGATTCCCTATTTAATAAATGGTGCTGGGAAAACTGGCTAGCCATATGTAGAAAGCTGAAACTGGATCCCTTCCTTACACCTTATACAAAAATTAATTCAAGATGGATTAAAGACTTAAATGTAAGACCTAAAACCATAAAAACCCTAGAAGAAAACCTAGGCAATACCATTCAGGACATAGGCAAGGACTTCATGTCTAAAACACCAAAAGCAATGGCAACAAAAGCCAAAATTGACAAATGGGATCTAATTAAACTAAAGAGCTTCTGCACAGCAAAAGAAACTGCCATCAGAGTGAACAGGCAACCTACAGAATGGGAGAAAATTTTTGCAATCTACTCATCTGACAAAGGGCTACTATCCAGAATCTACAATGAACTCAAACAAATTTACAAGAAAAAAAACAAACAACCCCATCAACAAGTGGGCGAAGGATATGAGCAGACACTACTCAAAAGAAGACATTTATGCAGCCAAAAGACACATGAAAAAAATGCTCATCATCATTGGCCATCAGAGAAATGCAAATCAAAACCACAATGAGATACCATCTCATACCAGTTAGAATGGTGATCATTAAAAAGTCAGGAAACAACAGGTGCTGGAGAGGATATGGAGAAATAGGAACACTTTTACACTGTTGGTGGGACAGTATACTAGTTCAACCATTGTGGAAGTCAGTGTGGCGATTCCTCAGGGATCTAGAACTAGAAACACCATTTGACCCAGCCATCCCATTACTGGGTATATACCCAGAGGATTATAAATCATGCTGCTATAAAAACACATGCACACATATATTTATTGTGGCACTATTCACAATAGCAGAGACTTGGAACCAAGCCAAATGTCCAACAGTGATAGACTGGATTAAGAAAATGTGGCACATATACACCATGGAATACTATGCAGCCATAAAAAAGGATGAGTTCATATCCTTTGTAGGGACGTGGATGAAGCTGGAAACCATCATTCTCAGCAAACTATCGCAAGGACAAAAAACCAAACACTACATGTTCTCACTCATAGGTGGGAATTGAACAATGAGAACACATGGACACAGGAAGGGGAACATCACATACTGGGGACTGTTGTGGGGTGGGGGGAGGAGGGAGGGATAGCATTAGGAGATATACCTAATGCTAAATGACGAGTTAATGGGTGCAGCACACCAACATGGGACATGTATACATACGTAACAAACCTGCACGTTGTGCACATGTACCCTAAAACTTAAAGTATAATAATAATAAAATTAAAAAAAAAACTATTGGAGAATAATAAGCATTCCTGGAAAGATAACACATTGTTCACAGAAAGAGTCATCAGGTGCCTGATATACATTGTTGCCTGAATTCTGCTATTCCCTTTTGGAGATTTGTCACTTCATACAGCCAAACTAGCTATAAATTTGGAAAGACTTGGGGAAATTTTGAGGGCCAAACTCCACCATGTTGCTCCTGAACTGCTGTGAAAAACTGTGTGTCACTGTTGCTTAGATATTAAATATGATCTCTAGAAGAGATTTTGTTCTTCTTTGCCCTGATGTGGTCTGTCAAGGGGCTTGGCTGCCAAACGTTTTTCCTATGCTTCTGCGTAATTGTACAGCACAAAAATAAGAGATTTGAAAAACACTTAAGAATGGCTCACCCAATGGTACATGAATATATGCCAGAACCCATTTTATAGCAAATAAAAATGTTAGATAAGCAGTTTTAAGCCTTTTGTGGAACCTCTTAACTTAATCCAGCAAATGTTTGATGATGCTTAAAGCTTTTCTTTTCTTTTCTTTTCTTTTCTTTTGAGACAGAATCTCACTCTATCATCCAGGCTAGAGTGCAGTGGCACAATCATGGATCACCGCAGTCTTAACCTCCCGGGCTGAAGTGATCCTCCCACATCAGCCTCCTGAGTAGCTCAAACCACAAGCGTGTGTCACCATGCTAATCTAGTTTAATTTTTTAGACATGGGGTCTCGCTATGTTGCCCAGGCTGGTTTCGAACTCCTGGCCTCAAGTGATCCTCCCACTTCGCCTTCCCAAAGTGCTGGGATTACAGGCATGAGCCACCACACCCAGCCAAAGCTTGTCTTTTCTTAGTGGCCTGAAATGTTTAGCAATAGCTACAAGAATTTTTCTGTTACTTAGTTGTCCTAGGTTTCAAAACATTCTTGATTTTAATCTCATCAAAATGAGAATTTTGATCTTGAGCACTTGCTGTAATGTGGTTTTGTTGGTACTCCTGATAACCAAAGACCTCCTTCAATGTCTTCGAGGTTAAGCCAATTGTCAAAACTGTGAAGGGTTTGAGTTGTTACCCTATTTACAAGCTAACAGGTTGGCCGACCATAGTTCCCTACAGACGGGCAGAATGTAGAGACTCCTGGGTCAGATACAAAGGACTTATGAGCCTTCTGTTCACATCAGTATCTCTTGCCCCTGAGTCCCATAGGGTGATGCAAAGGTGGATGTTGTGTATGTAGTGGCTCTGTGTCAAAGCCCAGGAACCCTGGGCTTAGAAAACCCCTGATTGCATGTAAACCTGCCCAATCTTTGCCCTGGAGGCAGACATTATCTTTATTATCCTGATCAGGAAATGAATCTGCCTTCTGCCTCAGAGAGAGACACCATCTCTATCTTCCAAGGCTGGCTGCTATACAAACATCATTGGAAAAATAATCTGGAACAAATGTTGCCATGTGTTTGCTCAAAAGATGGGAAGAAATGCAAAGACCTATGGAGAATTTTCTCCAAACACCACCATCTTCATCAGGTGTCTTCTCAGATGGCCTCTCTCTAAAATAATCCCTGGTTGTCACTTGCTACCCCTTTCTTTGCTTTGTTTTTCTGCATAGCACCTACCATGTCCTGATATCACATTACACTGTTATTTGTTTATCGTATGTTTCCTCCACTAGAATACAAGTCTCATGAGGGCAAGATATCATCTGCTTTGTTATTGCTGTATAAGCAGGGTTTAAAACAATGCTTGGCACACAATAGGTATCCAATAAACATTTCCTAAAGTAGTCAATAAATTAATGATAATCTGTCATTGAGTATCTCCTTTGTCCTAGGCACAACATGTTGAATGAGAGTACCATGTGTATCTGAACTTGCTACCTTTTCCCAAAAGAATTTATTCAGATGCTCTGCTCAATAACAGGGAACTCTTAGATCATGCACAACCCCCCAAAGTTTCCAGGATTCCTTGATCACCCCACATTCAGAAAGATCCTGCCCATTTTGGGCCCAAGCTCATAGTGTAAAGCCTTCATTTCTGCCTTTTGGTGATAATGACACAGAAAGAGAAGGGCAGGACTCTAGGACTGATCTCTTTGGAGAAAGTTCAAAACTGCAATAACCACATGTCCTGTGCTCCTAGCCATTAGAAACCTAAGGCTGGACGCAAAATGTCTTGGGAAGTAATTCATAGTGGTATGGAAAACAGACCACAGGCTCAACAATTTAAACCAAGACATTGGCATTTATGAGAACTTTATTGCAAAGGAAGAGGAGAATGCCCACTAGCCAGAGACTTGAAACCCCATGCTGTGGTTCCTTGACTCTCAAAATTATGAACTGCTTTTAGAGCTGAGCATACTCAAGACACCCATCAATACCCACTCCCTTGTTTAGTAATGACTTTGTATTTACCAACAAGCTTCAAAAGATTAAACTGATACTTTCTTTGAAAACAAGGGTAATCACAGTAATCTGTTCAGAAGAAAAAAGGAAGTGTGCCAGTTATTAAGCTCTTGTCTCTCAGCCCCCAAATCACTCTGCTGCATTTCTGCTTTGCCGGTTGCTCCCTGTCAGACTCTGCCATGAAGGGATAATAGAGGGATGCAGCAAGACTGGAGGAGAGAGAAGAATGTGTTCCTTCTTGTTTATTAACATTCCTATTAGTGTCTTCTCATGAATGGTTCTCCCTAGCAGGTGGTTCCAATTCTTGTTTTTCCTCCTACATCATTGGAACCATCCTTATCCCACCCACTCAACCATCAGGACCACCAGAAAGTTTCCCCACTCAGAGCCATGGGTGACAGCCTCATAGGGACCCTCCTCCAATCTTCTAGGTTCAGAAACCTCTTCTCCCTGTTCCCACCAAGCCCTAGGGGTAGTGGCTGCTTCCTGCAGTTACAATCTCTGAGACAACTCAGGATTCTCTTTACTTGTCAGTTCTCCAACACCATTAACCAATTCCTTATATTAAATTCACTCTATTAAAATAACTGGTATAGATCCTGTCTTCCTGATGAAACTTTGACTGAAAAAGGAAGTATGACACTGAAGATTGGTCAAGAGTCATGGTATTTGTTCACATGAGTAAAACATTAATGATCTCTGTTAGTTGACCTCTTTAACTTTTGGATTAGATGACACGAAGCTCTATTGACTATGGAGAGATTGACACCACCGTTAATGGTGGACAGCATCCCTTCGTTATTATGAACTATGTTTTTCCTACTTATTTCATGGAATCAGTGAAGAAGTGACTATTAGGTACCTTGTGCATTGTGGGATGCAAGCACAGAGTCCTATATTCCAGTAATAATAGTTTCAGTTAATAGACCATGCATTTTTCATCATATCACAAAGAAGTATGATCTATGCCAGATGTCACCATGCTCTATTTTAAGTTTTTCTAGAGGACAGGCATTTCCACACCACATATAAAACTAAAAGGGACATTTTCACAGTAATGTAAGGGAAAGGAGACGTTTAGCACAACTGCAAGATGACATCCCTTATACTCTGTGCTCCAAGAAGCCTTCCTCAACAATGTTTTCTGAGTTTCCTCTGGGCAGGATTACCTAATCACAGCTGGTCTCCTCAGGGGTTGGGGATGTTCTGTCTAAATCAGCATTTCACACCTGAAAACAGAAAGCATACATTTTTCTTATAAAAATAGCTCAAGGGACAAAGGATACTTAATATGCCTCTTGAGGAAAGAATACAACACCACCTACAGACTTGCCAAAGTAATTGAACTTGAGTCCATTTAGACCTCTGAATCCAGATGTCAGTGGAAGGAAATAGAAGACAAAGGTCAGGGTTGAACTGCCCATGAATATGAAATAGCAAAATCCAGACACTTACAAATCTTATAGATTGACTGGCTTTGGTTTTTCAATAGGTAAATTATAAGAAAAGAAAGATGGAGGAAAACATATGTAATTCTTTTTCTTTCTTTTTTTTTTTTTTTTTGAGACGGAGTCTCACTCTGTCGCCCAGGCTGGAGTGCAGTAGCGTGATCTCGGCTCACTGCAATATCCGCCCCCTGGGGTTCACGCCATTCTCCTGCCTCGGCCTCCCGAGTAGCTGGGAATACAGGCGCCCGCCACTACGCCCGGCTAATTTTTTGTATATTTAGTAGAGACGGGGTTTCACCGTGTAAGCCAGGATGGTCTCGATCTCCTGACCTCATGATCCACCCGCCTCGGCCTCCCAAATTGCTGGGATTACAGGCGTGAGCCACCACACCCGGCCATCATATCAAGTTTTAAAAAATGAGCCAGACAAAACTCCAGTGTCTAGAGAGAGACACCGTCTGTTACAAAGATAAAGAAACACAAGGAAGTGATGACTAGAAGTCAGTGATGGTGGCTACTTTTGGGCTGTGACTGAACTAGGACAACTGAAGGGCTTTTGGGATGACTGCCAAAGCTCTATTTCTTGACCTGAATGATGGTTACAAGGCTGTTTATCTTATAAAAATTCATTAAGCTACGTCTTTGTTGTGCGTAGATATTTATATCTGGATTTTATTTCATGGCAAAGATTGAGAAAGAGAATAGCCCCTGGCAGCCTGGCACTATCAGCTAGACCAGGGGTGTCCAATCTTTTGGCTTCCCTGGGCCACATTGGAAGAAGAAGAATTGTCTTGGGCCACACATAAAATACACTAACATGAATAATAGCTGATGAGCTAAAAAGAAAATTGCAAAATAATCTCATGATGTTATAATAAAGTTTACAAATTTGTGTTGGGCCACATTCAAAGCCATCCTGGGCTGTATATGGCCCACAGGCTGTGGGTTGGACAAACTTGAGCTAGACTTTGATGTTGCTAGAAGCTGGCTTGGTACTTATGGTTGGGTCTTGGTGCCCTCCTATTGAACATAAATATTTTATAAACCAACAACATCAGACAAGGCCACTCTGTGACCATGATGGATAAAGATAAAAATAAAGACTGGCCTGTAATCATGTGTGACTACAGAAGACGGAGCATTGTGAGGTCACAAAAATGACCAAATATGGCCAGTAATAGAATTACCTCCACTTCTTAACAGCAACCACTCTAAAGCAAAACCTTGCTTCCTTAAACCCTCCCCTAAATCACCTAACATAAGCCCACACCCCAAAATAAGTTTTTTCTAAAAATCTCTTAATGAGATGTCCAATGGTTCCCCCATGGTGTGCAGTCTCCCTCATTGCAAAAAGCAGTAATCCCAATGTGTTCAACTATAGGTATGTTCCTGGCAGTCCTGGGCTGGAGGTCTTTGACAAGATAAACAACAAAGAAAGAAATAAAAATGAGAGAAAAAAAAGCCCAAGGGCTACCAGTCCCTGTCTGTCTGACAATGTTCCAGGCAACCAGAAATCTCTCCAAGTCAAGGTACATATTTGCCGTGACTGGGAATATTCAATTCTGTGTGCTGAAACATTTCTATTTCCTGATTCTTTGGGGAAATGGAGAAATACCATTGCAGTTGAGTGTAAATTGGAAAGCATGTTGGAAACATCTGGATATAAGTTCCAGAAATATCTGGCCTCTCTGCTGGCTTCACCCAGAGGGAGAAAGCCAGACTGCTTTGTAATAATCAGCAAGTCACTCTGAAACCACCTGACAGTTATCAAATTTAGGAATCTAAATTAGTCTGAGACCCAACACAGACATCTCCCGAAATATTCATATTCATTTCAGGTTGGAAAAGCTATTTTGTGCATGGCATAACCACAATCTCTTGTACTTGTGAGGCTTTATAAAGGCTTAAAAGAGCTTTCATATACCTGGTATTATTTTACCTTCAAAACAACTCTGAGAAAAACTGAAAATACATTGTTATACCTATTTTATGATGGAGAAAACAGAAAAGAGAAGTGACAATCTCAAGTACACATAACTAGCCAGGGCAAAAGCCAGGCCTCTGACCCTCTTAACTTTTCACTTTAGAAAATACTTAGTCATGACAAACCTTGATCCTTTCAGGGTTGATGTGATTGTTTGAAAGAGTCACATTTCATTTAAGCGAAGTCTGGACAATGAAGTGAGTAATACTTTTTATGGTTAAGGAAATGTAGAAGGTGTTATTCTTAAGAGTAAGAGTGATTTTTTTTGTAAGATATTTTCTGGCTCCTTGGTCAATTCTCTTTCCAAAATATCATCACACAGCACATCCAGGGGGACAATTAAACTTTCTGCTTTAGGGTAGAGTAAATACAGTTCGAGGGAATGGAGAGTTTGCAGGGAAACATGTTTAACATATCATCCCTCTATTGCTCTTCAGGGATTTGTGAACACGAACCAAGACAGTAAATTCTATGAAAACAATGGTACAATATTTGCTTCTGGAACTTTCTGTTCACCCACTCAAGAAATGCAGTATGACCAGGCCATGCCAGAAGGCCCTTTGTGTTCTGTGGTAACTTTGAGGCCCTTGGGTAAGTCATGGAACCTTGCTGAATCTCAATTTCTTTGTCTGTACAGCGAAAGGTGGGACTAGAGGAGCCCAGGGTGGCTTTTAGCTCTGTAATGCAATACTGTGATCTCAGCAGGATTTCACATCCCTCCTCTACTCATCTCTGATGGAGAGCGTAGCTTAGGTGATCATTTTACCTTTATGCCGAGACACACACAGAGGTTTTCCTATACCGTTTTCTTACGACAAATATCCATACACTCTTTTTATAACAAATAGTTTACAGTGCCTGTTTTCCTAGTTTTACATGAAATTCACAGACAATACAACCCACCTTTACGTACTTTTGCCCCAAAATTGGTATGATGCTCTAATAGTAATACAAAAGGGAATAAAATGAAAGTAATTCAGAATAAAATGTATTTAAACATGTAAACAGTCAAACATGACAACACTAGAAGTGTCCTTGCCCTCTGTCCTTCAGAAAAAAATTTTAAAGGCTCTGTGATCAAACAAATTTGGAAAGTTTTAGATTAATCCAAGTCCAACATTTTGCAGGACTTCTCAGAGACTTGAACATACTACTGTCCATTGCCAAGTTACAAGGGAGAATTTGGAATATAGCATTTTCCCAAATCTTAAGACCATGCAAGCCATTCTTTAGAGATGTTTTATGCAACTAGGGATCCTGAGGACATGCTTTGAGAAACTTTCCAACATCCATCACGAGGTACATCCAATCACGAGTGACAGCACGGCCCTGTGAACTGGTCATTGTCAAGGCTTAGTGTTATTGGGTGTAGGAACACAAACTAGAGCAGAAGCTCATTTAGCAACACCCTGGCCTTTACCCACTAGATTCCAGTAGCACTTTCCCACCCTTGCCAAAGTTCTGACAACAAAAAATGTCTCCAGACATTGCCAAATGTCCTCTGTGGGGCGAAATTGCCTCCTGTTGGGAACCCCTTATTAAGTAACATGCAATATATAACATTACTTTTCCCCTGCTCACATTTTATGAAAGATATTTTATTCAGATTCTCCACATTCAACTTCCAACAATGATGTCTTCACTATTCTGGGAAGCACTTCTGGAGCCATCTACAGGCATCTTCCAGGCTTCCACCATCTTTGTTTTTATCTAAGTTGTTTTGAGATACAGCCACTTGTCTCTGGGGACCACTGAGTATTCAATTCTCAGCCATGGTTTTTACGTTCATTCTGTATGTATTTGTGATCTTCAATCTTAATGGCAGATTCTATTGCTTCTAAAGAGCTTCTGGAAACAGCTTCACATTACCTGCAGTGCTAGTGACTACCACTTTCTGGTACCAGGGAAACATCTGCTGCTCTTGGCCATCTCAGGGGTCTGAGAGACTCTTGGAGATTCTCTTAAACTTCCTGCAGACACAGCAAAACGGATGTGCCTTTTGCTCCCACAGTACGCTGGGTACAGGGAACCCTAGGGTCTTTCTGCCCACTTGAGCTTTAGCCATGGACAGAGCATAAGTTCCCCTTGCATTCAGATCCTCAAAGCTAGGCTGGTCTTCCATTATTTCCTCCTCTCTGCCCTGACTTGGCCTTGTCAAGGGCACAGGCCTGCTCAGGGACCCACTGACATCTGAAGGATTTTCATTTACCTTTTATCTCTCTTTCTCCCACACATCCCAGAGAATCTTCTCTAGGCTTGAGCATGGCACAACTGTACCTGCTTGACGATGTTTTCTTCCAGGTCTTTGTATCACGCCCAGCCTGGGCTTTTGGAACTCAAAACTTTGACTGCCTAGTTGCCTGTATCATCCCCTTCCTGAGGCAACCACGGCTGACTTCACAGACAGGAGTAAGGGTGGGGCGGGCCGAAAGAGTAGAAAAAGTAGCAGAGGTTAATGACCTAAAATAGCATGCCATCACACGGTTAAAGGTGTTTCTGGTCATAGCTGAGAGACAGAGAACAAAGAACTTACAAAGCAAAGTTTGCTGGCTGCCCCAACAGAACAGGAGCTGATGCAGAGATGGGGAAGGAATTGGACTGGTTTAACAATTGTGATTCACTATCACACAGTCTATTATTAGTTCTGCAATATTAAATAAGAATTTCAAATTCAGTTATGGTAACAATGAGTCACCATTTTCTACCCCCAGATGAAGCTAAAGATAATGCCATAATAAGGTAAATGACACTGAAAATAGACCAATAACTTTTCTGAAGTGGTAGGCTGAGTTTTTGTTCATTTACTATTTGCCTGGGTATGGAGAAAGTGGAAGGGCGGTGATTGTATTTGTGGCCAGGATGTAATGATGTTTTTTGTTTGTTTGTTTACAGTTATGACTAAGAGTGTTAGTCGGTCCCATTGACCTGGGAAGGCACTCTTTCAGGCCTTGGCTCCTGGAGTGGGACATAAAGATTCATGGGAGCTGGTTTGCTTATAATACAAGCATATTTCATACTTCTTTACCCACATTTGCAGCCTCTAGAACAGGGGCTTGGTAGGTGGTAGTTCTGTGGAATGTGATTTACCATAGGACATCATCTAAAAACTTTCCAGTGGCTCGCTTTCTCTTGCCACGAAGGTTTCGATGGAAAAAGGTTTCCACCACTTTCTTTTCACGGTCTGAAAGGCCTTCTGAGTAAATAAGCCATTCATATGGTCCTGAAGTGGTGCTTCACTTGGGCTCAGAGTTGGGGTCAGGACATGAAGAGCGTGGCACCAGTCACTGGACCAAGCAGTTTTCAGGAGATCGTATGACTACGGCACTCCTGCACCGTCCTCTGCTAATTGGTAGGAAATCACTCGGTGTCCAGGGGAAGCTGTGATCAAGTATGTTAGCGTGGCCAAGGCAGAGACAGAAAGAGGAGAGAGAAAAAGAAGGGTCACGGGGATCCTATACTTGATGCTGCCACAAGTTTGACAAGGAGATATAGCAAAACGGCCTTCCGGACTTCTGCTTTTGTTCCCAACTCTCCCTCTTCCCTCATGGTCTCCTGGTTTGCTAGGCTACAGGGGTCTGCAATGTTTGTATGTACAAGGCAAGTTCGTAAATATTGGAGGCTTTGCAGACTAATAGTCTCAGTTGCAACTATTCAACTCTGCCATTGTAGGGGCAAAAGCAGCCATAGACAATATGTAAATGAATGGCCATGACTGTGTTTCAGTAAAACTTTATTATGAACACAGCTGATGGGCTGGATTTGGCTACAGGTCATAGTTTGACTACCCCTGTGTTAAGTCATGTGTATGCTGTAGGGACATCTTTTGCTCTGTCCACAGACAGCCCTAAGGAATGATGAAAAGGCACCTCCTTGGTCTCTTTTCCCTTGGCAGCATAACGATTGTGTCCCTTTCGGTTTGTCATTCTACTCTTGGTGAGAGATGGCAATGATCCACGTGGAAGTTCTCCAAGAGAAAGAGTGGCTTTCCCTGAGACTGGCAGTGTCTGGCCAAGCCGTCCACCTCAGGCCCCCACCTGGGTTTCTCCATGGATTTCAGGGAATGGAAAGCCCTGGCCTTTTCTGCCCCACTGGATCTATAGGAGAAGAGAGACTTTAATGAAGGTAACACCAAAATGAAGGGTGAATCCAAAGGGTGGAGCCAATGAGACGCCACAGCATTTAGAGAGCTGAACTCATCACATTGCTGACTCTAACCCCAGCTTCACAGGCCCCAAAGCCCCCGAGGGACACATTTTATCCTTGACCATCCTTATGTGTGGAGAGAAACCGTATATAAAAAAAGAAACACTGCGATTCCAAACATATTTCATCAATATTTCATCTTATTATTTTAATATCTCATGAAATATTAATAACTCTGGTTCACCCCCTACCATGATCCTACCTGCTCATCACAATCATACCTGCTCCATCACTCTAGGCATGTAGGAGCTAGTAGTGAATCCTGTAGCAGGGTGACCAGCTAGAGAGTTAACCCAATTTACTAGGTTAACTAGTGTTTTGGTTCAGCTGGGGATGTCCCAGATAGTTCCCCTGTTCTTCCCTGGGAGATCAATCCTGGGTGAAGAAGAGGAGATCCCCCTGCCAGGTTCCCCTCCACCCGCTGATGAAACATCAAACTCCATTTGGAGAAAATGAGTGGAATCAACCCTTTGTGTTTCAAGGGCCTATACGAGCAAGAAGTAACTTGAGTTTTACTCAATCAGTCTACCTCCCCACACATACACGTGATTGGAAAAGGAGATGCTGGCTGCATGTACCAAGGATGGCATCACCTGAACCATGCCTGGACAGTGGCCACTCATGATGGCACAAAGTAACAATCATCAGATCACATATCAAGTTAACTTCACAAAACTAAGGGAAAAAAGAATGCAAATATCCTCTGAATAATTATAGTCCCATATTTGAAAAGCTGGACCCCCACCAGCTCTCACATGCCTGGGTGGTCTTCACTAGAGCAGTTAAATTCAAAGCATTGCTTCCTTAACACATGTGAGATCATTTTGAACCATGAGGGGTTTGAACTGTCAGTGTTTCCCACAGGAAGCATCATGCTGGGGAGAGCGGAAAACACACAAGGGGCCGACTCAGATCTGAGGCACATTAATCAGACACTCCTACTAATATATATCACTAAGGACAGAGAGGATTTTCTCCTGAAATTTGTCTTTAATTACCTAATTTCCTGAGATAGATGCAAAATTATTCTAATTCATACTGATCTGGATTTGACCTTCATGTGGCCAACAGATGTGTCAGTGGGTTACAAAACATATTTTCTAAAATAAAACCATGCAATGGTAAAAGAAATTAAGAACTCTGCCCCTACTGCAGTGCCCCAACTTCCACCCCAGCAAAGCCTTCTCCATGCAATTTTCTTAGGCCTCAATTAAATATTAAGCAAGCCCTGCATGAATTGAATATAGACATTGGCAAGATTTTAGGAATTTAAACATTCTTTTGGTGACTCAAATAAATCATTTTCATGGGGCTGCTATCAGCCCTTCATGGGGAGTACTCCTTTTAGAACTTAGAAAAATCAGGACTGTGAGTCCTCGAACTCTTGGAATTGGAGTTTTGCTAAGCTGGGGTTCTAGATGTTGGTTGGCCCTCGGGTTTACTCAGTAGTAGATCACCTGTGGCATGGAAACCATATGATGAAAGAACACACAGGCTTCTCACTCTTGCCAGGGCCCACCCACACAGTTTGCAATGGAGAGCATGTTCTCCAAATTCTGGGAGTTCACACAATCTCAGGAAAACTACTTTATTTCAGAACATAGACTCCATCATTGAAGATTGAAGTAGGAAGGCTATTTCTCTTTTTTGACTCATAGCCAAACATCTCAATGAAAGTTATGTCCATTTTAGGTCATTGTCTATCTTTTTCACTGGCTTGTTTTCTTTTTTCAACTTTTAAATGTTGGGGTTCTTCAGCACTTTGTTCTGGGCCCTCTGCTCTTGGCCTTCAATCTAGGTGACCTAATTGGAAAAATTAAATGGCATCATTTCTCTCTTCCACTTAAAATTCATCAACGTTTTCTTATTGCACATATACTAAGATCCAAAGTCCATGATACAAAACAAAAACAAAGTCCATGATACAGTCGACTGGACCTTACAGGATTCACTGCCTGCCCGCCCTTCAACCTCCTTTTATGTTTTGCTGGAAGGGCCCTCATTGCTATACGCACTTTGCTCCAGAAATACCACTTCTAGAAACTTACCCTGGAATTTATGCAGATAAACTCCTACAAATGTGAAAAAGCTTAATTCAAAGTTACATATTATAGTATACTTTGGAATAGAAAAGATTTAAAACAATCCAACTGTCAATTAAGTATAAGGAGCTCATACAACTCTATAGGAAGAAATCTAATAATCCAATTAAAAATGGGGAAAAGGTTTGACTAGATATTTATCAAAACAACACATACAAATAGCAAACAGATAAATAAAAAGGTGCTCAACATCAGTGATCACCAGAGAAATGCAAATCAAAACTACAATGAGATATCATCTCACCCCAGTTAAAATGGCTTTTATCCAAAAGACAGGCAATAACAAATGCTGGCAAGGATGTGGAGAAAAGGGAACCCTCAGACACTGTTGGTGGGAATGTAAATGAGTACAGCCATTATGGAGAATGGTTTGGAGGTTCCTCAAAAAACTAAATATAGAGCTACTATATGATCTAGCAATCCTACTTCTTGGTATATATCCAAAAGAAAGGAAATCAGTATATCGAAGAGATAGCTGCACTCTTGTATTTGTTGCAGCACTGTTTACAGTAGCTAAGATTGGAAGCAACCTAAGTGTCCATCAACAGATGAATAGATAAAGAAAATGTGGTGCATATACACAATGGAGTAATATTTGGCCATAAAAAAGAATGAGATTCAGTCATTTGCAAAAACATGGATAGAAATGAAGATCATTATGTTAAGTGAAATAAGCCAGACACAGAAAAACAGACATTGCATGTTTTCACTTACTTTGGGGATCTAAAAATCAAAACAATTGAACTCATGGGGATAGAGAATAGAAGGATGGGCCGGGCACGGTGGCTCATGCCTGTAATCCCAGCACTTTGGGAGGCCGAGGCGGGCAGTTCGAGACCAGCCTGACCAATATGGAGAAACCCTGCCTTTACTAAAAATACAAAATTAGCCAGGCATGGTGGTGCATGCCTGTAATCCCAACTACTCAGGAGGCTGAGGCAAGAGAATCGCTTGAACCCAGGAGGCAGGGGTTGCGGCGAGCTGAGATCGCGCGCCATTGCACTCCAGCCTAGGCAACAAGAGCAAAACTCTGTCTCAAAAAAAATAGAAGAATGATTTCAAGAGGCTGGGAAGGGTAGTTGGGGGCAGAGGGGCTGGAGGGAAGGCAGGGATGGTTAATGGGTACAAAAAATAGTTAGGATAGATGAATAAGGCCCAGTATTTGATAGCAAAACAGGGTGACTATATTCAATAATAATTTAATCATACATTTAAAAATAAATAAGAGTATAACTGGATTATTTGTAACTCAAAGGAGAAATGCTTGAGGGGATGGATACCTCATTTTCAATGATGTAATTATTATGCATTGCATGCCAGTATCAAATCTCATGTACCCCATAAATATATACACTATGTACCCACAAAAAATTTTTAAAAAATTTTAAATGTTGAATAACTAGTGAATAAACTATTATACATTCATACAATGGAATACCATGCATCTTTGAAAAAGAACCAGGCAGCTCTTTTTATATCAATATGGAAAGGACTCCAAGCCATAACCCCACCCCCACTTCCCCAGGACTGAAGCACTTATCCCTTCGGATGCTGGAAAAGTTGGCAAATGACACTTTACAGCTGAATTCCCGTCTGGAAATTGCCCTTGGCTGAAGAAAGCCACCTCTCCAAGTTTGTGACCCCTTTCTTGGGCAGCCCACTTCTAATGACTGATCAGTGTGAGGTTATAAAGGCCTAGCCTCTTTGTGCTAATTTGAGACAACTCGTCAGAGCCCTCCCAAGTCTAGAACTCTCGCAGGATTGCATAGGTCTTTGTTGTGACTTGCATAGCAGCCCAAATCCTCCCTCTGCCCAGTCTGACTTCCTTTACTCTCCCAGAAGTCTTGATCTGCAGGGTCCCCACCAATGAACTTCCTGCATACAAATCTTCATCTCACAGTAAGCAACCTGTGATGATGGTTAGATGCAAAAAGCAAAGGGTATAGCAGCATGTGCCACGTGCTACCATTTGTATTAAAGAGGAGGGAGGAAAGGCTCTAAGAAGCTGTGTTGGTGCCTTTACTTCCCTTCCTTCACACTTTGAGAGTCCCTAAGAAGTCTGCAGCTATCACAATGTCAGTATGTCTTCGTGATTCTTTTTAGAGTGACTTCTTAACTTGAAAAGTGCCTGTAATTCCTGAAAGTATGAGAAATTGAATGCAGGCCAGAGTGACCCTTGCATGGCTGGTCCCAGGAAGCATCCAGGAGGTTCCCCTCACAGTCTGCTGTGGGAAACACAAGGAACCCACAGTCTCTCCTTAGAGGAGGACACCATTCACAAAATCTCACGCTCAGACCTGTCTGCTGAGAAGACAAATGATCCCTTAGCTCAGAGGTGCCTCTCATTTTGCTGCCAAATTTCTTTCTTGACCTTTGACCCCATTGCAGTCTTCTTTCATTTATCATGTGCTTCCCTTCATGAAAGAATTCTTTAGGCTGAGTGTGGAGGCTCACGCCTACAATTTCAACACTTTGGGAAGCTGAGGCTGGTAGATCACTTAAGTTTGAGACCAGCCTGGGCAACATGGTGAGACTCCAAATCTATAAAAAATACAAAAATTAGCTGGGTGTGATGGTGTGTGCCTGTAGTCCCAGCTACTTGGGAGGCTAAGGTGGAAGGATGGCTTGAGCCCGGGAGGTTGAGGCTGCAGAGAGCTGTGATTGCACTACTGTACTCCAGTCTGGGTGACAGAGTGAGACCCTGTCTGAAATAAATAAATAAATAAATAAATAAATAAATAAATAAATAAATAAATAAAAGAATTATTTACATTAAATTCCTGGGTGTTCCTCTTTCCCCAATAAAATATTCCTGAGATTTGCCTCAGAAGTGGTAAGATATGTTCAACATTTTAATTCACTTGTTCATACATTTGTTCATTACTTCAACAGTTACTTATAGCATCTCTTGTGTACTGTGCTGTGTGCTAAGGTGTAAATATTTGTTCAAGTCTCCCTCTTCTGGAAAAACTGTCCCATACTGCTGCCTCCTTCTCAAGCTATTCTCTTATCTCACTTCTTCCATTTTCTGTCAAAAGACCAATTTCAACCCAGTGTCTCCACTTCCTCACCCCTCCTTTTATTTCTAAACCCACAACAATCTAGCTGTTATCTCCTCAACTCTGTTAAAATACTTCTCTGTCATGTCACTATATTAAGGAAACTAACACTAATTTGGGTAACAAACAACCTCCAGTTCTCAGGGGCTTAATACATTAAACAGTTATTTCTTGTCCTGTCATTGCATTTTTTTTTTTTTGAGACAGAGTCTTACTCTGTCACTCAGGCTGGAGTGCAGTGGTGTGATCACAGCTCACTGCAGCCTCTACCTCCCAGGCTCAAATGATCCTCCCACCACAGCCTCCTGAGTAGCTGAGGCTACAGGTGCACGCCACATCCGGCTAATTTTTGTGTTTTTTGTAGAAATGAGGTCTCACCAAATTAGCTGGGCATGGTGGCAGGCACCTGTAGTTGCAGCTACTTGGGAAGCTGAGGCAGGAGAATGGCATGAACTCAGGAGGCGGAGCTTGCAGTGAGCCGAGCTCCTGCCACTGCACTCCAGCCTGGGTGACAGAGCGAGACTTCCTCTGAAAAAAAAAAAAAAAAAAAAGAAAAAAAAGAAATGAGGTCTTACCATGTTGTCCAGGCTGATCCTGAACTCCTGGGCTCAAGCAATCATCCCTCCTCAGCCTCCCAAAGTGCTGGGATTACAGGTGTGAGCCACCATAACGGACCTAAGATATCCTTTTTGCATATCAAAAACTTTTGCACAACAACTATGCAATATTCTGCACGTGCCCTTTTAAAATTTTAATTTACTTTGAGACCATTCCATGTCAATATGTTTGGATTTACAGCTGCATTATTACTGTTATTTTATGTGGTCTTTCCTCAGTCTTGACTCTCATTTCACTAGACTCTTAGAACACTGGTTTGTCAGGTTAGGAATGAATTCAGTGATCACATGGTCCCAACCTCTCATTTTACCCATAAAGAACTACAATCTGCCATAGTGGAAGGATATTTTTTAGCTGACCCTTTACTTGGGTCATATCTGAGGTTTCATAAATCTATGAGTGCATTAGGGTCCTCTCAAAAGGTAAGTTGAGGCCCATAAAAACCACCAGTGCACATAACACATATTAAGTAGTCAGTATGGATACACTTCTTACAGCTAGAAAATGAACTCTGTGGGATGTGTTGCCTGACAATGAGCAGAAAGTCAGGGAGGACTTTCAAGTTCCCAGCTTTGGGATTGGTAAGTCATGATGTACTAACTGAGGCTAGGAACAGCAGTTCCAGGGGGAAGTTGATGGGTGCAGTTTTGGATATGCTGAACTTGAGCTGGTCAAAGGAAGTTCACATGGAACTTTCTAAGCAGGCAGTCAGATATATTAATTTGAAAGAGTGCTAAGGCTGGAGATGCAGAGTGGAAAGTCATCATTTACAGGATACAGCCAAAGTCATAAGAGTGCATGAAAATATGCAAAAAAATTATAGAGAGAGCAGAGCACGGGGCCACGGGAGACACTGGGGAAGACCAATATTTAAAGAGTGGACATAGGAGAGCATAAAAGATAGATATAGGGAGTCAGAGATAGAAGGAAAAGCGGGCAAAAGCAATGTCAGGTCAGGGGCAGAGAAGTGAGTCTAGAATGTCAAGGAGCAAGTGGCCAATACAGCTGAAAACACACTAAGAAATGGACAAAAAAGAGTTCATTGGGTTTCATAGTATGGCAGTGATTTGTCATCAATTTCAGATCAGCTTTGGTGGCGTCACTGGGATAGAATCCAGACTGCTTGCAGAGTAAAGGGGAGATGGCTAGTGTAGATGACCCCTCTCAAGGAGCTGAGAAGAGCAGATGGAGATAGACTGTAGCTGGGCACAGGGAAGGATCAAGGAAGGCATGTTAGAGTGGGAAGCTTGAAGAGATTTATAGACCTAAAGAAAATGCCAGTGGTGAGGGGGAGGATGAAGACACAGAGTACTGAATGGGTGATTGATGGAGAAGGCTTCAGAAAAGAAGGGTTAGGGTCAAAACCAGAGACTGAGGGTTGGCCTTGAGGAGAGACTCCTCATCCTGTGGGATTGATAGGAAAGGATAAGGACAGGTTCAGATCCTAAGTAGTTCATTGATTGGAAGGAAATAGGCAGCAAGCAATACCTAATGGCCTAACTGTTCTGGAACAGTAGTTGGTCAAGTTTTTAAATGGAGAGCCAGACAGCAATTATTTTAGGGTTTTGGGGGCACACAATTTCCATCACAATGATTCGCCCTTCTCATCGTAGCACAAAAGCAGCCATAGATGATAAGTAAACCAAGGGACATGGCTGCATTCCAATAAAACCTTATTTATAGAAACAGGCATTGGGATAGATTCAGTCCATGGAGTTTGGGGTTTGCTGAACTCTGTTCCTGGAGATTTAGGAAGTGAACCATGTGCTAAAAGTGGTAGGTGTGGGAATTGAGAAGAGTATTAAATGTTTTGGACAGTCAGGGGGTGATGGATGAGAAAGCTGACAAAGCATAGATAAAAAGGTTTCCATCCTCCCTGAGGGATCAGTTGGGGCTGGAGCCCAGGATTTTGTGATTGCACCAACCTGTCCTACTGCAGGTAGTGGAATTACCTCCGGCATGTGCTGGAGAGCAAAGGCAGAGTGAGGATCCTGGTTTGGAGTTTCATGGGTTGCTTCTGGTGGTAGGACAGTGGTACAGGGGAGTTGGGTGTGTTGATGAGAAAATGTTTAATGCCAGCCATATGATCTATGCTGGGTAGAGAAATCATGCCAGGAGTGGGCTGCTAAACTGGAAGAAACAGAAGCCTCTTCCATAAACACAAAGAGAAGGTGTGTTGGAGATGAGGCAAGGATAAGAGACTGCAGCTTGAGATTTAAGAGGCTGGAGATGGGGGGCAATGATGGGTTAGTGCGGATTCAGAGTGGAGCTACGGAAGATGGTGGTCGACATAGAGGAGAAGTGAAGGTCATCGATGGATGTTCTTTGGAGATGCTCAGCTCTCCCGGTCCACTCTATGATTGTACAAATTGATGCCTGTGGTCCATTTTGGTAAGGCTATTTCTACTTTCAGTAGCATTTCACCTTTTATTGATGTAATACAGTTGTATATTGTGCATCCTCTTGTAAGCATAATTAATTTGTTTGGCTTTGTCAAAATAATATTTAATAAATTATGTGCCTTTTACACATACATCTTGGGTAACTGGTTCAGGCCCAGAAACTTGGAAGGCTAGCTTCCCAGGCTGCTGACTTAGGGATTGTTGGATCATGATGGACTAACCAACACCATTTGCATTAAAGAAACCCAGGAGCTTTTATCACTTTGGTTTTGCGTTACTGTTTTCAGATATATTTGCATTATGTACTATAATTTTGCTGATCTTGCAGTGTTAAACACAATAATAAATTCCAGTTGAAAATTTGTAATTTCTCAACACATAAAATAACTCATTTGGGAGACTGTGAGAGCTATTTGACCGTCTTTCTATGATGAACTGTTGCTTTAGTACTGGTGACATTTTCATATTGGAAAGACTGACCCCATTACCTAAGAATGGAGCTTGGTCTTAGCAACCAATAGTCTTTCTAGCAACAATTCATTTTACTTCATCAATATCTATTTACACAGGGATGATGTAGCTTGAACAGGGAGTATATGTTCAGCTGGGACCTTCCAGCAAATTAGGAACCACATCCAAGGGAAACGTTAGATTCTTTCTGCCATTTCACTATGAATCCTGGAATGAAAGGCATTGAATTTCTCCTCGACTTTAACCTTTGACATTTTAGTCAGCAACAAATTCAACCCTTCAAGACAGCAGGGAACACATTGAGAAAATATTATTACTCTTCACTGTTTTTTTTTTTGAGACGGGGTCTCGCTCTGTCGCCCAGGCTGGAGTCCAGTGGCGCGATCTCGGCTCACTGCAAGCTCCGCCTCCCGGGTTCAGGCCATTCTCCTGCCTCAGCCTCCCGAGTAGCTGGGACTACAGGTACTCTTCACTGTTTTAACCACCAGTTCTAGAGAACAATACAGTTTAAAAATGATATGTCAACCTATCTGAAGAAGTTGCACTTAGCTGCATTATTTATTTTTTAAATAGCTGAATTAATACTTTGTTATAGGCTTGGTGCGGTGGCTCATGCCTGTAATCCCAGCACTTTGGGAGGCCGAGGCGGGCGGATCACTTGAGGATAGAAGTTCGAGACCAGCCTGGCCAACATGGTGAATCCCCATTTCTACTAAAAATACAAAAATTAGCCGGGTGTGGTGGTACACACCTGAGATCCCAGCTACTTGGGAGGCTGAGGCATGAGAATCTCTTGAACCTAGGAGGCGGAGGTTGCAATGAGTTGAGATCGCACCACTGCACTCCAGGCCTGGGAAACAGAGTGAGACTTTGTCTCAAAAAAACAAAAAACAAAAAACCTTTTTTATAAGAATAATAATTATAATAATATATATATAACAATAATAATAATATATAATTCTTATTTGCAGCTCTTCCACTTAGATTTGGTTGATGGTGGCTTTCCTTTTGTGATGACATCTTCATCAAAAGAAATCAAAGTGTCCTAATGGAAGTTCTTAGATATAGCTCCTTTGAAGCAAGCCTCCTTAAAGGCTCAAAAATCCTGAAATAAGTGGGGCCTGTTAAAAAAATCCCCTCTTCTGCCACGCAGCAAGAGCGACATCTGCTGGCCGATGTCAGACATCTTTATTTTGGAAAGCAATCTTTCCCTTCTTAAAAATTACCTTTGTTGTTTTTGCTGTTGTTATTTATTTTTAAAATATGTTCTCGTGCTTCTACAGAGTCCTTAATAGCAAGTCCCAGGCAGGGTTCTGGGGTTAGAATCAAGTTTCTACAGAAGAAGAAACGGCTAGCCCCATAATTTGCGGGGCTCGGTGTAAAATGAAAATGTGGGGCTCCTGGTTCACAAATTAAGAATTTCTAGATGGTCTAGATGACCTAGACCATCAAGCCAAGTGCAGGGCCCATCTGAGTGCAGGGCCTTGTGAAACTGCACAGGTCATACGCTCTGGAAGTGGGTCCTAGTGTAACTGCCTAGTAGTTTCTTCCTGCCTACTGCACAGACAAATCATTTCACTGAGACTGCTGCATTGTAGTAGAGAAGGAGTTTGACATGAAACTGGTCACATGGGAGAACTGGAGTTATCACTCAAATCCATCTCCCCAAAGGCTCAGAGATTAGGGTTCTAACAGACAATTTGGTGGGCAGGGGGCTAGAGAATGGGTGTTGCTAATTGGCTGGGGATGAAATTATAGAGATGTGGAAAACTGTCCTGATACACTGAATTGGCCTCTGGATGGGACCACAGGGGCAGTTGAGTCATGAGTCATGAGTCCGTATGGGGTCAGTCTGAAAGATGTCTCAAAAAACCAATCCTAAATTCTACAATAACGATGTTGTCTATACGAGCAATTGGGGAAGTCACAAATCTTGTGACCTCTGGCCACACGACTCCTGAGCAGGAAGGGATTATGGAAACTACATCTACGTTTTAGCAGAGTTCAGGCCCCCCTCAAAATCCTGTTCTTGTTGCCTATCATTAGTCTTACCTGGGTTGTTTTCGGTCCTGAGCAAGGAGGGCATTAGTTTTATGTAGGGCCTATTATCATCCTTGCTTTCAAGTTAAACTATAAACTAAATTCCTCTCAAAGTTAGCTTGGTCCATGCTCAGGAATGACCAAGGACAGTGTGGAGGTCAGAAGTAAGATGCAGTCAGCTATGTCCGATTTATCTTACCGTCATAATGTTGCACATGCAGTTTTACTAGGTGAAGGGTGCTAGGAGAATGAGCCCAGTGCTCAGCTTCAGAAGGTAGAGTGTGCAGGTGACAACTCAATGACTTTGGAGCCTACAAATGGCTCCTGTGCCATGTATCACCCCCACTCAGGAGGGACTGAGAGGAAAGTGACTTGAATTAAAGAGAAGGAGAGCAAGTTAGTCATTAGGGGCCACCATACAGACCACACCTTCTCATGTTCCTCCTCCTTGGTAAAGGTTTGGTGCTTGGAGAAGAGCTGGATGGGTGCTCAGGAGGGAAGGCCACCTGGGTTCCTCTAGAATTAGCTTCCTAGAGGAAGGGACTGAGTGGATAACACATTTCTGGTGTCTCTCCAATGCTTATGACTCTTTGGACCTTCATATCTTCCCCAATCATTGAATGACAAGGGAGAAAGCAGGGGTCTGAGGAGAAGCCACCCTCCTTTTCTTTTCTTTCTTTCTTTTTTTTTTTTAGAGATAGAGTCTGCTCTGTCGCCCAGGCTGGAGTGCTGTGGTGTGATCTCAGCTCACTGCAACCTCTGCCTCCTGAGTTCAAGTGATTCTCCTGCCTCAGCCTCCTCATTAACTGGGATTACAGGCACGTGCCACCATGCCCAGCTAATTTTTGTATTTTTAGTAGAGACGGGGTTTCACTATATTAGCCAGGCTGGTCTTGAACTCCTGACCTCAAGTGATCCACCCACCTCGGCCTCCCAAAGTGCTGGGATTACAGGTGTGAGCCACCACGCCTGGCCACCCTTCCTTTCAAAATGTCCCCAGAGTGTCTTGATGAGGCTTAAGTAATCACAACAGCTAACATTTATTGCACAGCTATTTTGCCCTTATACCAGAGGCAGTGTAACTAACACAGATTGGGGGCCTACTATATACCAGGTATTAGTTCAAGTGCTTAGTCCTAGGTGCAAAGTACATGTACCATCTCGTGGAATTCTACCAACAAACCTATGAGATAGTTGCTGTTGTGGTACCCATTCTACAGATAAAGAAACTGAAGGCCAGGGGTCTTGAATAACTCGCCCAAAGTCATGAAGCAAATAGATCATTGAGCCAAAATGAAGAACCCAGGCAGTCTGACTTGAAAAGGTAACACCTGCTGAGAACATACACTGGGGAAAGGCCAGTGTCCTCAATAAGTGGTGCTGGGAAAACTGGATATCCATACGCAAAAGAATGAAACTAGACCCCTATCTCTCGCTATATACAAAAATCAAATCAAAATGGATTAAATAATTAAATCTAAGATGTCAAACTATGAAGCTACTAAATGGAAGCATTGGGGAAGCTCTTCAGTTCATTGGAATGGGCAAATATTTCTTGAGTAATACCCCACAAGCACAGGCAATCAAAGCAAAATTGGGCAAATGGGATCACATCAAGTTAAAAAGCTTCTGCATAGCAAATGAAACAATCAACAAAGTGAAGAGACAACTCACAAAATGGGAGAAAATATTTGCAAACTACCCATCTGACAAGGGATTAATAACCAGAATATATAAGGAGCTCAAACAACTCTATAGAAAAAAAAAATCTAATGATCCCATAAAAATGGGCAAAACATTTGAATAGACATTTCACAAAAGAAGACATACAAATGGCAAACAGACATATGGAAAGGTGCTCAACATCACTGATCATCAGAGAAATGCAAATCAAAACTACATTGATATCTTACCCCAGTTAAAATGGCTTTTATCCAAAATATAGGTAATACCAAATGCTAGCGAGGATGTGGAGAAAAGGGAACCCTTGTATGCTGTTGGTGGAAATGTAAATTAGTACAGTCACTATGGAGAACAGTTTGGATGGTCCTCAAAAAACTAAAATTAGAACTACCATATGACCTGGTAACCCCACTGCTAGAGATATACCCAAAAGAAAGGAAATCAGTATGTTGAAGAGATATTTGCACTCCCATGTTTGTTGCAGCACTGTTCACAATAGCCAAGATTTGGAAGCACACTAAATGTCCATCAATAGATGACTGGATAAAGAAAATGTGGTACATATACACAGTGGAGTACTAGTCAGCCATAAAAAACAATGAGATCCTGTCATTTGCAACAACATGGATGGAACTGAATATCATTGTGTTAAGTGAAATAAGTCAGACAGAAAGACAAACGTCGCATGTTTTCACTTATTTGTGGGATCTAAAAATCAGAACAATTGAACTCAAGGAGATAGTAGAATGGCTACCAGAGGCAGAAGGGTAGTTGGCGGGATGGTGAGGGGAGTGGGAATTGTTAATGGGTACAAAAAAAATATAGATAGAAAGAATGAATAAGACCTAGTATTAGATAGCACAACAGCGTGACTATGGTCATTAATACTTTAAATGTGCATTTTAAAATAACTCAAAGAGTATAACTGGATTGTTTGTGACACAAAGAATAAATGCTTCAGGGGATGGATTCTCCATTTTCCATGATGTGATTATTGCTTATTGCATGCCTGTATCAAAGTATCTCATGTATACCATAAATATATATACTTGCCTTGAACCCATAAACATTTTTTAAAATTAAAAAAATTAAAAACAAACAAACAAAATTTAGCGGGTGTCAGCGCCCTTTTCAGACCCAGGAGTCAAAGCCCTATAATTTAACAGCACAAGGACTTCAAAAACAATGCAGAAAGTTACATGGATGGAAAAACCTTAATTCTTTTAAATCTCAGTTTTTCTAAGCAATCAAATACCTAATAATAATGATGACACAGAAATTCTTGTGATAAAACGTAAAATCTGTTTCTTAGGCCAGTTACTAAAAGGCAAAGAAAGCCCTTCTGCAGTGTGATTGCTACTCCTTAGGGGAAGCACGTTTAAATAACCTGAAAGTCAAACCTGATGAAAAGGGTACTTGAATTAATCAGACACAGGAAGAGCATGTCCAGGGTCATGAGTGAACCTTATGTTATAGAGGAAACAAGAAACTAGATAACTAGTACTTTGAGCAAATGAATCAAGTTATGCTGGAGAAAAACACTGCTTTTCTAGACTTTCAAGAAAAACATTTTAGCATCAGGCTACAACAGCAGGTAGAACTGGAGGAAAAAAATTACATGAGCTGGTGAAAAAGTTGAAGGAGAGGGTTATCTCAGCCGTTTTGAAGGGGAGAAAAAAGGCTGAAAGCAGCAAGACACAACAAAGTTGCACTTCTGAGATATGAATCTGAGAAGTTTCCAAAAAGAAACAGATTATAGAATCAAAATCAAAACCTCTTGTAATTTTATTAACAGCAAATCAGTATTTTAAGGAAAACTTTTTCTAACATAGAGGGCCAGTCTTAACTTTTTCACATCTCTTTCCCCTACTTACTGGTTCCTTTTTATCTTGTTTCATAAAAAACCTTTCCAAGTCCAATTTTTTTTTTTTTTTCTGAGATGGAGTCTCACCCTCACGCAGGCTGGTGCGATCTCGGCTCACTGCAACCTCTGCCTCCTGGGTTCAAGTGATTCTCCTGCCTCAGCCTCCTGAGTAGCTGGGATTACAGATGCCTGCCATCATGCCCAGCTAATTTTTCTATTTTTAGTAGAGACGGGGTTTCACCATGTTGGCCAGGCTGGTCTTGAACTCCTGACCTTGTGATCCGCCCGCCTCGGCCTCCCAAAGTGCTGGGATTACAGGTGTGATTGAATTCACCTTTATATAACTTCTGAATTAGACAAAATTATTATTTTTCTCAATGAGAACACATCTTCTTTGGCACATTTTATATACAGAATTATGTATTAACTAGAATTCTTATTCTTAGTAACCTTAAATTTTAGTGAAAACCTAGGAAGAAATCCTGAACTGTCTATCAAACATTAGCATTTAATACATGAGAACATTCCATAATTTTAAAAAAGAACAAACTTGTTTCCCCATATCATCACCCTTTCTTAGTTGGAAATGATGCAGACATCTACTGAGCATCCAAAATAATATCAAGTTTTTAAATTACACAAAAAGTTCACCTATAGTGTTTATCCTATTTATATTTTATTCATTTTTAGCAGTTTATCTAGATTACTTATGAGAACTGAAATATTAGACAGAGCTAGTTATTATGTCCTTGTTAACCACTTTTATAACTTGTGCATATTAGGTGTTCACTTCAGTTAAGGACCTTAAATACATGGGTATTTTTGCCAATAACACAGAAGATTCAGCTGGAGTTTTGGTAACAATGTCATAGTTTATTTGTCACTGCACGTAATTTAGCCCATCTGGATAAAGGAAATGACAAACACTATCCTGAACCTTCACTTGAAACAATATATCCTGGAGATCTTTCCATTTTATTGATAGGTGCTATTCCATTTTGTAGACGTATCATAGTTTATTTAATTAATCCCTTTACAATGGACATAGTTTAGTTCCAATTGCTTGTCATTATGTATATATATCATTATATACATATGGAGATGGAAGAATGTTTTAAATGGTTGATATGGAAAATGGGACGAAGATTTGACAAAGGAAACACAAAGATTGTAGCAACATTGAAGACCCAACTGATTTTGGATCCTATAAATTTGTTGTAGTGCAAATCTGAGAGATTGTATAGTTTTTTTCTAATTCTGCTGAGTAGCATTAGAAGAGGCAGACAGTTGGACCCACTGAGGATGGGGTTTTGACAAATTGATTGGAGAGCTGGACAATAGGCAAGGGGAATGAAGACCTTGGCAGAAGAATGGTTGAAATGTAGGTCCAAGTTATCTGAGCTGGATAGGAAAGGAAGTGAAGAAAGGAAGAGAGTGTCTGGGAGGGAGGAAGTTTAGGGACCAATGGGCCTGTTGAGGCAGGAGAACCAAAGTATTGGGAGAACCAAAGTATTGGAGAGGAAATATGTAGTCAGAGTGCCAGATATTTGAATTTGTGATTTCACAGATGACAATAGGTGTTCTTTCAGATGAAGGGTAAAGTTTAGGATGTGACCATGTGGCCAATATGGAGTAGAAGAGGTCATTGGAGACAAAGAGAAAAAGGAAATTAGAGGCAGGATTTGAGATGTGACATTCATTTGCGATGTGACATTCATAGTCTATTACAATGTCCAGAGTGGGATGATAATTAGCCTGGTATAACTGAATGCATTCAGTCTGGCCATTAAAATGGGGTGGTCCAGTCTCCTAAAATATATAGAAAATAAGCCTGTTTTAAACCCTTGTGTAGACATGGACCCTGACTCAGTAGCGGCTAGAAGAAGAGCCCCCTCGGAAGTGAACCACCCAGTGAAGACGAGTGAAGTCTGTTCTCTTGACAGATGTATGCTTCTGTTTGCCATCCTCAGCTACAAGCTTACATGCATGTTTACTTGGCAGTCGCATCAGCAAGTGTGGAGAGTAAACGTATGTATGTTTTGCACCTGCTGGCGATGTTTATTTTGAGTAAAGATATGCTTCTGCCTTTTCCTTGACAATGTGAAATGTGCATGTTTTTGTTTTCCTTTGCTTACAGTCGGGCATTGAGCAAATTCAGTCCATATGTTTTCCCTTGAAATCTATCTTTTACTATTGGCTTTAAATATTATCGTGTCAGTTTGTTCTCATGACATCTGATGGCAACAAGCATTTCAGAGGATAGAAATGATTTTTTGCACTGAAAAGGTAGTTATGTGGCATTGTATTTAGCTGGCATCAGACACCACACTATTGCTACTGCTTGGCTACTCAGATGAGACTTTATATAGTACCTGCTTTCAGTGTTCCCACCTGCCTGGTGCCGCTTCTTTCCCTGCACCCACACACCCACACACCCACACCCATCTCAGCTTTAGCAAGATTGATTATCTCCCTGCTTTAAGTTATACAGCTTCTGCCTGCTTTTCCTGGATGCTAAGAACTTCAACTGCATGGAGAAGAGCTAAAGACTTGGAACTGACAGTTGGGTCGTTTGGACCAGTTTGAGATTTTCAGCCTTGGCAGGACTGTCAGAATAATAAACCCTTAGACTCTTCACTGTAATGTTTCATGAAATAAAAGAAGAAAGTGCTTATTTTTCTTAGAAGAGAGCACACAAAGCTGAAATAAAGTAAAATTATTTGTTACTAATTGCAAAGACAAGTTCACAGTGCACTGGTTTGTGAAGAGGCAAATTTAGTATTTACCAGTTGGAAAACCTATAGAAAGTAAAAATCACTCAACACATAGAACACAGAGACATAGAGCTTTTGTTAATGACTGTTGGGAGACAATTCTCCACCGACCTTTACAGTTTTGTCTTGCTGGCAGAGGTGCTGACAACCTTTGTTCTGCACATTTTTGTCAAGGATGTTTGTATAGCATCCTTTGAAAGGTAGAAAGAACATCTACTTCCAGAACTGAGGGCAAGTTTGTTTGCTGTCAAGTATAACCAAGATAATATCTGTCTCTCAAGCAAAAGTCAGGCAGGTTTACCTACCGTCCATTGTCAAAGATTTGGGTTTCCTAAACTCAGGATTCCTCAGTTGTGATGTAAACCCACTGCATACACGGCATCTACCTGGGCCACTCTGTGTAACTCCCATGGGACTCGGGAAGTGAGAAGGATCTGATGTGAATATGAAAACTCATGCTGCTTGTAGTTCTGAGAATAATGAAGTCTCTTTTGTCTCTGACCCAAGAGTCTCATATCTTTTGCCAGAATCCATGAAACTGTGGCAGACTAACTCATGAGACTGCTAGTAGGATCAAATCTCAGATCCTTCACAGTTCTTGACTCTGACAATGCCATAGTTTCATCCATTTCCCTGACTTGCAGTTTGATATACTGGTTTGAAGTTGAGATGTGGTTTCTTTTGGAGGAGCTATGTAACAGCATGCTGGAATGAATGTAAGAGACACTAATGTCTATATTCAAGGCTCAATCATTATCAATGGTTGAAAGTGAGATGTTATGGCAGAAGTGGAAGTTAAGGCTATGAGAGTTCAGATTTAATTCATATATCTTTTGAAGAAGCATTGTAGAGTGGTTGCTAAACTTTGAATTGAGATAGACCTGGGATCAAGATCCAATTCAATAACAGCAGTGTGAGCAAGTCCTTAATCTCTGCATGTGTCAGTTTCCTGACCTGTGAAATGGGAAGACAATATAATTTACCTCTGTGGTTTTGGGGAAACATTTAACACAGGGGTGGGAAATAAATTTCTGTAAAGAACCAGGTAGTAAATATTTCAGGCTTTTCAGGGCCCCACAGTCTCTGTGGCAACTACTCCCCTCTGCCAACACAGTATGAAAGCAGCCATAAGCAATACAGTAGTGAATGGGTTTGGCTGTGTTCCAATAAAACTTTATTTACAAAAACAGGCAGTATGCCAGATTTGGCCCTTGGGCCATAGTTTGCCAGCCTGTGACATAGCAACTTACTTGGCTCACTGCCGGTATCTAATAAAGGGGTTCTTCTATGTCACCCACTATAGTTTGTATTTTTTTTTTAAATATAGATTCAGGGAACGTGCAAGTTTGTTACATGGATATATTATGTAATGGTGGGTTTTGGGCTTCTAATGTAGCCATCACCCAAATAGTGAACATAGTATCCAATAGGTAATTTATCAACTCTCATCCTCTTCCACTTCCCCCTTATGGAGCTCCCAGTGTCTATCATTCATATTTCCATTTTTAAGTCCGTGTGCACCCATTGTTTAGCTCCCACTTATAAGCGAGAGCATGTGATATTTGATTTTCTGTTTCTAAGTTATTTCAGTTAGGATAATGGCTTCCAGCTCCATGCATGTTGCTGCAAAAGACATCATTTCATTGTTTTTTTATGGCTACATAGTATGCCATGGTGTCTATGTACCATATTTTCTTTATCCAATCATGTGCTGATGGATACTTAGGTTGATTCCATAACTTTGCTATTATGAATAGTGCTGCAATAAATATACAAGTGCAAGTGTCTTCTTAATATAATGATTTACTTTGGGCAGATACCCAGTAGTGGAATTGCTGGGTGGAACGGCAGTTCTATTTCTCTCTTCACATCATATAAATCTTTCACCATTTATTATGTTGTCTGTACTTGTTACTTCACTTAATCCTTGATGAGGTAGCTAATGTCTCCTTTTTATAGACAAGGAAACTGAGGCTCAGGGAAGAGAAACAATTTGCTAAATTCCCATGACTGGGTAGTCAAGGTCAATTCAAACTCTGGCCTTCTGACTTTAAGCCATTATTTTTACCAACATCCTGTGTTACCTTTGGACAAATATCTCCATTCCTAAGAGTTTTAGAGGCAAACCTCAATTTTGTTTGGGGACAAATTCTTGTTTGTGGGTGTATGTACATGTATAAAATAAGGTTTGAATTATACAAACCAATGATCACCAAAATCCTTAATGAGATTCCAGCTACGGATTCATAGGCATTTTTAGTTGTCCTATCCACACCACCAAATCTGATATATTGCAGAGCATTTCCATCAAGAAAGAGGGGGAAGTACGCTCTACAAGAATAGTGATGAGTAGGGAAAAGAAGGTTTCCCTGTCTACTACTTGGGTTGGGAGTTTATTACTTGGAAGAATCCAAAGTGAAGTATAAACCCAGGGTCCATCTGAAGAAAAAAGTTAACATTTTCTTATGGATTCAAATATACAAGGCCCTGGCCATGGCAAAATTCTGGAAGGATGATATTGCCTGGATAATTACTATATGTCAAGCAAATTATAAGGTGAACACCAGTTAATTATCATTAGAATAAAGGTACCATCAAAGCGAAAAAAAAAGACAAGAAAAAATCCCACCAACATCTTGAGTGATTATCATTTAGATATGGAATCATAGATTATGTACATTTTTTACACTTTTTCATGCTTTCCAAATTTTCTACATGGAGAATGGGTTGACTTTACAAACAGACAAAACCAAGAAATGTCACAAAACTTATTCATGTTGAATTTGTAATAGCAAGGGAAATGATTCTGTCATGATGTTAAGGATACAAAGTGACACATAGAAATATATTTTCTCTTTGTGTAAAAATAAATCTTGGCAAAAACAAAAAAGACTAGAAGAATATTAACAGAGGTAGTATAGGGATGTAAGTCTTTTTTTTCTCTTTTTTTTATTCTTTTGTAGTTTCCAGATTTTCTATAAGGAATATATGTTATGTTTAAAACTTTTTAAAATAAATAATTTAAAAAACAAAGCTGATGCTATTAAAAAACAAAAACACACACAAAAAGCTGATTACAATTTTGGCCTCAATTGCTTCGCTTCTGCTCTGTTCATGGAGCAACTTTTGCTTCAGCATGATCCCCAGTGCTCCAGACCAATCCTGCATACAGGCAGGAATTGTCTCAGTGAGTCCCATAGTATGTTAGAGGTGGTGTGTGCGCATGCACGTGTGTGTGTGTATGCATGCACGTGTGTGTGTATGCGCGCATGCACACACGTGTGATGTTAGGGAGAAGGGAGAGTTTCTCTTTGTTGTAAAATCAGGGTTCCTATTTTTCAGACTCAAGGTGCAGTGTCCTGTTGCTTATTACTGAACTCAGTAACGTTTTCCATGTCACCACCTCCCTCCCCCATGGCATCTCCACTCTGTTAACGAACATCTTTTTCTAAACTGAGCCCAAGCCTCCCATCTGTCCCGTATCGTAGTTGTGCTTTTTTTTTTTTTGAGACAGAGGCTGGAGTGCAGCCATGCGATCAAAACTCACTGCAGCCCCCGCCTCCTGGGCTCAAGCGATCCTCCCACCTCAGCCTCCCGAGTAGCTGGGACCACAGGCATGTACCACCACACTGGGCTGTTTTGTATTTTTTGTAGAGATAGGGTTTCGTCATGTTGCCCAGGCTGGTCTCAAACTCCTGGGCTCAAATCATCTGCCCACCTTGGCCTCTCAAAGTGCTGGGATTCCAGGCATGAACCACAAGGCTCGGCCCACAGTTGTGCTTTAGTCCCTGATTCAAATCCTCCTTCAGCTGGTTTACAAAGTATCCGTGTTCCTGCCTCTTCCTGGGGTCCTGACTTACTGTTTCACAAGGTGTCCCACCCCAGGATTTAGCCCTGTCCTCAAACCCCAGCTTGCTGGCTGGGACTTTTACTCATTGCTTGACTTTACAGAAGCAGCCTGATTTTACAGTAAAACTCTTTACTGCTTCAGATTCCCAGCCACTCTGTCCCCACACCTGGCAGAACATAGTGTCTTTTGCAGGGCCATTTGTGCTGTCATCCATCTTGAATTATGCCTGTGGCTTGCCTCCCCTGACCCCACCCTGCTGAACCTTTGATGAGAACTGGCCTGCTTCCCAGTATTGATCTGTTCTAGAGCTGAGCTCTGTGCCAAGCTTCCTTCTGAGCCACCCTATTGCTGTGCCAAAGTTGCATCAGGTCTAGACATCCAAACCTGGATGGGTGACACTAGGGCAGATATAGAAAACAGAAGCCAAAGCACTGAGTCAACAGGGGTGGAAAAACTAGGGGGTCCCATGGTCACAACGGAAGTGATCCTAGAGTAATAGGCCTTGGCACTATTGCAATTTGGGGCCTGATGGTCCTTTGTTGTGGGAGTCTCTCTAATGTACTATAGGAGGTTTAGTGGCAGCCCTGGCCTTTACCCATTTGATGCCAGTAGCACCCCACTTCCCCAGCTGTGACAAAGAAAAATACCTGCAGATATTGCCAAATGTCCCGAAAGGACAAATATCACCCCCATTGAGAACCACTCATATATATTATTAAAGATTTCCCCAAATGGTTCTTCAGTTTGGACTTTGTGGACATGTTTGTTTTTAATCAAGGTTTATCAACCTCAGCTCTATTGATATCTTGGTCCCAGTAATTCTTTATTGTGTATGTTGGGGGCTGCTGTCTTGTGCACTGGAGAATGTTTAGCAGCAGCCCTGGCCTCCACCCACTAGATGACAGTTGCACCTGCCCACCTCCCAGTATTGACAAACAAAAATGTCTCCAGATATTGCCAAATATCCCCTGGGGAGCAACGCCTGGTTGAGAACTGTGGTCCCAGAGCAATGCTCACTCTTGCTGCTGGTGTGCATGGCGTGATGGGAGCAGAAGGGACTAGAAGGAAGCAGACAGAGAAGAATTTTGGAAGGGAGCCCTTCTCAACTGATTCTTTTGAAACTGAGAAATTTCAAAACAACAACACTGGTTTTTTTTTAATTGACAAACTAACAGTGAGTCTGTATTAGTGGTTCTCAACAGGAACAGTTTTTCCTCATAAGCGGACATTTGGCAATGTCTGGAGACATTTTTAGTTGTCAAAACCAGGAGGTGGGGATGCTACTGGTGTTTAGTGAGTAGGGACCAGGGATGCTACTAAGCCTTCTACAATCCACTGAACAGCCCCCACAAAAGAATAATTAGCCCCAAATGTCAATAGTGCCGAGGCTGAGAAACCCTGGTCTATATGCATGTCATTCAATTGGATTTGATTGGAAGTCTTAGTGCAATTCACCACATTTGAATTCCACTTGCAAAACAGTCTTTACAAACAATGCAGGACACTCACTCCAAGTCTGGGTGACCAGTTGTTCTACTTGTATTACTGAGGAACCAACATAGTTTGCACTGAGAATGCCAAGAGGGTCCCCAAATTGTCTACTTGATAACATACCCAACTCATCTATATGGATAATAAGCTCTGTCCCAACTTTCTACAAAGTTGTTCAAGGGCATAACTGAGGCAAGTGGCTAATTCAGAAATGTCCTGGCCGGTAGAGTTCCCTGTGAGAAGAAATCAGACCAACTTCAGGGCAGGAACTTTGTGATCATTATTTTTGGCTACCCAGAGGCCGTTCTTAGCACTGGTCACAATTTAAACTATGCCCTGGGTAGGGGAGGGATTCCTGCTTTTTTTTCGTCATATGTTTGAAATGAATGAACTTTGAATTTCATTTGAGTCAGTTTCATCAGAGCTAGTATGGTCAAGTGCCCCAAATTAGTCAACCAAACAGCAATGCAGAGAGGAAATCAGTGGTTCTCACCTCTGGTGCACATAAGGATTTTTGAACAATACCAATTGTTCAAAATCGGGGAGTTTTAAAATAATACTGATGCCTACGACTCCAATTCCCAGACCAACTAAATCAGGATCTCTGATTTAAGGCTTCCCAGCAGAGTCAAGAACCTGCAGAATAAATGCAATTTGAAAAAGACCATAGTGGAAGAGCAAAGAGAGAAGATGGCCAATGGCAAAATCATGGGAACTGTACCGTGTTCTCATGACTCCCACCCCTAGCTCCAGATGGGGTTCAGCCCCAACAACAGACAATGATCCAACCTTTCATTAGAAAGGACAAGTGCTGCCTGTCACTTCTGAAGTCCTGTGGATTTTTTCTTATTTTTTTTTCTAATCTTAGCGTTCCTTCTTTTTACTTTGCTCACTTTTGAGCCACCATACAGGTAAAAGATACAAATTCCATAATAAGGGAAAAAGATTTTTTAAAAAGCAAAAGTTAAGGCCGGGCGTGGTGGCTCATGCCTGTAATCCCAGCACTTTGGGAGGCTGAGGCGGGCAGATCACTTGAGGTCAGGAGTTTGAGACCAGCCTGGCCAACATGGTGAAACCCCTTCTCTACTAAAAAATAGAAAAGTTAGCTGGGCGTGGTGGCATGCGCCCCTAGTCCCAGCTGCTCGGGGAGGCTGAGGTGGGAGGATCACTTGAAACTGGGGGCAGAGGTTGCAGTGAGCCAAGATAGTGCCACTGCACTCCAGCCTGGGTGACACAGTGAGACCCTGTCTCAAAAAAAAAAAAAAAAGGCAAAAGCTAAAATATGGGGCTTTATGGAAAAGTATTATAAAATGGGAACAGCTGGTGTGCAGTTATTATCAGCTAGAACTTCAGAATTGCTTCAGCAACACTTAATTTTGCTCCTTATGGAGAAACCAGCCTGCTATCTACAGTCTCTCAATTACCATTACCTAGGAAAATTTCTGAGAAATGTCTTGATATGACTTTTCTGCCATGTTACTCAAAGTTTGGCAGCTATAGTTTACTTAATGGGTTTTCTGCACCATTAGGAGTTTCATGTAGGTTACCCATTTAATACATTTTTAAAAAACCATCATAATTTTAAAAATATAAAGAATAAGTTTTGATATTTAATAATAATAGATTCATACTAGTGAAAGGGAAGACATTCTTTGTAGTCTACTATCAAAGTGGCAGAGACTGGCTAGTTGTTCACCAAACCATTTCCTTTCCTCTCTTGGACACATGACCAGACTACATCTCCCAGCTTCCTTTGCAGTTAGGTGTAGCCATGAGACTGAGTGCTGGTGAGTGAAAGGTGAGGGGAAGTATGGGCTCTATCACTATCTAATGGTGCTTCTGGCTCTACAAAAATGAATGAGGGGTTTCTAGTGTGGGCTTCAAAACTAATAATTTATTAAGATATCATATTCGTAAGCGTTACCAGCTGTACAGTCCCAACATTTGGATTGGGGTAGGTGTTAATCTGCTTATCCTCTGATCCTCTTCCTATTTCCCCAAAACCTGAGGTGCCTGAGCAGAGGGCCTCTGAGACAAATGTTGATATACAAAGAGTAAGTCCTCTATATTTTTCTTACAATTTATCAAGAAGGAAATACTGGCTGGGCTTGGTGGTTTACGCTTGTAATCCCAGCAGTTTGGGAGGCCAAGGCGGGAGGATTGCTTGAGGCTAGGAGCTCGAGAACAGCCTGGGCAATATAATGAGACTCCCATCTCTATAAAACATTTTTAAAAATTAACCAGGCTTGGTGGTACGTGCCTGTAGTCCCAGCAACTCAGGAAGGCTGAGGCGGGAGGATCACTTCAACCCAGAAGTTCAAGGTTGCAGTGAGCTATGATCATGCCACTGCACTCCAGCCTGGGTGACAGAGCTAGCCCCTGTCTTGAAGAAAAATAAAAATAAAATAATTTTTAAAAATATAAAAGAAGGAGATATTGAATCTTGAGGAGCAAAAGCTTTTAGCCCGAACAACTGGAAGCTTGGAGTTTCTTTTATTAAGAATGGGGTAGACTGCAGTACAGGCAGGTTCTCTTTTATACAAACAAGGTGCCCCTCCCTAAGCCCTCCAGGTATTGCTTTGGGATCCACAGGGAAAGGAGGGTCCTGTACTCACAGATATGAAAATCTGAAGATGTTATGCATTCTTGGGCAGAATATCATATAGATGATATTGTATCTTTTTCAGGGTAACACATCTGGAGGCATACCATATTTTAATTTAGCTGCCCTTCATTGGTGATTTTAATTTAGCTGCATAGTATTCCACTGTGTGGATGCACCATAGTTGATTAACCAATGTCCTATGCTTTGACAAATATTACTGCAATAAATAACATTTTGCATATGCATTTTAATATCGTTAGAGGTGTATTGCAGTGTAAATTTCTACAAGTGGCATTGCTAGGTGGAAGGGTAAATGGATATGTGGTTTTGTTAGATATTGCCAAATATCCCTACATAGATATTGCACAGTTTTGCATTTCCTCTAGCAATGAGAGTGCTTATTTCCCCACAGTTTAACAACAGAACATGTTGTCAGGTTTGAGTTGTTGCCACTCTGATAGCTGAGAATGGTGTCGCAGTGTAGTTTTAGTTTGCATTTCTTTTGTTATGAATGAAGCTGAGCATCTTTTTGTAAGTTTAAGAGTCATTTTTACATCTCTTTTTGCGAATTGTCTGCTCAGGACTTTTGCACATTTTTCTGTAGCATTTTTGGCCTTTTAAAAGTCAACTAAAAAAGTCCTTTGCATGGTAGGAATTTTAGCTCCTTAGCTGTAAGATTTGTTGTAAATTGCTTCTCCCAGGGCAAGCTTCTCCTCATAGGGCAAGAAGAGCTTCTTCTTGCGCTTTGTCTTTTGATTTTCTTTACATCATTTTTTGCTGTGCAAAAAATATTTTAATTTTTATGTTGTCAAATTTATTAATCTTTTCTTACATCCGCATTTTTAGTTGTAGTTAGAAGGCCTTTCACTGTACCCTAAAAATCATTTTTACTTGGCAACTACTATGTCCAAGGCATTAGATGAGATGTTAAAAGGAAAACAAAACTGAACAAAACTCAGCCCTTATGCTGAAGAAAGTATGGATCATAGCTTATTTGTCCTCAATTCAAAAACAGAATTTTTATATTCAGGATTTGCGTACAAATAGGTTGCATGTAATCTTGACCAGAACTCCAGAAATCATTTTTTCTATAGCAGAAACCAACATACATCATCAGACAAATGGGATGGGTTTAGTTCTGCAATTTGCCAGCTGTGCAAATTTGGACAAGTTGCTAAACTCTGAATCTCAATTCCAGAATCTAATAATAACACTTTTCTTGTAGGATTGTTTGGGGAATTAAAGGAAATTATGTACAAAAAATGAAAAAATGCTTACCACAGTGCCTGACACACAAGAAAAGCCCCATGAAAGAAAGTTCTATTATTTTGTCTATACAGGTCTACTTTCTTCTAATTGTCCATCTTAGTACCCCATCCACCCTGGCCACATATATGAACTCATAACCTAGGCAAAGGCAATCGGAAACTTTCCTTGGGATTTAAAACATAGGATTTAAGAGAAGGCATCCTTTTTTCTTTTGGAAGATGGAGGTGGGGAAATATGAACCCAAAAGTGGCCAGCAGCCATGGTTTCTTTCTCATAGGAAAAGCCAATCTCAAGAGAAAAGAGAATGAAATTAGCACTGATGAAAGATGGAGAAAACTTTGATGCAATTTAGCCTCTTGATTCCTGTCCTCTCTGAGATCTAGCTGCACTTCTGACCTTAATGTTGATTAACATAGGCAGATAAATCCTCCCTTGGTCAAGTTGGGTTCCGTTACTTAAATCCAAAAGGGTTCAAGTGATAGATGTTTGAAACCAGATTTTTTTTTTCAGCAAAGTGTTTAATTAATGCAGAGCTAGCGAAGCAGAAGGATTGGAGTTATTATTTAAATCAGCCTCCCCAAGAATTCAGATGGTAGCGTTTTTATGAATAATTTGGTGGGCAGAGGGCTGGGGAATGGGTGCTGCTGATTAGTTAATGATAAAATCATAGGGGTGTGGAAAATAGTCCTTGTGAGCTAAGCCTGCCTCTGGGTGGGGGCCAAAGGACTGGTTGAGTCATGAGTCCCGAGTTCGGGTGGAGTCAGCCGGTTGCTAGAATGCAAAATGAAATCAGAAATGTTTAGAAACATCTAAGTAGGTAGGTAATCCAACTATGACCCTTTGATAATGGGATGAATTCAGCTATAAAGAGGCTATATAACAAAATGCCTTATAAAGTACAAGGTATGACTTTTGTAGAAGATGATAAAAACACTTTTGAAAGTAAAAACTAGGGAGAGAACAAATACTGAAGCATTAATATCGATGTTGTTTGCGGCCTTTCATTTCCAGTCATTTCCATTTGCAAAGTATTAATTATAACCGTGATTAAGTTTGCCTTGTAGATTGCATTTGGATGAACTCTAAGGCAGATGTGCAGATTCATTATTTTATATCTCAGTTAATTTACATGTCCCTAGGAAAGCACATTAAATCATACAACTCATCTTTCATCAGAGTTGAACACTTGTATTTATTTGTTTTAAATTCGTATCTTCATGCAAAGCCATTGCCTTCCATCTCCCTAAGTGAGAACTGTATTTTATTTTTCTTTCCCAAAGAAACAAACTCAGGAATCTAATAATGAACCCAAATTGGTTTACTGGGAAAGGACAGGGAAACAAATGGAGATGCTGTCCAAGTATGCTGCCACCCAAGGAGAACCCTGCTCCCAAGAAGTCGTTTTATTTCTAAGCAAATTGTCCTGAATATATAAAGCTCACAGGCCCTCTTCCAAACCACAATTTTCTCTCAGCAGGACATCTGAAATGGAATTGTGATTGCTGCCTGTGCTATCCCTCAAGTCTCTCTCATCCGACACAGAACCCAGCCTAGTTAAGACGGTCAAAATCCCAAGTTTGGCTTCCCTATTTAATGTGTAAAATGTTTCCTTTTTTGTTTTTTGTTTGTTTGTTTGGAGATGGAGTCTCGCTCTGTCGCCCAGGCTGGAGTACAGTGGCACAATCTTGGCTAACTGCAACCTCTGCCTCCCGGGTTCAAGCGATTCTCCTTCCTCAGCCTCCCAAGTAGCTGGGATTACAGGTGCCCACAACCATGCCCAGCTAATTTTTGTATTTTTAGTAGAGATGGGGTTTCACCATATTGGCCAGGCTGGTCTTGAACTCCCGACCTTGTGATTTGCCCGCCTCAGCCTCCCTAAGTGCTGGGATTACAGGCCTGAGCCACCGTGCCTGGCAAAAATGTTTAAGTCTGATTTACATGGAGCTGGAACGTTTCCTTTGAAATTAAAAACCAAAAATCACAGATGACAGCAGAGGGCACCCTTCCCTCTCATATGCAGTTGACACTCTCACCACCTGGGGAAAAAGATTTTGTTTTTCTGGGTTTCTTGGGGTTGACAATGGACACACACTCCAGTTTGAGATGACACACCCGTTACTGGTTGATCCTGTCTCTCCCCATTCCATTTTCCTTTCCTCTCTGAGCTGACTGACCTTATCTTTGGGGAACCACAGAATAAAAGGAGTGGTTGCCGGCAGAATCCCTGAGGAATGTATTTTTTTCTGTACAGCTTGCAATGCTCCAGAAAGGACTAGAAGTCTTGCTTCTTTGTGGAGGCCTAAATGCGTAGTTGAGATTTGTGTTGGGTCCAGTCCCCCAATTATATTCCCCTAAGGGAAAGCAGACAGGAAGCTATAAAATTCAGAACATTCATGCCCTTAGCCTCCATTTCTCATTGTGCAATCTCCTTGTTTGGGACCCACACTGTTCCTGCTGTCAGCAGTAATGAATGCACACAGCACATGTTGGGGTCAGAATGAAGGATACTTGAGAAACATCAGTTTAGAGAATCGTGGGTGAATGTTAGCCCACATAATCTCCCCCAACAGAAGAGCTGTTTCAGCAGCAGCTGGGAAATGCAGTCAGCATCATGGCTAGAAGGAAAATGAGTGAAATTATTACAGAAAAATGGCAGATTCTAAATATTTTCCTACGAGTCCTTTAAGAAGCAATGCATATGAAAACATTTACTTCTTGGGTCAATATTTTATATTTAATCTAGATAAAATGCCTACTTCCTTTATCTGACTCTCCATTGTTTTTCACGATTGTGGTTTTGATCTGGACTTTTCATCCTGCCCCCAATAGCCCTACAAAGAGGGCTCAAGATTGCCAAATAAGGCAATAGGTTCCTGCCCATCACCACATGTGGTCATGGCTGGGCTATGTGTGGAGGCAGCCAAGGAAACAGGAAAACTACAACCTTTTTTGGAAAGTCTCCTGTCTTTCTGCCTGGAGAAACGTGAGAATTGCTTCAGTGACTCATTCCCTCAAGGTTGTGGGGAGGATGAATTTTGGCTTAAATGCCTTTTAATTTGCAGGTTTAATGGTGAAAGTTACCAATCAGAGCAGGGTATGTATTCATCATCATTCATTTAAAACCTTTTCTTTAATTTGGAGAGCCACCACGTAAGAAATGTTTTGAAGGTGAAACCCCGTCTCTACTAAAAATACAAAAAATTAGCCGAGCGTGGTGGCAGGTGCCTGCAGTCCCAGCTACTCAGGAGGCTGGGGCAGGAGAATGGCGTGAACCCAGGAGGCGGAGCTTACAGTGAGCCGAGATCGCACCATTGCACTCCAGCCTGGGTGACAGAACGAGACTCCGTCTCAAAAAAAAAAAAATGCTTTGTGGTCAGCATTCTCTCTCCTTGGACTGCCTGGTATTCTCTTTCTTATAGTGACATTGTCTGCTAACAGAAGACAAATGTGCCAGGATGATGGTGATGTCCTAAGTGAGAATCATCTACTCAATCTCTTACTTCAAAATGTTTTCCTAAAAACTCTTGCCCCAAACCCCTTCAGATGTTAGATGGCAGTTGACAATAGAATGGGGGATTGGTAGGAATTATGGGGCAGCACAGACGATCTATCTAGGATGCATGCATGTAGTTGTAGACTTTATCAGATATGTGTGGACTGAAGAGCTATATAAAGGAAAAGCCCATAGTATGGGTGGTTTTTGAAAATCATAGCTAAGATGAATTCTGGGCTCTGAATGGATTCACACACACACTAGGCTTGCCCCAGACTTCAACTCTTTTTAAAACCATAGTTTAAACTTTGCTACCAAGGACCAAGCACTTGGTGGTGTAAAGTAGTGATCAGGGCACCACCTCTTTTTCTCCGCCTGTCCTTCTGAAGCATTCCCCTGCCTCTGACTAGATTACCGTCTGTTTAAAGACAAGACCAGATTTATGTTTTTTGGATTTCCATTCAGTGTCCACCACTTACATATTATAGGTGCCCAATTAACATGTGTTGAACAAATACAGTTGGAAGAGCCACCCCTGCTCTTTGCTGCGGACAAGGGAAAATACATCTCTATGCTTTTTCCTTTCCATTTCAGAAACTAGAAGGGGGTGGTAACCCTGCCTTAGAATTTTTTCTGGTCCAAGGTAAAGAATAGTGTCTGATTCTGATCTTGTGCCAAGCCTTTGTATACTTCATTTCTAAAAGTAGAAATTAAAGGTAAATGGCCCTGCTGTTTGAAGTGGTGCTATTATAGGCTTTGCTTCTTGTGTACTACGATGCCCCTAGCAATATTCTTCTTAGAAGCAGGACGATGTGAATAGAGAACCCACCTTCTATACAGCAGTAATATATGTTGGTGTTTCCATCGTGGGAAGGAGAACCAAGGCAGATTCAATTGTCCCTTCATGGATTGAGACTCCCCAGTTTCTGAGAATCACTGTCCTTTGCAAGTGTGTGTGTGTACACACATGTGCACATGCATGTAACAATACAAGTCCACCAAGAAGTAGTTACTCGTAGGAAACTGAGACACTGCAGGAAGAATAACAGAGTCTCCTTCCTGCCACTGACAGGTGCTTCAGAGGGTTTTCAGAGTAGCCCAGACTGTGGCTCCTCCATACTGAATGTTTCTAGGCATTATCATGTCCTGAGGGTGGCCATGGTGGAGAAAGGACCTAGACAAGTCCAAATATTGTCCATAGGGAGAAGGCTTGAAAATGGAAATGTGAAGAATGGACTCTGTCTTGAAGAGAGAAGCAAGGCAGGGAGCTTGGTTTGCAATATCAACTCTTAACATTTATTAAGGGCTTGCCATATGCCAAGCCCTGTGCTAAGCACTCTATACTCATTTATATATTGTAAACACCCTATGAGCAAAGTGCTGTTATTGTCCTTGATGCGCAGATGGGAAAACTGAGGCATGGAGCGTTGAAGCAATTTGCCCAAAGTCACATAGGAATGATAGATTAGACTTAGATTCATGCATTCCAGCTGCTTCAGAGCCACACCCATAAAGACTATGCCACCTGCCTCTCACATTCCTGAAGGTACTGTGGTAAAGGTGTGACTTTATCCTTATAACTTTGTTAAACTCTGGGAACAGCCTGATGCAGAATCCCCATACAAGCTATTTCCAGGCTGTCATTTTTCTACCTTTCAGTAAGGCAGACAGCATACACACAGCCTTGTGTTAATGTGTGAAATTAAGGAGAGAGTGGAGTAGGAGAGCTTGGATTTCCCTGACTTACATAGAGAGGGGAAGATGCTGTCTCTGCATTCCCAGAGGGAAAGTGCAGTCAAGGAAGAGCTGGGGGCAGTGTTGGGGAGATGGCTGCCATGTGGATAGATTGGCGGGGTGGGGGAGTTGGCGGGGGGCCTTTCACTAGGAGGATGGGACCTAGGGAGGTGGCGCAAAAAAATAAAGATCGCAATGAAGCAACCCCTAACACCTGAGCAAGGGCCACAGAAGGAAATGGCACTTCTCTTGTTGAAGCAAGAATAGTATGGCTTCTTTGTCTGAAAGATAGAGATAGGGATAGAGAGAAAATTAAAAGTGGTATTAAAACTCCCTAGCTGGTTAAGAGTAACTTGGCACTTTCAATAACTTATTGCACTCAATTTGCAATTTCAGGGCGTTGTGTAATTGCCAAAAAGCAACAGTCGTGGGCTGTATTTAGTCCCACTACCTTATTCACATGTAGTCAAGCATATTTCTTAAATAATTTCGTGTTTTGGGTACTGCAATTTAGTGGCTCTGCAAAGTGGCACCGGAGGGTCTACAGACCCTTGCTGAGATGGGTCAGGACGTGGGTTCACACATGGACTGGAGATGGGTGGGTGATAGAGGGGTTGCCTATCTGCCCACACCCCTCCGGATTTGTACCTTCATTGTCCCGAATGCCTTGGTTAGCACTTCCTCAGAAAACCTTGAGATATGGATTCAAGTGCAAGTCATTTATTTGAGGGGTGACCCCAGGAAGTACTGGGTTGGGAGTGGGAAAGTGAGATAGGTAATGGAAGGAGGCTAATACGAAGAGCTTTTATCAGGCAGTTTTCACTGTGGGCAACAGGGTCTTATTCCCACTGGGGTACCAGTGTGGAATATGTGCCTCAGACTTCTTAAAGGTTGAGGGAGGTCAGTCATACCTGAGAGCTACTTCCAGGCGGGGTTATTTTCAGGTACTTCCAGCCCGCTGTGGCTGGGAGAGACTTGGGCCACCATCAGGCAAAGAGCTGAGATACTGGCAATTGGAAGTCAGGCCAGAGTGCACAAGGGGTATGGTTGGAGCCCCAACTTCTCCTTCTAGATCCCTCTCAGCCCCATGACTATTCACCCTCAGGTCCTCACCCCCCTCAAACTTTGCACCTTCTCAGCACAGGGCTGGGTTGTGGCTCGGAAGAGGAAAAAGCTCACTACCCTCTGTGCCCACATCTTGCTTTCCTCTTCACACTCATTGAAACAGTGACACACGTAGTCATTTGCTTTCTGGGCTAGCCAAGAAAGTCTTTTTTTCTTAAGGTTTCTGAGACACTGGCAAGATCATTATTTTATGAGATCTCGCCATAATGACTTGACTGGAGAGAATGAATTGACTGGAGAATTAGGCTGAGAGCCTGCCACCCATTAAATCATTGCTCCAATGTAAGCCTACTTTTAGAGTTCTTAAAACGTGAATACAAATTTTTGGAAGAGATTCTCTTTGTGAGTTGGGTGTGGTCTTGGTTCTGCCTGTCCTCTGGGGTATGTGTGTCCAGGGTGTCTTCTCCATTATCACAGTGGCCCTTTGGTTGTCTGTATTTGGATAAATGGGGTGGAGCACAGGATAAAATGCTTCAGAATTTGAGGCCTCCGTTCCAGGATCTTGTGGTGGAGGAGAACACCTGTTCTTTACCATCTATTCAAGGGGAACCATCTTACCATCCCAATTCAAGAACATCCAATGTTCTTGAAGTGTTCTAGACAGAGGGCCGAGCTTCTCGTTAATCTGGGACATGCTCTTCTTGGGCGGTGGTGATTTATTGTGGGCGTGCATGTGTTCTTGCCTAGGCAATAAAAGAGGTGCAATTGAGCTGTTGGGTTGATTTATTTGGCTCTTTCCTGGTATTGTCAAGAGAGCAGACACCTTAGAGAACTTGTGCAAAACTCAAGGAACAGACTGAAGGTGAAGAAAGTTCAAAAGGCAAGAAAAAAAATCATAAGATGGATGCCGTAAGGGCAAAAAAAAAAAAAAAAAAAAAGAAATGGGGCCAAGGCAAACTTGTGAAATCTCAGCCTCCCTTCTCATTTTCCATGTCCTGCAAGATCGATCCAATACCTAAACAAAGGATTGTATGAACTGGACCACAGTCAGATGTGACTACAAAATTACAGACCAAACAAAGGACCACAACTGCCTAGGGAATCTGTTTCCCTCTTCATTCCTGTTCATTTAAATGTAATTCTTAGTCACTCTTGTGAGACAATTTTAAAAATAGAAGCTCTGAAATCCATTGGCAGGCTACTTGTTGACAAGCTAAAACTGTCAGACGCTTGATTGTTCCAAAGAAATGGAGAAAATCAACGGAGGCTACAAAATCTAGCCCATAAGTAAGAGACAAAATCAATAGAGGGTTCTAGCCTGTATGGCAAATGCTATCTTCCTTGCATATTCCTCTTTCTATAATCATTCTTGCTTCCTGAGTCCAAGATTTGATGGAAAAATTCGTTTTTACGGCATGAGGGAGCCTTCTGGTGTGCTCCAGAATACTCTATAAGAGAGGTCGACAAATTTTTCCTGTAAAGGACCAGATAATATTTTAGGCTTCACAGACATGTGGTCTCTGTCATCACTACTCAACTCTGATGGAAGTGCAAATGCAGCAGATGATACGTAATCATACGTAAACAAATGGGCACAACTGTGTTCCAGTAAAACTTTATTTACAAAAAGGAGGCCGGATTTTCTGTTTGTGGGCGGGAGTTTGCTCATGCCTGCTTTACATCTTGAGCTGAATGATAGTTTCATAAGCATATAGATATGGCAAATTTCACCAAGCTCTGGCCCGCTTAGGATTTTGCACATTGGTATTTAGGTTATGCCTCCATTTTAAAAAAATGAGATACAACTTTTCTCTTTAATAAGCATAGTGTCATAGATTTTCTGGTGAATCCTTTTAAAATTGGTGTCTGCAATAGATAGGGTATTGATGCAGCAGCCTGTAACAGGGATCCACCACAGTGGCTTGAGAGTTGATTTCTCTCTGTGTACTGTGGCTCCACCCATTAGGGACCCAGGCTCCTTCCCCCACTTGCTCTGCTACCTTAGCTTGTTATCTTTGTCTCCCTGGAAAGGAACAAGGAAAAAGGGGAGAGGGGGGCACCACCTTTCTTTTTTTTAAATTTTTAATCATTATGGATATATAATAGTTGTACATATTGATGATGTACATGTGGTATTTTGCTATAAGCAAACAATGTATAATGATCACATGAGGATAGGTGGCATATCCATCACTTCAAGCATTTATCATTTATTTGTCTTAGGAACATTTTAATTCTACTATTTTAGTTATTTTGAAATATACAATAAATTATTAACTATAATTGTTCTAGTGTGCTACCGAACACTAGATCTTATTCCTTCTAACTGTATTTTTTATTTTTAGAATTTTTATTTATTTTTTGAGACAGAGTCTTACTCTGTCACCCAGGCTGGAGTGCAGTGGCGCGATCTTGGCTCACTGCAAACTCTGCCTCCTGGGTCCTAACAATTCTCCTGCCTCAGCCTCCTGAGTAGCTAGCATCACAGGTGCACACCACCATGCCTGGCTAATTTTTGCGTGATTTTTAGTAGAGACAGGGTTTTGCCGTATTGGCCAGGCTGGTCTCAAATTCCTGACCTCAGGTGATCTGCCCACCTCGGCCTCCCAAAATACTGGGATTACAAGCACGAGCCACCGTGTCGGGCTCTAACTGTATTTTTTAAAATACAATTAACCTTGAGTAATTGCCACACTGTCTTCCACAATGGATGAACTAATTTACACTACCACCAACAGTGTAAAAGTGTTCCTATTTCCCCACAAGCTCTCCAGGATCTGTTGTTTCCTGACTTTTTAATGATCGCCATTCTAACAGGCGTGAGATGGTATCTCACTGTGGTTTTGATTTGCATTTCTCTAATGACCAGTGATGATGAGCTTTTTTTCATGTTTGTTGTCTGCATAAATGTCTTCTTTTGAGAAGTGTCTGTATATACCCAAAAGATTATAAATCATTCTACTATAAAGACACATGCACATTCATGTTTATTGCAGCACTATTCACAATAGCAAAGACTTGAAACCAACTGAAATGTCCATCAATGACAGACTGGATAAAGAAAATGAGGCACATATACACCATAGAATAGTATGCAGCCATAAAAAAGGATGAGTTCATGTCCTTTGCAGGGACGTGGATGAAGCTGGAAACCATCATTCTCAGCAAAGTAACACAGAAACAGAAAACCAAACACCGCATGTTCTCACTCATAAGTGGGAGCTAAACAGTGAGAACACATGGACACAGGGAGGGAAACATCACACACTGGGGCCTGTCAGTGGGTGGGGGGCTAGGGGAGGGATAGCATTAGGAGAAATACCTAATGTAGATGACAGGTTTATGGGTGCAGCAAACCACCATGGCACGTGTATACCTGTGTAACGAACCTGCACATTCTGCACATGTATCCCAGAACTTGAAGTACAAAAAGAAAAAAAAAAAAACCATTAACAATTCCCTTTTATACCCCCATGCCCCACTACCCTTCCCAGCCTCTGGTAATCATCATTCTACTCTCTATGTCCATGAGATCATTTTTATTTTAGCTCCCACATATTAGTGAGAACGTGTGATATTTATCACTCTGTGCCTGCCTTATTTTGTCACATCATTTCTTCTCTTATCCCTCTGGCCATGAATCAAATAAAGGCTGGGCATTCTGTTATTATAGAAGAAAGGAAGAACAAATATTGAAATATTGAGAGTCTACCAGCAGTCTGGTCTTTGTCTCCCAGGGAATATGATATCTGTTTCCCCAATGGCTTTTAACAGACTGTTACTTGTCCTCTGTATGTGCCAGTGATAAGTTGGGGGTTCTATAAAAATGATGACTTTCCAGATTCTAAATCAGAGACAGTAGAGAAGATTAATTGTGCTATGCTTATATTTATTCCTCTACCTATATTTACACACGTGGAACAATATTTTAATTAAATCTGACATCCTTCAGAATGAAACAGAGCCTGTTCTATTACAGGGGATTTTTTAAAACAGGTTGGATAATTACTGGTGTGTGGGCAGTCACCCACATATAATGACTCTTCAAGTCAAGTTAGTGATGGGAGCATCTTAGCCCAATCCCTGGACAAGCCCTGGCCTTCCCATGATCACGGTGAACTCTCCACGCTACAGAAAAGCAGAGGGTGGCCTGGGAAGTGCAAATGGTGAGGTGTCTGGGCAGGGACATCTTCTCCAGTGCAGCATGGAGGCTTGGCTTGATGAAAGCCAGCCAGGTGATGGCAGGATCATTGGGCTGCTGGGGAGAAGGCCTGGGCTTCATTCACTCATAATTCCAGTGTGATCTTGATCCAATTGCTTCATTTCTCTGAGTCTGTTTCCTCATCTCTAATGCAGTGATTCTTTGCTCTAGCCTTCTCTTGAGCCAAACATTCACAGCTGAAGTTATTTTGGAACCCTCTCCCCTTGGTTGTCTTGCAGGCTATGCCAACTCCACTTGTCAAAACAGAACTTACTGTGTACCTTCCTAATCTGCTCCAGTCTAGTGACCATTCCTGCTCATTGCTCTGAAATGCATCCGGCTGGATTATTTGAAGTGTCATTGCGCCTTGCTTTTGCTCTGGTCTCTGCCTGGATACCCTTTCCTTCCTTCTTTTTGGGATCAATTTGCAATCTTTCTTCCAAATAGCAATCACCTCCTCTGTGAAGTCTCCCCTGATACCCTCTCTTCCTCTCAGGTTAAGTGCCACTTCTGTCTCCAGAGTCTCATGGATATGTCATGTTTGCCTCTTGGTGTTGACATTAATTGTGTATCTCTCTATTTCCTCTTGGGAGCAACTTGAATGACCACTTTCTTAATTCACTTTTTATCTCCAGTGCCAAGCACTGTGTTTGCTATTGGTAGGTGACTATGAACGTGTGTTGCTTTTGAGCAATCTGTTGATATGAGGAAACTCGATGACTTGTAGAGTCTGTGCCAACTGTAAAATACTAGGACTCGCCATCTCCAGCATCAAATATCTGAAATACTGTTGCAGGTGTAGTGGTGAGAGCAGAAGTTGGGATCTTTATTGCAAGAAAAGCAGTCATGATGACGTGGGAAATACAAATTCACTCCCCAAGCTTCTGAGTGCCAGCTGTACCAGGCAGCATACCAGGGCCTGGAAATACTGCAGAGAACAGGCAGTCTCTCCCTGTAGGGCCATTCCATTCCCCTGGGGGAGATAACAGTTCCTGCTCTCTTGGGGAGATTGGCATGAGAGCCAATTGATGAGGAAATAGAATATCAGGTCATTGCAAGCGCCCGGAGGCACAGAAAGCAGGGTCAGGGAGTGGAGACACTGAAGGGAAGGAAGGTCTTTGTAAAGAGCTGACATCAGAAGAGACTGGAATGAAGCGATAGTGAGAATCGCATATCAGGAAAAACTTGGGGAGAGGTTGGTGCGTGGCATGGATGCGGAAAAGCTTGGCTCTTCTCATGGAAATTACTCCTTTTCAACATCCATTCTTAATCTGGGAAGCCGCATCAAGTAGATGGGCTCAGGAATCAGTCAACCCAGAGACCAGCCAGAGCCTTAAGGTGGGACCTGCTGGGAACAGATTAACTGGGCCAGGTAGATTTCACCCTTCAGGATTTTGAACTGGTAATACAGAAAGGATGCACAAGTTGCAGGCACAGAAAAACAGATGAGGTTATCTGTGGAGACCAGCTGGGTTGTGTTAATGGTGGAGAACTTGGATGAAGATCTGGGGACTGGGAGAGCAGCCTGAGGTTCTAGAATTCTCCTCCACCTGCAGGCTCTGAGATGGTCAGAGAAGTATCTTGGCATCTAGGACCCTCCATCTCCCTTCACTGCTCCAGGTGCACTCCAGTATTAAACCTCTCTTATTTCAGGAGGCTGAAGGAGCATCTGTTTCTTGCATCTAGAAGACTTCAGGCGAAAGAATTTGAGGGGTTGAAAGCAAACCTGCTAAGACATATTCCAAGGGGATTTAGCTCCGGGGCAGTAGATGGAGGCTCTGTGTAGTGCTCTGATTTCTCCTAGACAGCCTTTAAGAAACCAAAGTATTAAGTCAGCTCTTGCCTAAAGAGACATTCAGCAATTTCCAAGCCCATGATGTAGGGTTGGTAATGATGGGGAAGATTTTCCACAGACAGCTCATGCCATATCTGTGCATGGGTGCCAGTGCCTGGCCTCAGTGTCCTGCCTTTATTCTGGATGGTGGGGATAAATGATCTCTTTTTCTGGGTGGTAGGCTTTCTTGGATTTATGGACTTCATCCATGGAAGAGCGGAAACTAGACTACCCCTTATCAAAATTGGCAGAGGTGGTCTTATTGTCTTGGAGGCTTTGGGGTTAGGCCCAATTAGGGCTGGATTTCAGCTCTACCACTCACTGGCTGGGTCTTTGTAAACCTTCGTAACTTTTCTGTTAACTGGTAATAAAAAGTTCTTCCACTTAAGTTTGATGAGAAAACTAAATGAGAATTATTTTAAAAGTAAAGTACCTGGTGAATATGGGTAATGTAATAAGGTTGTTTAAGGTCTAGGAGACCATGTAAGGGAAAATACACTTTCATAGTTGAGCAAACAGCCTTAGATTTGCCTGGTACAGATATTGCAAAGTCTTTACAAGCATAAATAAGTAGTGTTAAAATAAGATTTGTCTGGCTGGGCACAGTGGCTTACACCTGTAATCCCAGCACTTTGGAAGGCCAAGGTGGGCAGATCACTCGAGACCAGGAGTTTGAGACCAGCCTGGCCAACATGGTGAAATTCCATCTCTACTAAAAATACAAAAATTAGTCAGGTGTGGTGGCGCACGCCTGTAATCCCAGCTACCAGGGAGGCTGAGGCACGAGAATCACCTGAACCCGGGAGGCAGAGGTTGAAGTGAGCCAATATCACACCACTGCACTCTAGCCTGGGCGACAGAGTGAGACTCTGTCTCAAACAAACAAAAAAAAAAAAGATTTGTTTGTGGGGTTAACCTGACATTGCTCCTTTGGGATAAATAGGTGGTGTGATTATAGAGTTGGTGAGAAATCCATGCACAGAACTGTTAACTGCTTTATCAGAACGCTCTTGCTAGCAGCAGATTTGACATCAGAATTTTAAGAACTGGGTGTGTTTCCTGACTCTGTTACGCTGCACCATTGCTAGTGTCGCACTGATGTTTCACCCATTTTTGTTTCATAGTGCCAGCCTTTGTTCCTTCAGAGCTGATTTATCATCTCTGAAAGTTCTGGATGTCCAGGCATCAGTGGTGAATCTATCAAAGATGGCCCATGATCTCTTGGAGGCCTGACTCTAATCATCAGGATTATCCCATTAGGGATAGAATGGAGGCCACTCTACATGCACCTATTTGGTCTTTGATCATTCTCATGCCCCCAGCCAAAGGGAAATTGAGAAGGCTGTCTGGGTGATCAGAACAGTTGTCCATGACAAATTGAATGGAGGTCACCTCCTCTGGGGTTCCTGACAACTGGGAATAAATCCAGGCTGATGACCCAGATGGGAAGGCTGCCCAGTATGTAAATGGTCAGTCATCATTCTTGTCTTGCTGGACAGCTTCACGGAGATTAATCTCCCTAAAGCTGTCCGGCACCCTGAGTGAGGTGTCAGTTCAGGTGATTTCCCCAGTGTCCCGTTCTGATCTCTGCTGTCCGCTTGCAAGCTTTCCTAAAAGGATTCTGCAACACAGGCAAAGTATTTGTTGCAAGAGTACAAGGCAGCAAATGCAAGGTATTTGTTTGGGATTGATATCATTAGAAGGAAGAAGAAGAAAGGGTTGGAGAGGATGACAACGAAAGAGAAAACCCTGGACACTGGCATATTCAATGTTCTTTTTAAAAGAAGAGGAGAGTGTGCGTGAATTTCTGGTTTCAGATCTGACTTATCAACTACCAATGAAACTTTACAGAATGGAATTCCAAAGCATACATGCTCCATTCTGAGTGAAAGTCAATAAAACCAGCCATACATATTTATTGCCCCTTGTAAAAATAAGATTGTGTCTTTATTTTTTAATACAAATTATTTTTAATGGAGGCTCTGCAGCCTGTGTAACCCTGTCCCCAAGCTTCCCTACAATCTCCCATAGCCGTTCTGAAATTTACATTTAGGAATGTTGTTTGCTGTGATAAACTGTTCAGTTGTGCTCCATTGGCTTTAGACCATTTAACCTCAAGACAGCTGCCTCTCCACCACTTCAACCCAAATATTCAATATTTTAATTTCATGCTAAGATGTAAAGAACGATTTGTGTTTTTCAAGTGTTGAAAAGAGAGAAAATACCCTTAAATGGCGATAGTAATGTTGCTTAAAGGAACTGTGTATGATAGAAGTTAGAGGATGGGAACCCTATTTTGTAATCCCCAAAATTGTGATCTTTCCATTAAGTTGTTATTTCATATAGAACTTACTGTCAATTTAGACCTCAAGTCCTACGTATTGTTACTAGATGACAGCTTCCCAATCTGATCCCTTTGCACTTAATATTTTCCGCCTGAAGTGAAGGACCCTGAGTTGGCGGTTACCTGTCATCTGGGTAACATTGGTGTCTGAATTCAGCTTATTTAGGTTTACTTTGATCAGAGTTCTTTCAGAGACTCCCCGTCCCACACTCAGCTTTGCGCCACCTGCAAATCTTGTAAACCAGTATAATAAGGTGATCCTGGTTAGGACTGGACCTTAGTCACAGCTTTGGGGACCTCAAAGAACAAATACTGAACAAATAGGTAGTTAAATGTTGGGGGTGTGTATTTTGCTACATAAGAGAGGGAGATGTGGATTTATATTTGAGGCAAACTATCCCTTTGTTTTGAGAAAACTTTCTTTTAGTTATATGAATATAAAGCAAGTGGTATCTATTGTTATTGAGGAAGGCCTTTGCTGTGGTCAAGTAACTAGATTTTACTGGGAAATCTCCCTATTTCAATTTGATTGCATACATTGCATACATTTTAGTAATATAATTTGTGTGCATCTTTTAGCTGGGTTATGTCTTTGCGGACTTCACAGTTTTTTAGGGGACGAGCTGCTACTTTTCTCAGTAAATTTAATTGTAAGTTATGTTTGGGAGGATGCACGTGTGTTCTCGTCCTAGGAGCTGTTTGCAGGACATCCAAAGGGAAGAACCTGAGAACTGCAATAAGGCCTGACAGCATGAGTTCTATTTCAGCCTGGACCACTGCCGTTATTTAACTCTGAATCATCCTGATGACCTTGGGAAATGGATAATTAGACTATTGCCTTCTGATGATTTGGGGGGCCCATGTTTCTAGGGAGTGGTCCCACTGTATTTAATCCGGGATAGAGTTTAATTTTAGAACAGAAAATAAAAAACTGGGGAAGGAGATCTTGAACTTGGGTGATGGAAAATATTCCTTTCCTTCTCAGCCCTCAACTGGATAAGTAGTTGTCTGTATCCCTCTGTGCGTCACTTATTCCCTGAAACGGTGGTGTCTGTTTTGCTCATCACTTTACCCCCACGCCTAGCATGATGTCTAACATGCAGCAAGCAATGAATATAGATTTTTTTAAGTGAATGATAGAATGAACAAATACTAAAAATGTTCACCAAAGGATGGCTAAATATACAGCATTCTTAGAATAACTGTACCTTAAATTACAAGACGTCTTCCTTACTAGAACGTACAGTTTTTGAGGGAAAAACAAAAAGACACGGTTCAGCTTGTCATCCAGCTTTTAATGAACCACCATTTGGGTCCTATTTATAGTGTGTTCTCTCTAGCTGGGTGGAAATGGGTTGGTTTTACTTTCCAATGCATGGGGACAAGCTGTGAAAAGTGCGTATCAAGATTCATTAAAACAAAAATGAAAGCAAGTTCAGTCTCCAAACCATCTTCTTTCCTTCATTGTAACAAAGAGTTTGCATTTAATGTTGGATCCTGAAACAAAAGTTTGCCCAAGAGTCAATTGTCCCTCTACCTAAGCCTGTTTCCTTCCAGAAGCAGGCAGTTTGTCAGGCCCCCAGAGGGAGGCTGGATCCCTGCAGAAACGGCTTTGAGGGTAGTTCTTTCAGCAAGTACACCATGTCTGTTTCTGGTTTGGCTTTTCAGTTTCCTGGAGTTGTTCTTTTGAACAGAGCGGGCAAAGCCTTGCTAAATACTGCAGCTCATTGAAACCCCAGTGTTGAATCCCCATTTCGGATTGTTTTCAATGTATTGAACTCCCCTGGCTCTCGTGAACTTTCCCTTGGTTCACTGTAGAGGGTGGGTGTTGGAGTCCTGGGAGACTTCTCATATTCTGTTGTTAAACAGCTGTTTCCAGAGGCCTGTTACCCTCACACCCACACAAGTCTGAAAATAGCAGCCATGTCCCTCCCTGTACGGTCTGTGCTTTCAAAGGCACAGTTTTCTCAGTTCTGCCTTGCAGTTGCCTTCATTTCTCTTTCTGGTAAACAAAGAATCAGGCTATTTTGTTTAGTTGGTTACAAGTTGTTTTCAAAACACTTCAACCATGGTAAGCAACAGAATACATAAATGCAACGGACGTAAACCAGGGAAACAGCCAACTTTTTTCGATGCTTGCTCTTTTGGAAAGTGTTGGCTGCTCTGGCATAAAGGAGATTGTTTTGTTGACTTAACAGTCCGTATCAGAGTTACCCAGGGCTTACTTATGAGAACTTCTGGAAGAATAGCTCCCTGCTGCAGAGGGGGGCTCCTCTTCTGACATTTGCTTTTCAAAACTTTTTCTTTCACTGATCTTTTCAAGTTTTTAGTTGTTTTTAAATTGAGCTGAGATGTGCATAACATAAAATTGACCATCGTAAAGTGAACAGTGCAGTGGCATTTAGTACATTCACAATACTGTGCAACCACCACCTATGTCTAGTTCCAAAATATTTTCATCACCCCCAAAGAAATCCCTATACCCATTAAGCAGTCACTCCCTATTCTTCCTTCGCCCCCTAGCGCCTAACAGCAACCATTCTTCTTTTTGTCTCTGTGAATTTACCTATTGATATAAATGGATTCATATAATATGGGATGTTTTGTGACTGGCTTTTTTCACTTATCATAACGTTTTCAGGGTTCATCCATGTTGTAGTGTGTGTCAGTATTTCATTCCTTTTACAGCCAGATAATATTCGTCATATGTATATACCACATTTGGTTTATCCATTCATCTGTTAATGGATAGTTTCCACCTTTTGGACATTGTGAATAGTCCTGCTATTTATATTGGTGTACACTTATCTGTTTGAGTGCCTGTTTTCCATTCTCTTGGGTATATACCTAGGAGCAGAATTGTGGCATCATATGGTAACTCTGTTTAACTTTTTGAGGAACTGTCAAACTGTTTTCCACAGTGGCTGCACCATTATACATTCCTACCAGTAGTGTACAAGGGTTTCCATTTCTCTGCATCCTCATCAGCACTTGTTATTTTTTATTCTTTTGATTATAGTCATCCTAGTGTGTTTGAAGTAATCTCTCATCATGGTTTTGATTTGCATTTCCCTAATGACTAATGATGTTGAGCATATTTTTGGAAGCTTGTATATCTTAGTATATCTTTGGAGAAATGCCTATTTAAGTTTTTTGCCCATTTTTTAAATGGGCTGTTTGTCTTTTTTGTTGTTGAGTGCTAAGAGTTCTTTATATGAGTCCCTGTATACTAGACCCTTATCAGATACAAGATTTGAAAATATTTTCTTCTATTCTTTAGGTTGTCTTTTCACTTTCTTGATAAATGTCCTTTGATGCACGAACATTTTTAATTTTGATGAAGCCCAATTTCCCCAATCCTTTTTTACACAAAGGCATGGAGGTGCAGATGGAAGAGGTCTAGTTGTTCCTGGGTCTAGCTTATGAACTAATTTGACCCTCAGAATATTGTTGAGCTGTGCTTGTCCTGGCTACAGAATTATACCCACAGGTTTTATTTGAAGATGCTTCATTTAAAACCATTATAATTTTGTATTTTACTTGTCTACAGATTTTCTTTATGTTAGAAAAGTGTACTATTATAAATCTAGGTATTCTTGGCTGGAATATGTTATTTACCACTGGAGCTTAGAATATGCTGTTACTTAGAAAGAGTGGAGTATGTAATTGATGCCACCCAATATTATGTCTGTAGCTCAGACCGCTCTTCTGGACTCTGAATTCATGTGTCCATCTTCCCAAGGGTGTTTACTACACATTTTGAATTTAGAGTATTCCCAATCAAATCCTTGTTTTCTACCCTCCTTTTATTAACACATGCTGGCCTCCTCAGTTTTCTACATCTCAGCAAACAGCAGCTTCATTTTTCCAGTATCTTAGACCAAACACACTGGATTCATCCTTGATTCTTTTCTTTCACATCCTACATCCAGATCATTAGCAAATTCTGCTTATTCGACCTCCGAAATATGGACATATCTCTTCGCCTGCAGGGGTATCAGCCAGTTAAGCCACATCTTAGTAGCCTAGATTCTTATCCTCTCACTCGTCTCCTGTTTCCCTCTCTTTTTTCTCTACAACATATTCTTCACATATAGCCAGAGGAATCCTTTCCAAAGGAGCATCAGGTCATGTCACTCTGGTGCCCCAAACCCTGCAGGGGGCTCCCATCTCACTGGAGTGAGGCCCCAGCATGCACTGCCCGCCTTCCTCTCACCATCTGCTCTGATGTCCTTGCACGCCCCTCACCCCAGGCTCACTCTGCTGTAGCTCCCAGGCCTTGCTGTTTCTCAAGGATTCCACTGGCTGTGTACTGCTGTCCCTTCTGCCTGAAACACTGTTTCTCCTGGAAACCAAAGAGCTCATCCCTCACTGCCTTCAGGGCTCTGCTCAAAGTTCTTCTGCATCTGGGAGTCCTGTTTGACTCTCAAGCAGAGAGTCCTGCTGGCACAGCGCTCTCCACCCTCCTTACTCTGCTTTTCCTTCATCACACTTTGCACGTGGCTACTTTTACATAGCACATAATAGACATTTATTGTCTGTCACTATTTATTAGGTTGATGCAAAAGTAATAGCAGTTTTTACCATTATTTTCAGTGGCAAAAACTGCAATTACTTTTGCACCAAACTAATATTTCCACCAACACACACACACACACACACACACACACACACACACACACAGAGTTGAGGTCCAACTGAACAGCTCAATAAAGAAAAATTCTGCATTCCATGCACATTGTGTGACTTTCCTTCATCGATATGAAAAATAGAGGGACTGGATGCATAGTAGTTTCTATTTCACGATGACCTTCAAGGTCTGCATTGCAGCGCCCATTCTGAATTACTCAGTGTATTGATTTTTAAACAGGAGTGCCTCCATTTGTGTGATGCAGTCCATTGTGCTCCTAATCCATTCATTAGGGATTCCCAAGTTGCCTTCATACAATGGACCACATCTCTTTGAAGAAACTATTATGGATTTCCATGTGGAGTCCCAGAGGATTAAAATAAAGCCTTGAAGGTTAGAGGAGTTGCCCCAGTCTTGTGATCTGTTAGGCCCTCTGAGTCATCTTGGCAATTGGTGATCCCAGTTCATAAGATTCCAGGAAATGTGATTGTATCAAATGATAGCATCTAACACGAGAGCAGTGACTCTTTCTGTTTCCTCTTTTTGTAACACAAAGGAAATTCAAACAAGTGTTTTTAGGTCTTATTGCATTTTACCAACTCTTTTCAGATGGGGAGAAAGTGTTTGGCATTCATTTTCTAGGTCATCAATATGTTCCGGGTAGAACACTCAAAGAAGGCTAGGTGGAAGTGCCAAAGGGATTACTGAGTGCACTGTACCCGTTTACCAGATTAAGAAACTAAGGCCTATGACCCATGTGGCTTGCCTGGGGTCCCAGAGCTAAATACTGGTAGAACAACTTATTTGAGGGAACTGAAGCATAGCAGATTGAGGTTCCTTTCCAGTGACTGCACAGCCACTCAGGGAAGAGCAGGAACTAGAACCCAGGCCTCCTAACTCCCTAGTCAGCATTTTTTCCCACTCAACTGCTGGACTGCTGGTTTGTCTCCAGCCCCTCTTTTTTTTTTTTTTTGGAGACAGAGTCTCACTCTGTCAACCAAGCTGGAGTACAGTGACACCATCTCGACTCACTGCAACCTCTGCCTCCCAGACTCAAGGGATAGTCCTGCCTCAGCCTCCTGAGTAGCTGGGATTACAGGTGTGCACCACCACACCTGGCTAATTTTTGTATTTTTAGTAGAGATGGGGTTTCACCATGTTGGCCAGGCTGGTCTCGAACTCCTGACTTCAGGCGATCCACCTACCTTGGCCTCCCAAATTACTGGGGTTACAGGCGTGAGCAATGGCACCCAGCGCCTCCATTCTTTAATGACATTCTCTTTAGAGAATTGGGGTTTATGGTGCTGTTCAGAAGGCGGCAATTGTTTAACTGAGTCAATGTCCTGATAAGATCAACCTGTCTTCCTTTTTGATAATCAGACCTCACTTTATTTAACCTTTGTAAATATGCTGATGCACGAAGACCGAGTGAGTGAACATGTCCATGAGCTAGCTTTCCAAAGGCAATTGATTGCTTTAAAAAAATGTTAGCTTTGCACAGTGGTTCTCAAAGCATGGTCCCTGGACTAGCAGCATCAGCATCACCTTGGAAATGCAAATTCTTAGGCCTCATCCCAGACTTACTGAATCAGAAACTGGGTGAGGTGCAACAAGTTGTGTTTAACAAGTGCTCCAGAGGACTCCGGTGCTCACTCAAGTTTGAGAAGTGCTAGTTTAGTAGCTGCTGTTGATGTCTTGCCTGATACACTTGGGGTTCCTTTCACTAAACTGCTATAGGTGCTGCAGCTAAGAGCTCACACCTGAAGCCTGCTCCTGAAGCTGTCCTTGAGCAACTGAAGCTGCTTACACCGAAGATGCTTTGGGGTCTCCCTCACCCACATGAATGCAGGGTGGCTGGAAGCCAATGAATGACAGATGCAGGTTACCAAAGCCCTCTTGCCTCAAGATGGGACAGACTCCACTATCCTATTTATGTTCCAGAGCTCCCAGTGTGATTAGGCAGAGAGATGCTGGACTTCTCCTGAAACCACATCCTTGCTTTCTTCCAATCCTGCTTCCCTCACTCCCATGCAGATTTCTCCTGCAAGCCATCTGCCAATAAATTACTTGCCCAAGAACCACCATCTTATGCTCTGTTTCTGAGGAACCCAACCCAAGACAATTTGCAGTTCACATCAGAGATACTCCTCTTGTAGATGAACCTGTGGGGCTGGGCATATGGAGAGAACATTCTCAGCAAGTTACTCCAATTTGGGCAGCCCATTTTCCACATTGCTTTAAGACTTATATCCACAGTTGTCACATCCCACCTATATTTTTGAAAGTTTCCTTGACTAGTTGGTAATTCAGTCTCCTACAGATTGATGCTAGGTGAGAGAGATTCTAGGCAAGAGAAACTGGAAGATGGTTGGTCTTCTTTTAACCAGACAGAATTGCTGGTGTAGTATGCAGTTTGGTTTTGTTGACACTGGAAGTGGTGGTGGATTCAATATGGTCGTTAGACAGATCTATTGCAATTGTTTTGGATCATTTGGTCTTTGGAGGCTCATATGGAATGTTCAAAGATCTCATTCCAAGAGTTAGCTCTTCTGTGGGAAAGGGCCACAGGAAGTCCAAGCTTGAGCTCCAAAGGTGCTTCTTAAGCTCCTCCTCCAGCCCTAAAATCAAGGGGAAAGGCAGCTCTAGGGAGCTTTCTATCATGAAGTGGAAACAAGATTCAGTGAAGGGTCTATTCCTAGGATGCTCTCCCATTTCCCTGGGCTCTGGAATTCTTGGTTCCCACAGAACCTCAAACAGATGGTTGCAAGTTTGATTCTAGGCTTATGAAACTTGAGCCAGCCCCAAATGAAATCACCTCTGGGTTGGCCAGGAGCCACTTTTTCTAATATGTTTCCTTTCGCGCCTTTCACCCTACCCCGCATAGGAGTTGACGATCATCATTAAATGTCATATGTTTTCACACAATGGAAATGAATTGTCACAATCACTATGTTGTAGGATTAGGAAGGGCCTTATGCAGGTTTTTCCATCCTTTAAGATTTAATGATAAAAAAAAAAACCTTATTTTTTGAAAATCTTATGAGATGGGCATGGTGGCTCATGCCTATAACCCCAAAACTTTGGGAGGCCTAGGTGGGTGGATCACACTTGAGGTTAGGAGTTTGAGACCAGCCTTGCCAACATGGAGAAACTTCATCTCTACTAAAATAGAAAAATTAGCCAGACATGGTAGCGCATGCCTGTGATCCCAGCTACTTGGGAGGCTGAGGCAGGAAAACCACTGGAACCCAGGAGGCAGAGGTTGCAGTGAGCCAAGACTGTGCCACTGCACTCTAGCCTGGGTGACAGAGTGAGACTCTGTCACGAAAACAAAAGAAAAAAAAAAAATAAAAGAAATCTTCCACTAGTGTTGTGTGGAAGAAAAAAAAAATCTGTTCTCATAGGAATCCACTGTAAAAGCCAGTTCTCACTCTCCCAACATTCTTTGTAACAAACCTGAAAGTCTTACACTGCAAATTAAGCTAATTTCCTTTTCATTTAGCCTTTGCAGAACTGTCTACTGATATTTCCTGGTTTAACACATTATGATGAAAAGATGAACTCTGTTGAGAGAAATGATATTAATGGAAGTTTATTTTAAGGATGAGCTGACTATTCATATCTGGACACTCTACATTTGATTCCTGGCAGACCACTGGAGAGCTAAACATTTAGATCACATTGTCGGAGGCCTGCATGAAAAATTACTTTTGCTGGGAAGTGCATTGATATTTACCCTTGTTAGCTTCAGACACAGGGATCTTTTAATAAACACCCCTAGCACAGCAGCAATCACATTTATTCTAAAAGTGATGAAGATGTGGCCCATGTGAAGACCTGCATGGAAACGTTCTTCTAGATTCTATGTGCTAGGAAAAACTTTATTTCCTCAGAATTACTGGCAAGCTTTATTTCTTAGACAACATGAATCAAGCACTTGACTATATTTTCCCTTTTTGAGTGGGCCATAAGAAAGCTCAGTGCCAAATTTTGGGTTCATCTTTGGAGTGGAGCCTGCATAAATTTTTTTTTCTATTTTTCCCTTGGTTTTGTCCATGTGTATTTTTGCAAGGCCCAAATTTTAAGTTTTATACCTATTTCATCTTAGCAGATCTATGGAGCCATTTAGAATACTTTATGTATCAAGGCAGGGAGTAAATATAGCATAAACATTCTAATAACCCCTAAGCTTAAAAAATTATTTATCAAACTACCCCTCACTTACCTTTAAAAAAAGAAAAAGAACTAAATAAATCATGTGGTAGCTTACACTTTGAAATGGGGTCAGAATTTACAGGATAATTAAAATGCCAGCTCTGGTTCCAAGATGAGGGAAGACCCAGACACAAGATCACTGAGGAAGCCAAGATAGTATTTGCCAAATGTATAAAAGCAAAATGAGCAGGAAACATTTCTACCTATTTAAGAAAACATTGCAAATGAGAACTGCAATGAGGTCAGAGGACTGTGGATATGCAGAGCAGCTAGGGGAAAAATCCTGTCAGACCTTGTAGCATGGGTCTCCTGGATGACCCCACAAAAGCCTATAAGACATCAAGAGTGCACTGACTATAACAACAATGTGTAATTAATCCCAAACAATTTGTGTATCTCTCAATAGATATTTGTGAGAGGTAGTATGATCACCTTCGTGTGGGACATATTTTCCTCTTCATATACCGTTTACTTTCAAATGATTATTTGAGGAATCAGAGCCAGTGAAAAAAGAACTCTGGAGGAAGAATTATGAGAGGAAGAGAGCTGGGGAATTTATACTTTGCAGTGAGCATGAATTTTTTCTTTTTTGTTCATTTTTCAGCACAGTACTCAGGAAATATTTTTGAAGAAAAAGAAAACCACAAACAAGAATACTAATTAATTAAAATGCTAAGCAGGTACCAGTTCCCACATGGAATCTAACCATAACCAGTGATATGGAAACTCAACTTTTGGAAAAACTCAGGCCCCAAAATACATTTTGATAGTTTTAGGGCATAAAGGAACTTTAGGTCTTTGTGATAGAATTGGGAAGATGTGAGATATAAATGGTTGTGAGGTTTCATCAATGCAGGTCTTTGTTCATCAGGTTCAAATTAGCATTTTTTCTGCTAGTCCCTGAAAGTTCTGCTGAAGCTAAATTTAAAGACTGTCTGTATTAGTCCATTTTCACACTGTTATAAAGATACTACCTGAGGCCGGGTGCGGTGGCTTACGCCTGTAATCCCAGCACTTTGGGAAGCTGAGGTGGGCAGATCACTTGAGGTCAGGAGTTTAAGACCAGCCTGGCCAACATGGTGAAAGCCAGCCTGTCTCTACTAAAAAATTAGCAAATTAGCCAGGCATGGTGGTGTGTGCCTGTAATCCCAGCTACTCAGGAAGCTGAGGCAGGAGAATTGCTTGAACTTGGGAGGTGGAGGCTTCAGTGAGCCGAGATCGCACCACTGCGCTCCAGTCTGGGCAACAGAGTGAGACTCCATCTCAAAAAAAAAAAAAAAAAAAAAAAGTGGAAGGTGAAGGGAAAGCAAGGCATGTCTTACATGGTAGCAGGCAAAACAGAGAAGAGAGCAAAGGGGGAACTGCCAAACACTTTTAAAACCATCAACTCTGGTGAGCGAGAACAGCATGGGGGAAACTGTCCTCATGATCCAATCACCTCCCACCAGGTCTCTCCCATGACACATGGGGATTACAATTCGAGATGAGATTTGGGTGGGAACACAGAGCCAAACCATATCACTATCTCTTCCATAGCTATTTTCCCTCACATTGCTTTAATCAAGCCTCTTTCTCCCTGTGGGTCATCCTTACTTATGATCTCAAGAACCCACCCAGCCCAGCCTAGCCTCTCCCTGACCTTGTGCAAATGGTAGGAAGCCTGACGGTTTGCTCTGCCTTAAGGTCTTGCCTCATCTGCCCAGAGAACTCCAACCTGGCAGTAGGGAAGGCTGAAAACCAGCTCAAGTCAGAACAAGAACCCCCAGCAAATGCTCAGGAATTCATGGAACTAGACACCTCTGAAAATGGAAGGCAAGTGCTGCTTAAAGCAAGCAGATTTGTTAAACATCTGTATAAGAAGCAGTTAGAACCCCCAGCAGAGGGTAGGAGTTTTGTACCCTGGAAATGCTGAATCAGTGGGACTAGACTCTGGAAGGAAACTAAATTCAGTCAAGGGTAATGGTACTGTGCTGGAAACAGGAAGATTATCTAGAAGTCTGCACACTGTTGGGTAGTACCCAAGCCCCTCCCTTCAACTGGGATCTCAGTCAGCCAGGTTTACATTCCTCAGACAGGATATGGAAAATACCCTCTCTGGAAAGCCTCTCTCATAGCCTGGCTTCTGCCTGGGGGCCTAAGCATGCCACAAAATACAAACAACAGCAACAAAAACTGGCCCATGTGCATCAGTTACTGATTGCTACAATAATGCCACATAACAAATCATCCCAAAATTCAGTGACATAAAAATCAATTATTATTGCTTATGAGTCTATAAGATGCCTGAGTGGTTATTTTTGCTGTGTTTATGTACACATTTGTGATCAGATGTATGTCAAGTCAGTGGTTCTGGGATCTTGGCTGGGGTTTCTCACATGTCTGTCAGCTGCTCATTGGCTAGCCTGGGCAAGTTAACATGGTGGATGCAAGATGTGATGTTCCAAGAGAAAGAATGGGAGCTGCAAGATCCCTTCAGGCCAAGGCTTGGAACTGATACGCAGTCACCTCTGCCATATTCTATTGGCCAAAGCAAGTCACAAGGGCAGCCTAGATTCAAGGGATGGGAATAGACACTGCCTACTTAGAAAGAGGCATAGCAAAGTTTCAGGTGAAAGAACAAAGGGGTGAAGAATTGGGGACATTGTTAAAATTAATCTACCATACTAGGTTTGTGTATTTTTCTATAACTTTGGATGTGTCATGCCTCATTTTAACCTTAAAAGGAAGGATCCAGTAATATTAAATGGTGGCAGATATTTTACCTAAAATTCTCATTGATGTTCTGGGATTTTTCTACTACTAGCAAAGGTAGAAATTAATACTTAAACTGAAATAAAATAGCCAGCCTGTGAATTTCCCATGTGATGAATTACATGACTAATGTCTCCATCTGTACCTAAAACACATAAGCATGTGGCATATGGAAATATGATAGGCAGATGGGGGCTTCAGACAGGAAATACATCCTGTATGTAAACTGCAGCTGGGGAGAGAAGGCAGTCAGCATTAGAACAGGGAATGGAATCATTCATCACGTAACCTAAGCAGGAGGACAGCTGCAGCTTTGGGGTCTGACGCAATCAGGAAGGCTAGGCCAGAGTCAATACTGTCATAAAACCCTTCAGAGAGTAGCCCAGTCATTAAGAACATGCTCTTCAACGCCAGGGAAAGGAAAGGGGCTAAATGCTTTCTCATTTTTCCTGACTTAACAACTGCAGTCTAGAAAGTTTCACCATTATAGGAAAAAACAAAAGTCACTCCTGAAAAACAAGCCTACAAACAAGGGCTATTTTGGGAAATTTAACAAGTGGGAAGCATCCCTTCTGAATCAGGACATCCGTGCTAAACTTTTCTTTTCACAGCTGAGTTATTGGCCAGATTTTCCAGGGGCTTCCAGTATCTATGTGAAAAAATAGAAGATCCTGGGAAATTAAAAAATTAAGAGGCCTTCTGCCCATTCCACATAACAAGTGAGCTGGGCTGGCCCTAGGAGTCATAGAACTGGGAGGGTTCTGGAGCATTTCCTGATGTCTCTAAGATACCATCTGGTCTTCTGTGAAATGGGAGAGTGTATTAGTTATGTATTGCTGTGTAACAAAATACTCACACAATCTAGTGGCTTAACACAACAAACACTTACTCTGTGGGTTGATAATTGGGGAGCACCTTAGCTGAGTGGTCAGAACCACTGAATCAGAATCAGATTCAGGGTCTCCTTTTGGTTGAAGTTGAGATGTCAGCTAGGGCTGCAGTCATCTGAAGGCTTGACCGGGGCTGGAGGTTGTTTCTAACATGGTTCACTCATGTGGCAGGAGGCCTCAACTCCTTACCACATGGACTCTATAAGGCTGATTGAGTGTCTTCATGACTGCCACTTCCCTTCCCCTGGAGCTTAGTGATGAGAGAGAGAGCAAGAGCATGAGCAAAAGCACACAGTGTCTTTTATAACCTAATCTCTGAAGCAATGTATTATGATTTCTCCTGTATTCTGTTGATCACAAGAACCAACACTGGTACAAAGTCGGAGGGGACTACACTAGGGTGTTAATACCAGGCAGTTGGTTCCATTGTGGCATCTTAGAGGCTACTATGATAGAGAATTAGGCTAGATGAACTTTCTAGTTCCTTTTAGGTAAGTGGTTATGTGGTCTTGTGCAAAGGGGACACAGATGCATACACCACTGGCACCAGAAGGTATAAATATAAAATAGGCTTTACCAGGGTGGTTGCAGAGAAGACTCCAGAAAAGTAAAAAGCAGATTGTATACATTCTATCCACCCAAGCTCTCATGATCTCACAGGGGGTGGTACATAGCTGAGCTGCATATGCTGGGGAAGGGGCCCCATAGACTGGAAGCTGATTGCACTGTATATTTATATGGAAAGCAGGGAAGGGAATATTTATCCTGTTTAATCTTGTTCAGAGAAGTTGCCTTATTTAAAAGGGAGAACTTTTTGGAGCCAGTGACAGATATCGCTCAGAATCCTCTTTCTAAAGGCAAAGAAGTATGTAATACGTAGGTTCACAGTTCTTTATGCACAATTCCATGATCTAAATGCTTTGAAAACCTGAAGTGTTTTTTCATCAGTGATTTGTTAGCAAAATTTGACTTCAATTATCCAGAGGCTATTTACAGTCTTTTTCCCATTTAGGGTGAATATTCATACATTACATTGCAGAAATGTTAATGTGTTTGATTATAGGGTGCTACCCCAAGACCTGCTGAGGGAATTAATAATAGACATTATGTACACTGTATTGTCTTTTTCTAAAATATAAAAATACTCATCTCTATATGGGTAGGCACTACCTTTATGTAGTTAATTCTAATGATGCAAATTCTGAAAAACACCATAGTTATCTGACCTCATAGCAGAAAATAAACTCTATTACCTCATGACAGGACTTTCTACCTCACTGAAATCTAACTCCTGGACCACTAGAAATGTAAGTGGGAATCTTAATAAAATACAGGCCAATGATCCTTTACCCCAAATCATTGTGGCCAGATATGTTTTGAAATTCATATGTTTGGAGATAATTACACATATAGTGAGTCACATGTGATAGAATGGTTTGAAGCCTGATCTGCCTTTTATTAGTTGTGTAGCCTTAAATAAATTATTAACCATTCTGAGATAGAGTTTCTTATCTGTAAAATGGGAATGATGATGATATTTACCTCAGAGGGTTATGGTAGGAATTCAATGAGATGATGTGGCAGTCAGTGTCAGATAAATGATAGCTATTCTCTTGTCCTCTGCCATCATTTTTATTTCAAGTTCTACAAGGTGGATCTTGACTCTGGGAAGATTTCTATGTATTTTGTCCCTTTTTATTTATCTCAATTGATAAAATCATTCTTTTTTGTTTCAAGTATACCATGTGACCACACAAACAGAGATAAGATGTAACTGAATATACAGAAATGATTAGTCAAATCCAAGCCAACAAATTTCCAGTTGGTCCAGAAGTTGCCTTTACCTTATCAACAGACTTAAACTTTTCTGGATTTTGCTACATTTCATGACCCACAAAACAGCTGATATCAAAATGTTGAAAGGAAGAACGAGTATGTTTTAAACCAGGTAACTCTGTCATTTGACATTGAATTTAGAATGTGAGGCAACTGGAGTCCAAACCCTGATTTCTTAAATAATGAGAAGTGGTTTTTGGTTGTTAGCCCCAAGTTAGAAATTAGGATTTCAAAGAGCTGCCTGGTGAGCAAAGTTTAAACTTGTGAGCTGTAATTATTTTTGTATATATCTCATCTGTTTAAGCTAATTTCCTCTTTTCTTGATGGTGATCTATGCAGTAAACATCATATTTAACTCCAACCTACCCCTGAACAAATCTTTCCTTCGTTCCTCTCTCCCTTCCTTCCTCCCTCTCTCCCTCCCTTCCTTCTTTTCTTCCCTCTCTCCCTCCCTTCCTTCCTTCTTTCTTTTTTCTGCATTTTCTGGTAGTACATAAAAAGGGTACCATCTAAGAAGCAGTTGAAACAGCTTTACAATTTTTCATACCATAAGTGCTCAGTTTGCCTCCAGAATTTACATTATTTCCATTCTATATTAATAAAAAATCTAATCACCTCCTAATTTCTCCATTTCACTTTTCCCTATTCCATTTTTAATCCTTGCAGAGGATGGATTAAATCCAGAGTTGAATGAGTTCTATCTACTAAGGAAAGCAGTCTCATTGCATCAGTAAGTAAAGTATGTACCAGTTCTCTGCTCAGTCACCAGTTGGATAAATGCAGCACACTGCTGTTTAGAATTTATAATCAAAAAGCAATTGAGTTTGTTGCTCCTGTGAACTTTCTAATTCATATCATCTTATGATCAGAGAAGGTATACCCACAGAACGTAGAATGCTAAGTTTGTGTAAGTAATGTAGTGTAGGTTAAGCATGCTGGGTCTGGACCCCAGAGAATAGGGACTTGTTTGTCTCCTAGTTACATACGATTCACTAAATCTCACCAATGCCATGCTAAGCATAGGAAATACTATGTTTATTCTTGTTATAATTACCTTCCAAGATAGTATAGGTGAAGTATGTTGGCTCTAGGGTCAGAGTGCCTGGATTTGAATTCTGTCTCTGAGTTTCCATCAGTAACCCTACTAGCCGTGTGAGCTTGGGGAGGTATCTTAACCACTCCATGCCTCAGTTTATTTATAAAATGGGCTAATACAATATTTTATTGAATCTAAGACACAATATATAGATATTGTAGGATACAACATTATTTTATATACCACCGACAAACGAAAATGATGCTCTAGAGGGCATTTCTCATGGTCTCCATGTTGAAACATGGAGGCAGGCCTTTGAAGGATGAAGTCTTAGTTTCAGCTAGGATATATTTTAATCTGAACAAATGGAATGCACTCTGGGGAGGAGGTGTATTTGATTTCCACGAGACATCTGCTTTATGGAAGCCATTGCCCAGAACTGATCTTTTTCCTCCCACGTGGCGGCCTTCCTGAGAGCTGAATGTATAGTCCTTCTGTCTGTCTACATGGCTAAATGGCCAAAGAAGGAGCTGCTGCAGAACAGAGGATAGGATGAGGGTCTTCTTTGACGAGATCAACCACATTTCTGCAGAGCATTCTAGTGCTGCAGCCCAGGGCAAATGTGCAAAAGGAAATGGTGGGAAAAAAGGAGTGCACAAGGATTTGCAGCAAGGTATGGGCTCAACCAAAAGGTGCTAGTAAAATCTAGGTCTTATGACCCTTCCATTTAAAACCCTCTCAAGGCTCCCATTTTTGTTCAGGGCAAAAGCCAAAGTTCCACCAAGCCCTTACGCTGCTCCCCTTCTCTCTCCAACCTCATTACCTTCCATGCTGCCTTTTGCTGTCCCCACCCCAGCCCACAATTGCCCTCTTGCAGATCCCTGGACACTCCAAAAACACTCCTATCTCAGGGTCTGTGCTCCTGCTGTTCCTCTGCCTGAAGCCTTCTTCCTCTCCATGTCCCAAGCCTGCTCCCTTACCTCCCTCAGGCAGCTCAGGGGCCACTGCCTCCGTGAGGCCTCCTAGAATCATCCTCTGACAGTTGCGGTCCTCCCCACCCCAGGCCCTTCCCTACAACCCCTCTCCACAGCACTGCCCAGCATCTTACCTGCTGCAAATATTTCACTCCTTACTTTGTTCATGGTTCATGTTTCCTGACTAGAATAGAAATTCTGGATAGGAAGGGAAATCTGTCTGTTCTGTTTGTATCCTAAACCTTAGAATATTTCCTGAGACATGGCAGGCACTCAAAAATTTGATTGGCTTGAATGAGTTAATAGTAACATTAATATGGGCCATTGAGGCAGTTAACAGAGAATGTTTCTGTCTGTGCCATCCAATATGGTAGCCAGCAGCCCCACTGAACACTGGAAATGTGTCCAAATCGAGACATGCTCTAAGTATCAAATATACATGGGATTTTGAAGACTTAGTGCAAAAAAGGATGCCAAGTTTCTCATTAATCCTTTTAATATTGATTTCTTGTTGAAATAATATTTTTTATATATGAGGTTAAAGAAAATATATTACTAAAATCACATTTCACCTCTTTCATTTTACTTTTTAAATGAACTACTAGTTTTGTTTTTTTAGAGACAGGGTTAGAACATTTAAAATACGGCTCCTGTTAGGTTTCTGTTAGACAGTGCTGGGCTATATGCTTGTCGTCAGGTAGCCATGTACTCCTTTTCAATGAGTTAGAAAAACAGAAGCATTGATTGAAGAGGTGTGGTTTTTGTTTTTTCTTCATTAAATATTTGTACCAGGTACAGTTCTAGGCATTGAGGAAATAGTAATGCATAAAACAGAAAAAAATTCTTGCCAGATTAACTGATACTTGGTCCTCTCTCCAGCAGGTTAGCAAAACATTGCCTATACCTCAGAGTTGAATTTATTGGTGGTAAAACTAGAGTTTGTAAATATGAAGTTGATTTAGATGTATGTGTAGTTAGTTGCACATGCTTACTGCATGTGGTCGCACTTTTATGCATGCTGCAAGTATGTATTAATTATCAAAATATTTTGTCATTAGTAACCTAATCAAAAACCCTAAGTAGATTTTTTTTTTTTTTTTTTTTGAGACAGGGTCTTACTCTGTTGCCCAGACCAGACTGCAGTGGTGCGATCTGGGCTCACTGTAGCCTCGACCTCCTGCGCTCAAGTGATCATCCCACCTCGGCCTCCTGAGTAGCTGGAACTACAGGCACGTGCTACCACACCCGGCTAATTTCTGTGTTTTTTTGAAGAGACGGGGCTAATTTATATATATATATATTTTGTTGTTGTTGTTGCCCAGGCTGGTCTCAAACTCCTGAGGTCAAGAGATCCAACTGCCTCGGCCTCCCAAAGTGTTGGGATTACAGGTGTGAGCCACCACCCCTGGCTAGTAGATTTTTTTTTTTTTTTTTTTTTTTTTTTTTTTTTTTGAGACGGAGTCTCGCTCTGTCGCCCAGGCTGGAGTGCAGTGGCGGGATCTCGGCTCACTGCAAGCTCCGCCTCCCGGGTTCACGCCATTCTCCTGCCTCAGCCTCCCAAGTAGCTGGGACTACAGGCGCCCACCACCACACCCGGCTAATTTTTGTAGTTTTTTAGTAGAGACGGGGTTTCACCGTGTTAGCCGGGATGGTCTCGATCTCCTGACCTCGTGATCCGCCCGCCTCGGCCTCCCAAAGTGCTGGGATTACAGGCGTGAGCCACCGCGCCCGGCCGCTAGTAGATTTTTAATGTGCAATTGGATACAAGGAAATCTGGATGGATCCTAATCTGCTTAGCATTCCTCATGCTTGGGTGGACTTGTAGTCCTTTTCAATGGGTTAGAAAAACAGAAGCACTGATTGAAGCAGGTGGTTTTTATTTTTTCTTCATTAAATATTTGTACCAGATATAGTTCTGGGCATGGGGGATATAGTAGTTTAGAAAGACAAAAATTCTTGCCTGCCTAGAACTTTCATTCAATTAGGGCAGACAGATAGTAAACCAATACACAAATAAAGAAAGTGTCTTGGGTGGGTTATAAGTGGCATGGAGAAAACATTCCAAGAAAAAGTACAGGGAGTGCTGTGGCAATGCGGAGAAGTTGCTGGGGAGGCTGTTAGTGAAGGCCTACAGGATGAAACAGACTAGAGCTAAAAGGAAGTCCTGACCATCTAGGGAGAGGAGGCCCTCCAGATGGAGGGAATGGCATGTGCAAAGGCCCTACGCAGACAGTGGCCGAAGACGGGGCACTGGCTCTGAGTGAAATGAGGAGCCACTGGAGGTTTTTGAGCAGAGGTGTGGTATGATCTTTGTTCCTTCTTAAGAGAATCCCTCTGCCCGCTCCACAGAGAAGAGGCTGCAGGAGGCCAGGGCAAGAGCAGGGCGACAGCTGAGGGGATTGTTGCACTGACTGAGTTGGAGAAGACTGAGGCTGGGACCAGGGGGTCCCAGTGAGAGTAATGGGAAACGGTTGGATTTAAAATATATTTGTTTTTCCTTTGATTTCCTTAGAAGCCAAAAGGAGGAAGCAAAAATCTGGGAGAAAGGTGTCATGAATGATATTATCTTGGGGTAAACTTTGGATGTCTTTGTCCCAGGAAAATGCAGCCATGTCCTACTGCAAGCTAATGGTGAGATTTAGAATCAAAGCTTGCTTGCCCTACTCATAGTACTGCATTTGTCTCTTCAATCACGCACCTGTTTTCAATGATGAAGATTCAAATTAAGCTCAGGATAAAGAATATTTAGATTTCATGCATGATGAATCATGGCATATGATAAAGGCCACAGGAAAGATTTTCATGTCTACTTGCCCGGAATAAATATGCATTGTGTCTAGCAAAATGCTAGGCCTCCATTAATTTCTTAATAAATATCAATTGGTGACAAGATGCTAATTGATGACTTAATATATTTTGAAATAGAAGTATACATGTTATTTATAGAATGAGGTTTTCAAAATACCATGAATGGCCTTAAACTTGATTCTTCTGTCTTGTTCCTATAATCTCCACTATGTAGACTGGTGCATACCAAAATTTTTAAATTTTATATATTTGTACTTTTCCAATAATTCATTTTCTAAGAAGTTTGAGGTTTTCTAAGATATGATTTTTTGGAAAGAAGGAAAGAAGAAAGAAAAGGAAGGAAGAAAGAAAGGAAAAAAAGTAGGAAAGAAAGAAGGAAGAAAGAAACAAAGGAAGGAAGTCTCTGAGAGGCAACCATCTTGTTGTCATTGGCAGAGTAGGCCTTGTTTATATTCGTGAACTTGGACTCAAAGAGTCTTCCCTCTTCCAAGATAGGAATTTCTACACTGGGATGCGGTTCTCAGCACACACTGTGGAACAGCCTAGGGGGAAAAAACCTTTAGGTTCTGCTTCTTTCAAACTTCTTGTTTTTTCCACCTCCTGACATTTTTATTCAAGTGACAGGCAGATCAAAATAAGCATAAAGGGCTTATTATAAAGCAGAAAGGCATCCAATCACCATGTCTTTTGGAGGTGTGGGAGGTAGGTGCAGATGGGACTGCTGGCTTTTTCTAGCTATTAAGCAGGTAATTGTCATTATGAGCTAATTGTGCCTCGAATCTCGTTTAGTCCCAGCCAGGACCCCCTGTCCCCAGTGACATCCTATCCTGATTTGGTGATGGCCAAGGAGCTATTCATCTAAGCAGCTTCAGGCTTCCAACCTATTGTCCTGATTTTCCCCAAGGTAGGGTACAACCTGGCCGAATCAGCAAGATGACCTTTGCCTAACTGAGTGAGTGGAATTGGGAGTAAATGTTACTTCAATGCTTGCTCTAAAAATTATTTAAAGACTTTTAAAAAGAGAAAGAAAATTCTTCTGGATCATTAGTGGGTAGAGTCCCCATAAGAACGTCTAAGAAACAATGGTGCTTTACTTCTCAGAATTATTTTCTATAACATCGTACCTATTTCATGCTTTCTTATATGAAGAAAATATGTAGGTTAGGGTTTCTTAACTGTGGCATTCGACATTCTGGGCAGGATGGTTCTCCGCCGTGGGGCTGTCCTGTGTGTTGTAGGATGTTTAGCAGCAACCTTGGCCTCTACTCAGCCAATAGCACTTCTCAGTTGTGACAACCAAAAAGTCTCAAGATATTCCCAACAGTCCCCTGGGGGGCAAAATCACCCCTGGCTGAGAACTACTGCTCTACAGATGTAATTACAGATGTATAGATATATTCCCAGTAAATGAACTGAAAGCTCTTTAACAATTTCCCCCAGAAAATGAGATGAAGGAATCGTTTGGCAAGCCGAAGACTCACGTTTTATAATTTCTAAATCACTGTTTTGAATATATTTTAAAAGCCTATAGTACCTCTGTAATTTAAAAAAAAATTCAAGAAACTCTAAATCATCTCTAATTCTTTCCCCTAAGCTAAGATTTCCAAGTGAAAGCAACCTGTTTAAATGCCTGAGAAAGAAGATAAGAACCTCATCTGAGGCTTGGAATTTGGAATTGCTCGTTCTTTAAAAGTAATTAAATTTGCCTGCAGAATCGTCTCTTTTGCCTTGGTAATTCTCCAGGCTGCTGAAATACCACATTTGCAAAAGTACACCCACGATATAACCTATCCAGTTTTTTCCTTCCTTTAAGCTCACCCACACAGGTATATTGTGGGTGAACAGACAGCAAAAGCCAAAGGCACTAATGGGGATACAACAGGACAGCCGTTGAGTCCTGCCACCAGGTAGAGGGTCATATCCCTTTTAGTATACATCTGAAAATTGCCTAGCGAGACCTGCTACTGAATGATAACAAAAGTAGCAAACTCAATGGTAATACTGATTGGCACTTTCTCTCCCCTCCAGGACACACTACACTAGTTTCATTCCTTCCACTAATGAAAACCATAAGCTTTCTCATATTTTTAGTAAAATTCTCCATGTCCTCTCCATTACACTGCTAGCACACTATTCACAAATCATAGAACAAGCTTTGAAAATTACTGTACTATGACTCGTTACAGCTCTGGCTGTAATCAGTTTTTTTTTTAAACACGTATTATATATATATATATAAAAGTTGTCCAACTATTTTTCAAAAGTAAATTCTTTACAAATTAAATTATATATACATTATATATAATTATATATGTATATACATTATATATAATGTATATACATATATATATTTATATATGTATATACATTATATATAATTATATATATGTATATACACTATATACACATTATATATACATTATATATATGTATATACATTATATACACATTATATATATTTATATATGTATATACATTATATATACATTATACATATATACACATTATATATATATTATACATATATATACACATTATATATATATATATCGTTTCTCTGCTTTTCCCTTTACTATTGAAAAAGACAAAGAAGTAACATTAGGCAACCGGGATGGGAACATGTTATGAAATGCTCAGGGAAATTCTTAATAAGTGGGCAGACTTTTGGTGAAGATAGCATTGTAAGTTGATAGTTTGAGGGCTCCTTGGCTCCAAACATTTTACTTTAAGTAAAATACAAAAATAATATTAAAAGACATAACACCACACTAAGGATAAAGTAAGCATCTCTGGGGGACAGAAATCAGGCAGAAGCACACATTGGTGATCCAGGTTGAGCCTGGGCCCAGAAGCAGAGTGGGACAGGAGTCTGGGGGTTTAAGGGAGCAGAAGTGCCCATGGAGGCTGAGGACCAGAGCTTGATTCAGTGGTTGGTGTCCCAGCCAAGCAAGGCAGATCTAAACCTGCAGCATATCAATTCCAGCCCAGATGAATGAATGCATGGAGTTGGCGTCTGTCTCTAACATGTTTACTAACTTCCTGGAGTCACAAGATTGTCACCTAAGTACTTTTCTTCCCATCAGTTTCATAGCCCTATTCATATCACCCTACTTCTGACCTACTTCAATAGGCTTGAAATGATTTCCCTGCTTTTCAAACTTCCTCATAAAACGAATTCAATTCCTTCAAAATATCTTGTTACACCAATACATGGCTCCAAAGCCTTGTTACTAGCTCTCTATCAGTAACAGAAAAGTCCAAGCTCTTTCTCATTTTCTTGCCATTCAAAGACCTCTGCATATTGGCTCCATACCTTTTGTTTTGTTTTGTTTTGTTTTGTTTTGTTTTGTTTGAGATGGAGTCTCTCTCTGTTCCCCAGGCTGCAGTGCAGTGGCATGATCTTGGCTCATTGCAACCTCCACTTCCTGGATACAAGCGATTCCCCTGCCTTAGCCTCCCAAGTAGCTGGGATTACAGACGCCTGCCACCACTCCCAGCTAATTTTTGCAGAGACGGGGTTTCGCCATTTTGTCCAGGCTGGTCTCAAACTCCTGGCTTCAAGTGATCTGCCTGCCTCAGCCTCCCAAAGTGCTGGGATTATAGGTGTAAGCCACTACACCCAGCTTGGCTTCATACTTGAGCATCTAAAAATGAAGGCTCACGTGGGACACTGCTCCTGCCTCTCAGGAAAGCAGACACGTCCACTTCCTCAGTGAAGAGAGGCTGAAGTGGACCTCTGCGGTTGTACTTCCCAGCTTCCTTCCCTTCCCCTCGGTTGTCTTCTAGGGACTGCCCCTGTGCCACTCCCCAGTTTAAAAGAGTTAGGTAAGGTTGACACCACTCTAGCTCCCAGGGACAATCAGGGTTTTCTACACAAGAGTGAATGACTTGGGGACAGGCAAGACCAAAGTCACTTTTATTAAACCCAATCCCTGGACTTGGATTTCAACTCCTGGGAGACAAAAGTTCTCTTTTGACTAGGGTTGCTATCCTGTGAAGACGTAACTTGGCAAAGCTTGTGGCCACGACGAGCATGCCTGAGGATGCAGGGAACACGAAAGAGAGCAGAGCCAACAGACAGTGAGAGAAGGCTTGCCAACGACACTGTTGAAAGTGATGTCATATAATAGTATGTTCAGAGAGTAGAGAGCAATTAAAATAGGAAACACATGAACTCACTAAGGCTGCTACTCACCAGGACTCATCTGTTGTCAATCTCTCTTCTTTTTTTTTTTTTTTTGAGATGGAGTTTCGCTCTGTCGCCCAGGCTGGAGTGCAGTGGTGTGATCTCGGTTCATTGCAACCTCCGCCTCCCAGGTTCAAGTGATTGTCCTCCCTCAGCCTCCTGAGTAGCTGGGACTACAGGCATGTGCCACCATGCCCAGCTAATTTTTGTACTTTTTAGTAGAGACTGGGTTTGCTATGTCGGCCAGGCTGGTTCCGAACTCCTGGCCTCAAGTGATCCGCCCACCTTGGCCTCCCAAAGTGCTGGGATTACAGGCATGAGCCACCACACCTGGCCGTCAATCTTTACCTATGTGAACTCTTACTTTCCTCTTGCATTATGACTTTGATTTCTCATTGCCCTAACTTCTCCTGCATTGCAAGCCGTTTTTATATGTAAAACAGCTGTTCAAGCCAGCCTGAGCTTCTGGATAAAGTCAAGTCACCATTAATTACAGCTTCCCTGAGAAGAAGATAATAACTTGTCTTCTGTTTCTCATATTCTGACTTTCAGTCTAGTGCCTACAGGCACTGATTCAAATTGCAAAGTAACGTCTCGGCCTTTCTTTTTTGCTCTCACTCACTTGCACAAAAATTTATGAAAAAGTATCCCACTCAACAGAAGGACAGAACTGGTCTTCATTGGACCCACCACATACCCCTTCACACTCCTCTCCTTAGTCACTCAGAGCTCATCAGAAAGCCCACTTTTACAGAATGCCAAATACTTAAACTCAGTAGCTCTCCAGCACTATTCATAATGGCAGAGACATAGAATCAACCCAGGTGCTCATCAATGGTGGATTGGAAAAAGAAAACGTGGTACATACACACCATGGAACACTAGGCAGCCATTAAAAAAGAATGAGATCATATCCTTTGCAGCAACATGGATGCAGCTGGAGGCCATTATCCTAAGTGAATTAATACAAGAACAGAAAACCAAATACTGCATGATCTCACTTAGAATTGGGAGCTAAACATTGGGTACTCATGGACATAAAGATGAAAACAACAGACACTGGGGACTGCAAGAGCGGGAGAGAGGGAAGAGGGTAAGGGCTGAAAGACTACTGGGTACTAGGCTCACTACCTTGGTGACAGGATCGTTTGTACCCTAAACCTCAGCATCATTCAATATACTCATGTGTATTAGTCCGTTCTCGCATTACTATAAAGAACTGCCTGAGTCTAGGTAATTTATACAAAAAGAGGTTTAATTGACTCACAGTTCCACAGGCTGTACAGGAAGCATGGCTCGGGAGACCTCAGGAAACTTACAGTCATGGCAGAAGGGGAAGCAGGCACGTTCTACATGTCTGGAGCAGGAGTAAGAGAGCAAAGGGGTAAGTGCTACACATATTTAAACAACCAGATCTCGTGAGGACTCACTCACTATCACGAGAACAGCAAGGGGAAAATCCACCCCCATGATCCAATCACCTCCCACCAGGCTCCTCCTCCAACATTGAAAGTTCCAATTTGACATGATATTTGGCTGGGGACACAGAGCCAAACTATATCACCATGTAACAAACCTGCCCATGTAATCCCTGAATCTAAAATAAAAGTTGAAATTATATTTATATTAAAAAGAACCAACTAAATGGTTCTCAAAGTGTGGTTCCTGGCCCAGCAGCATCAGTATCACCTGCCGTGAAATAACACGAAATACACATATTGGTCTCTGCCCCCAGTCCTTGACACAGAGCTTCTAAACCCTTGTAATTGTCTGAACAATTGGAGTGCTGGGAGGATCTTTTGTTCCAATATTTGATCTTTGACGCAGGTTCCTGACACAGAGCTCCTAAATCCCTTGGAATTTCCTGGGTGATGGGAGCATCCTTTGCTCTAATGAGGAGACTCTTGGTGGCCTCCTGTACTGCCTCAGGTTGAGGGCTGGTTGCCAGGGGAACCAATCATGTGATTAGAGGGAAGGAACTTTCAGGGCCACCCCCCTGGCCTCTGGGGAGAGGAAACGGACTGAACTTTACGTTGATCACCAATGGCCAATGATGTAAACAATTATGCCTATGTAATGAGACCTTCATAAGTACCCAAGAGGACAGGGTTCAGGTGGCCTGGATTGCTGAACACATGGGGGTTCGTAGAGGGTGGTGCACCCGCAGAGGGCATGGAAGCTCCACGCCCCTTCCCCATACCTCGCCTTATGCTTCTCTTCCATATGGCTGTTCATCTGGATCCGTTGTAACATTCTTTATAATAAATGGGTAAATGTAAGTAAAAGTGTTTCCCTGGGCTCTGTGAGCCACTATAGCAAATTAATTGAACCCAAGGAGGGGGTTATGGGGACCCTGGTCAGTCAGAAGCACAGGCTATAACCTAAACTTGCGAATGGCGTCTTAAGTGGGGGCAGTCTTGTGGAACTGAGCCCTCAACCTGTGGGATCTGACGCTGTCTCCAGGTAGATAGTGTTGGAATTGAATTGAATTAAATAAAGGTCACCCAGCTTGTGTCCTTTAATTCAATTAAGGAGAATTATCTGCAGAATTGCTTGGTGTGTAGGAAAAAAAACCCTTTACACATGGGGTTATAGAAGTGTTGAGTAGCTGTGTGAGAGTAGAGAGTAGGAAAATCACTTTGGTTGTCATTGCATCACTATATCTGGGAACTTGTTAGAACTGCAAATTCTCAGGCCCTGCCCCACACCTACTGAACCAGGAACCCTGGGTGAGGCACAGCAATCTGTGTTTTTACAACCCCTCTACCTGATGGTGATGCACCAGCTAAAGTCTAAAACATTTTATAGGTTGTTGCAAGAACTCAATTCTGCCATAGGCATTATGTAAATGATGGGCTCAGCTGTGTTCAATAAAGCTTTATTTATTATACCAAAACAGGTGGAGGGCTGAATTTGACCCAGGGCCATAATTGGCTGATCCCTGATGGAGAACAATGGTTCTATAGTCTGGTATAAGCCCAGCCGCATCACCTTCACCTGTTTACTTATTCGAAATGCAAATTTTTAGGCTTATCCCAAACCTACTGAATTAGGAATTCTGCAGGTAGGACCTAAAATTCTGTTTTCTAAAGACTTCTAGGTGATTTAGATGCCTGCTCAATTTTGAGAACCACTCATCTAGAAGTGTTTCTCGGCCTTGGCTGCACATTAGAACTCTCTGTACTCACCCCAGACAGCTGACATGAGACTCAAGCTCAGTGTTTTTACAGTTCCCAGTGATTCTGATTGCAACCAGGCTGTGACACAGTGACCTCAAAGCACTGTGGGATGCCCCTTTATTCTCAAGGCTTACTGAAATGAGCTACTTCAAGCATATTTGTGCCCTAGTCATCATCTCGTTCCCATTTTGAGGAATTAGCTTCAAATCTTTTGGACCCATTGATTGATTCATGGGGCATATTTTTCAACTACTTAATATGAGCTCCGAAAGATCAAAGCTCAAAGCCATCTCCGGGCCCATTTGTGGTCATTTTCTGTGCTTGGCAGAAGGTGAGAAAACATATGCCACCCTCAGGAAACAGTCTCGAAATCAGAGTAGGAGAGTGGGATGCGCTTTCTCTTCTGAGCACAAACAGAAAAACACTTCTGGGATCCCAGATGTATAAAGGGTTTTTTGTTTTTGTTTGTTTGTTTGTTTGTTTGTTTTCCCCACACACCAAGCAATTTTGCAGATGATTCTCCAGTGGACACCAGGCCCTCTCCAAAACTCAACCTCCTCCAAAACCCAACACTCGCAACCAGGAATATAAGGTAGGATCCTCTTTGGCTTAACAACAGCTTTTGCTTTTCAAAGGCTGATTATAGATGAGACCAATACTTTTTCTTGGAATCCATCACCCACAGGACTCCTCTGTTCAGGTGATGCCATGACAGGTGGTTCTCACAGGGCAGTCAGGGATGAATTTCAGCATTGAGAGCAGGCTTCACAGTTGAGATTGGTTTGGAATCTTTCAAGAGGCTCATCTGAGTTTGATTTTGTAACTGGGCTTGGCATCTGTCCTTTAAATCCTTTCTACTCAAAGTGTGGTCCCTTGATCTGCAGCATGGGCATTACTTGAGAGCTTGTCAGAAATGCAACCCTTGGGCCCCACCTCAGACCTATTAAATCAGAATCTGATTCCACTGAGATCCACAGAGGATGGTGTGTGTATTAAAGTTTGAAAAACACTGCTTTAAACCAATCTTTGCAGAAGTGCAATAGGTGAGGGATTTTGTAAAGCAAAGACAAAAATATAGCTGTGAATAGAATTTGAGAGCTACCAGATTGAGCAGGGGGGTGCTATGTCAGGAGTTATATATATCCCCAAACTGAGTAACAAGCATGAGATCTCATAGCTTTCTTTGGGCCCTAGAGGTTACTATGACTAAATGCTTTTAAATACTGGCACTGGGCTGGGCTCAGTGGCTCACGCTTGTAATCCCAGCACTTTGGGAGGCCAAGGTGGGAGGACTGCTTGAACTCAGGAGTTCAAGACCAGCCTGGGCAAAATAGTGAGATCCCATCTGTATCAAAAACTAAAAAAAAATTAGCCAGGCATGGTGGTGTGTGCCTGTGTTCCCAGCTACTCTGGAGGCTGAGGCAGGAGAATCACTTGAGCCCGGGAGGTCAAGGATGCAGTGAACCTTGATCGTGCCACTGCACTCCAGCCTAGGTGAAAGAGTGAGACCCTGTCTCTAAATAAATAAATAAGTACTGGAACCATTATCATGACTCTAGCTTTAAAAATAAAAAAAATTCTAAAGGAGACAGAAAATGAAGGATAAACATGAGGCTGAATTTCATGGTCGGAATGCAGAAAAGGTGACTACCACTGTGGATGTGGGTGATTTTACATTACAGGCCAGGCTTTCTAGAGGCTGACTACACTCCTAATGAAAGATGAGGGACTGAGAGTCTTCCTCCTTATTTTTGAAGAAGGAGAAAATAAATTGGCTGAACCACTGCTATTAAATTCTGTTTCAATTAATTACAGTAATTGTTGATCAATATAGAACTTTGTAATGCATTCGATCCCCTTATTTTTATTTTTATTTTTTGAGGCCGAGTCTCACTGTGTCGCCCAGGCTAAAGTGCAGTGGCGCGATCTCGGCTCACTGCAACCTCTGCCTCCCAGGTTTAAGTGATTCTCCTGCCTCAGCCTCCCGAGTAGCTGGGATTACAGGTACCCACCACCATGCCCGGCTAATTTTTGTATTTTTAGCAGAGACAAGGTTTTGCCATGTTGGCCAGGCTCGTCTCGAACTCCTTACCTCAGGTGATCCACCTACCTCAGCATCCCAAAGTGCTGGGATTACAGGCGTGAGCCACTGCGCCCAGCCAGATCCCTTTGTTTTTAACAAGAGAAGCCATGCACTGCATTGCTAAGGCTATCACAATGGCATTGTCAAATATACGAACACATGATGAAATCTGTGAGTGGCTCTAGACTAATTTGGTTGGTGAAAGAGATGGTCTAAATATACACTTAACAGGCCCCCAATCAATACCTGTTCAAAGAATAATAGTAGGCTGGGCACGGTGGCTCACCCCTGTAATCCTAGCACATTGGGAGGCTGAGGTGGGCAGATCACCTGAGGTCAGGGGTTCAAGACCAGCCTGGCTAATGTGGAGAAATGCTGTCTCTACTAAAAATACTAAAATTAGCCAGGCGTGGTGGCACATGCCTGTAATCCCAGCTACTCGGGAGGCTGAGGCAGAAGAATTGCTTGAACCCGGGAGGTGGAGGTTGCAGTGAGCCAAGATTGTGCCACTGTACTTCAGCCTAGGTGACAGAATGAGACTCCATTTCAAAAATAAATAAATAAATAAATAAATAAATAAATAAATAAATAAGAATAGTAGTGGCTACAATGTACGAAGCACTTACTGTGTCTAGATACTATTCTAAGCACTGTCCATGTTGCAACTCATTTCATTCCATCAACTCTTCAAAGTAGACATTACTAAGATCCTATTTTACAGCCAGGAAGCATTCACAGAGAGTATGAATAATTTACCTGAGAAGGGGTAGTACAGGGATCAGAGCCAAGCAGTGGGTAGCAGAGTCCATGTAAGTAATTACCATGCTAAACTACCTCATGGATGAGCGATACCATCAGATCTTAGAAGTGAGATACAATCTAGCAAGGAAAATGAATTGGGTCTTGTAATCAGTAAGGTCAGAGATGGGGGCAGGATGCTTATACTTTTAGAGAGGAGATGAGTCTGTTTTTCCCTACTGTTTTCTTATTCATTTTTCCAACCAATTCTGGACACCTCCTATAGCTTCTGTCCTTCCCTCATTTTTGTATTTCCAAGGGCTTTATTTTCCAGTGCTTTTATTTTTGAAATAAAAAGAATTTAGGCCCACAATCCCAGTGTTTTGGGAGGCCAAGGTGAGAGGATCACTTGAACCCAGGAGTTTGAGGCTGCAGTGAGCTATATGGTCTTACTACTGCACTCCAGCCTGGGTGATGAAGCAAGACCCTGTCTCAGAGAAAAAAAAAAAAAAGAGAATTCAGACACACACAATTATTATTTGAGCTGGCATAGTGTTAACTTCCCCTGTGAATAGATTGTCTCCTGATCCATACCAGGGAATGGTCTTTAGTTCTGCTGTTTCTTGATTGGTAAGTTATTACAGCTGAGATGTTAATGGCCAGTAATGGCTTAAGACTTTGCTTCTCAAACTTTACTACCTATGGCAGACAGATTCTAGGGTGGCCCTCATGATTTCTACCTCCTGGGATTCACACCCTTGTACATTCCCCTCCCCTTGAGCATTGGCAGGACATGTCTTGTTTCTAAGCAATAGAATACAGCAAGCGTGACAGATGTATGTGATTTCACATATGTGATTATGTTACATAAGCAAGATTTTAATGTGTTTTGCTAGAAGACTCTCTCTCCCTTGCTGGCTTTGAAGAAGCAAGCTGCCATTTTGTATGCTGTCATGTGGAGAGGACCACACAGTGAGGAGCTGAGAGTCTGCAAGAAACTGAGGCCCTCAGTCCAGCAATCCACCAGGAACTGAATGCTGCTGACAATGATGTGAGCTTGGAAACAGATCCATCTCCAGTTGAACCTTCAGATGAGAACCCAGGCCCAGCTGACACCTTGATTGCATTCTTGTAGAGGATCCAGCTAAGCCATGCCTGGACTCCTTACCCACAGAAACTACAAGATAACAAATGTACGTTGTTGTAAATTGCCCAGTTTGTGGTCATTTGTTATATAGCAATAGAAAACTAATACAGATTCCAAGCAGATCTAACAGCTGAGGGGCATGAGGTATATGTCTGGAAGGCTAGAGACTACCAGAAATGGTTTCTCACAGCAATAAATTGCTTTTATTTTGAAAATATGTGCAACATTTGCATTTTACCAATAACTTATGTTTTTGATTGCTTATCACTTAAATACCTTTAATTTTTCACCAATGGTTCAAATAAAATTGCTCTAGTAAGTTCCTTTTTGTTTATTCTGGGGATTCAAATTTCCTACCTTGTTTCTTGGGGAATGAAAATTCCAATTGGTTATACCTCTCTGAGTTGCATTTTCATGAGTCCCATGACCATATTTCAGAAGGTTTGGCTGAATACGATGTTCAGAGAGAAGTATCACAGGCCCAGGGGAAGAGAAAGAAACTGGAAGGGCTTAAGGCTAGAATTACATGAATCGATAGGGCTGAAGAGCTGGTCCTCAAAGTGGATAGTCAGTAGTCCAAAATATACTTCGCCAGGGTGAATCAAACCCGGACTTTTTTCAGACTTTTGGTAAAATTATTGGCTATCCTGTTCAGGGTGTAGGGCAGAGCAAGACAAATATCTCCATTCAAATGGGAGTGTAGACAGGGCAGGGTCATGGTTGTTCAGGAGACTCCATCACTGTCAGTGTTAAGTGGTGTAGGACAGGAATAAAGACCCTGGCTTACTGGGGTTTAGAGATGAACTTTATTTCCGGTAGAGAAAACTGGAGGGTCAATTAGGAAAACAAAACCCAGAACATTGCAGCCGGACTGATCTGACACAACTGGTGTTGGAGAATGGCTATAGCTTAATGAACATAAAAACCATAGCAGAGTTTACCCTGGGCACACCCACAGGACCAAACTCAGGCTTTAACAGCCTTGATTACTATGGCTCAAGAATCATGCAAGATTAAACTTGCAGGCGATAGGGCCCAGGGGCAAGTGAGACTGCAAAGGATAAGTAACTGGAGGTTTAGGAACCAAGAAAGAGCCTGGGAGAAAGATATCTGGGCACTTGGAGGACTTTGTGAATTAACCTCAAATCACACTACGTGTTCATCTGTGAAGATGGCCCTGTGAGTAATTCCTAAATGACAACTCTTTTTTTTTTTTCTTTTTTTGAGACAGGGTCTTGCTCTGTCACCCAGGCTGGAGTGCAATAGCATGATCACGGCTCACTGTAGTCTCAACCTCCCAGGCTCAATCAATCCTTCCTCCTCAGCCTCCTGAGTAGCTGAGACTACAGTCATGTGCCAACATGCCTGGCTAATTTTTGTATTTTTTGTAGAAACGGGGTTTTACCATGTTACCAAGGCTGGTCTCGAATTCCTGGGCTCAAGCAATTCACCCACCTCGGCCTCCCAAAGTGCTGGAATTACAGGCGTGAGCCACTGTGCCTGGCCCCTAAGTAACAACCTTTATCACTCCTTGAAGCTTAAGCCCACTACTCTTGATTGCAGCCCCCTTAAATAGACCTTTATCTATTTAGAGAAGCTGGAGATGAGAAAAACACGGGAGAACATGAATACTGTCTTCAAACACTCTACAACTTTTCCCACATCAAAAAGAAAGAGAGTGTGTGCATGTGTGTGTGTGTCTATTTGTGTGGCTATATGTGTGTGTTTGTATATTGTGTGTCTGTGTATATGTGTATACATATATATATCTCTGTGTGTGTGTGTATAAAATCTCATGACTAGTGAATGGCAGAAAAGAAAGTAGGTGGATAAGATGTGTTGTCTAGAGTTACTGGAAATGCAAATATCTGCCTAGCTTCTAAAGGTCACCTTTTTCCAGTGAACTTAGAAAAAAGACAGGATTTATCCCTTGTTCACTCTGGGGCAGGCCAGGATCTCCATGGCAGCATGGACTTCTAGCCACACTTTAGGCTTCTGTTTGGTCTGCATTGACCACCAACTGGAACCCCGGTACTACCATTCTCTCTAGACACAATGCTTAATGCCACACTGGGTTCCAAGGACTGATGATACAGAGAAGCTTGTCATTCTTCTTATGTCTTGTATTATTGGCTGTTGAATGTTTTAGGATAATAAGATGGATTTACAACTTTGGAGGTAGAGGACTTGAAACCATGGTCACATTACGTAAAATTTATGGGAGGCCATTGTTTTGGATTGGGCTCCTGCACTAGGCTCCAAAAGACTAGACCAAACAAACATGGAGTCACTGTGCTAGGTGCTATATTATCAATCTGAACTTAGAAATGGTCCAGTTTTCCAAAAAAATTGGAGATTCATAGCAAGCAATCATAAGGGTCCCAGTCAATCTGAGCTGGCATGATAAGGAAGTCCCCTCTGCTTTAACCCTCTAAAGAAAGTAACTTTGAAATGGCCAGTCTGCTTTTTTTCACTGTGCTGTTTCCTTGTTCTAGCTCAAGCTACCTTACAAAAACAAACTGTTCTGCCATGCCTGGTGAAACACCCTTTTCTTTCATAGATGAGATACTGCCTGATTCATGAATCACTAATAAAAACCAATTAGACCATTAAACTCAATTTGTTGAAATTTTGTTTTTTGACAGTTAATACGACTCTTCTGAGAGTCCACTGAAAACCAAAATGTTAAACTCTTTATGGCAGATTTGTGCATCCCATTTGGGCATCCCAGTCCCCAGCCCAGTATCTCAATCTTTTCCTTCCATCTTCAGAGAGTTTCCTTTCCTTACTGTATGAATCTCAAACACCCCTATTCCAAGGTAACTCCTCTCTTACTTACTGTATGAATCTCGACCACCCGTATTCCAAGGTAACTCCTTTCTTAATTCATAAGGTTTGGTTTAATTTTACAATCCGTTGTTATTTCCCACCTGGGTAGCCCATAGATAAAATATGCTAAACCAAAATAGTTCCCCCAAGTCTGACCTTCTCAGTTTAAATAACACTAGAGGAGGGTACAGGGCTTTAGTAGAACAGTCCAGAATGGATGGACTTTAGCACTCATTTGACACTCTTCCCTAGGATGAGGTAAAAATACATTTCCACAGACTTACTTATGGCCCCCTGTGTATTGCTCTTGAACAAAACATGTTTCCCAAGGATAAACAAAGTATATCATAGACATTATACTTCAGATACATTTTAAGAAAGAAAAACATTTTCTCAGAGTCAATACAGTCCACAGGATTTTCCTTGCCCTCAATGGTGACAGACTGATATGGTTTGACTGTGTCCCCACCCAAATCTCATCTTGAATTGTAGTTCCCATAATCCCCACATGTGGTGGGAGGGACCCAGTGGGAGGTAACTGAATCATCGGGGCAGTCTCCCTTACGCTATTCTCATGATAGTAAGTTCTCATGGGATCTGATGGTTTTATAAGGGACTTCCCCCTTCGCTCGGCTCTCATTTTTCTTCTTCTTGCCGCTATGATTATAAGTTTCCTGAGGCCTCCCCAGCCATGCTGAACTGTGAGTCAATTAAGCCTCTTTCTTTTATAAATTACCCAGTCTTGGGTAAGTCTTTATTAGCAGCATGAGAACAGACTAGTACACAGACTTTTACTTTATTAATCAGAACAATTTTGTTTCTCACATGTAGGTTCTAGGGTTACACTTTGCATAGCCAGGTGTTGCTATAAATAAAATAGCCTCCAACACCAAGTGTTGACTCCCCAGCAGCAGAAAAAATCAGTAGAAGCTGTGAAATTAAAAAAATTTTAAACATGATCAAGAATTTTTAGCTAAGATTTCCTTCCTGACACATCTTTATAGGTAAAAGGGTGACATTACAAAGATTGATCCTCCCTAGTCCAGACCAAGTCACCAGGGAATGTGGATTTGTTCCTCTCCCACTTAGAGTTTTCACTAAACCATACCAAAGTCATGCTATGTATATAAAATGTTCATATTTCATCTTGTTATAATTACCTTTCAATCAGCAAAAGAAACTGCTATTGTCTGAATGTTAATGTTCCCCCCACCCCCTGCAAATTCAAATGTTGGAATCTAATACCCGATGTGATAGTATTAGGAGGTGGGGCCTTTGGGAGGTGATCAGGTCATCAGGGCTCTGCCCTTATGGATGGGATTAGTGCCCTTATAAGAGAGGCTAGAGGGAGCCCATTTGCCTCTGTAAGGTGCCCTTTAGGAGGAACAGGCCTCCACCAGATACTGAATCTGCTGGCACCTTGATCTTGAACTTCTCAGCCTCCAGAACTGTGAACAATAAATTTCTGTTGTTTATAAATTACCCAGTCTAAGGTATATTGTTATAACAACCTGAATGGACGAAAACAGAAACTATCTTAGTAAAGATGTTAATAATTTGTTTAATTTTCTTTCCCTTCCTTCATCAATAGGAAATCAGTATGGAGTCTCTATTTTGCTAGGGCCCATAATCTTACAGTATGCTAGGCCAATTTGAATCTTAAAAAGTGGTAAGTGGGTTTTAAGCTTTCTTCCTACTGAGCATTTCAAACATACCAGAATAAAACAGAGTACTTTCAGAGCAAGTTAGCCAATAATTGTCTAGAATCTTTTTTCACACAAGGAAGAAAGCAAATCTGTCATAATTACATAGAAAAAAATGCAGAGATGAATTTCTACTCTCTAGTAACTCTTCCTTCTGAAGCAAGCAGTGCCATTCAGTAATTGTATGAGTGTTGCAGTTGTACTACTTTTGTAGTGCATTTGAGCTTTCTCATTTATATTAATCCTTAGCATGATGGTAAGACTCAGCGACATCTGGCCCATATTTCCTTGTTGTTTTGCTCTATAGGTTCACACCACATTAACCGTTCAGTTCCTTAGTCATTCCTTTCTCCTGCCTGCTGCAGGGCCTAAGTACAGTCTTCCCACTGCTGGGAATTCCCTGGTCTAGGTCAGCTCCACAAAATAATTTTGCTTTCTTCTTGTTCAGTTTGCAATTATACACAGATTTGTGTATTTAATTAGTTAATGTTTAGATCCCTCATGATATTGTAAATTCCATGAGAGCAGGGACCAGGTTTATATTTTTATTCTTTTTATCAACACATTCATAGTAGGTGCTGAAGAAATACAGCATAAATGACTGATTGAATGAATGAATGACTGTTGATTTGGGGGATGGATTTTTGCATCGGACTACAAATTATGTACGATAAAACTAAATAACAGCAGAGAGGATATAATGAGGACAAAAGGAACAGAATAATGAGGACAAAAGGAACAGAAAAGTGTTAAAAATTCTTGCAAAGGAAAAGGAATAAAGGCACGGTAACAGCAAGAGATGGGCTAAAATGAATCAGAGAAAGAATGAAGGAGCATTGATAAGCAAGAGACCCTTGACTTTTTGAGCTATTTTATAAGTTGTTACCAGGTGAGATTAAACCAAGTCCAGAGAATTAGGGAGCTTCCAGCAAGGCAGTTTCAGCCTGGATTATGTGGTGTTGTCTATGACCCGCTAGAAAGAGACTAGAGTTTCTCGTCCTTAGGGATGAGGTGGAGTGAAATGAAGATGAGCCAGGTCAAGGCTGGCTTTGTAAGTCATTCAACGAACATTTATTGAGTGTCTTCAGGGCATTGTATGACATTCTCTAGTGAAAGATAAATGAATGAAGAAGTGGTCTCTGCCTTGGGAAATTTATATCCTAGTCCAGGAAAGGAAAAAACTATGGAACACACACACACACACACACACACACACATTAGTACACATATACACATATAAGCACATATAAAACACAAATATTTATAATGCACCTTAGTGTTGGAGTTAAATATGCTAAAAGTGCTTTTAAGCTCTAAGGAGAGAGGGTTCAGTCCTTTGGTGCAGTGGGGTGGAACTCTTAAAGTTTTCCCACACATTTGGTTCTGAAACAATGCTATTTGCATGAACAACCCTAGTGTCAACATGAGGAAGTCTGCTAATCTTTCAGCTTGCATCGTATGGTTGAAGTGAAAATGCCCACATAATTTTGGAAGCCCAGCATCCCTCCTTTCTGGTGCTTAGGCCTCTGCTGAATCCTTGACCTCCCTCTGTTATTCATCCCTGTTCATGACTACTCATTTCTGAATTCAGTGGTCCTGTTCCCTTCCCCATCCAAGTGCTCCCAAGTCAAGGATCTGTTTATAATAGATTTTACTGAATGCTATAGGCAATGGCTGTGTGTGTGTGTGTGTGTGTGTGTGTGTGTGTGTGTGTGTGTGTTGGTTACATCACAGACCAGTAGAGCAAACAACTTAAAATGTAATATTAGAACACCTCATCCTTAAAACTCCTATCCTCTACTTGGCACCAAGGAGCCATCACCAACCAGCACTTTACCCCACTTCTAGCCTCCTGCTATGTTTCTGGGCCCTCTCTCAAGAATTTCTAGATGACTTTCTTTTTCCTCTCAGCTTGTAGGCACCCCGAAGCTTTAAACATCCTGAGTAATTTATCTTATCATCTTATCCCAAACCATTTTGACTTTTATTCCCAGAGACTTTTGCTTAATAGCCAATTATGCCTACTTAGGGGTTAGCTTAAATTGCGCTGTCTCTGGAGTGAAATCTTACGGTCAGGCTTTAAAGTAACACTTGTTTTTTTAGTTCACACTTCGAATTGCTTGCCAAATGCTATACAACGTCAAGTACAGTTTTCAAAAAAGTTAAAAACATGGTCTCATATAAATATTTAACAAATATGTGTCAGAGATGTATTTAATTCCCTAGTGAGGGAACCAACAGGTTCAAGGACAAAAGGAAATGGTAAATGAATAAATGAATGACTACATATCTTCATCTAAAAGAGAACACTGGAATAAGATTGCAAATTAAAATACAAAATTGATTAACCACTTCCTACAGGGGAATAAAACTGTAGCCTTTGGGGTTATCATTTATACCCAATAGAAATCATATTTGCATTTTGTCTGTCTTCTAAAAATTAATATCTAACTTTACACAATCTTTGGGCCTGTTAAAGGATAATTTTTTAAGGGTAAAACCATGACTTTTGAACAAATACAAAATAAACTAATTAACTAGTGAGGGAATAAATTAGATGTCGTAAGAAGTTCAAAGGAGAATTTAAAGAACACAAAGATATACTGGTAACCAGGAATACTGAGATGAATATATAAACTGATGCAAAACATATCAATATCCATAAGGCAATGATCAATTAAATTGCCTGGACAGTTTTATTTGCATTTCCATGAACAAGCGTAATTTGGATTATTATCAGTTTTCTACAATGCGCAGAGTTGTAAAGTAGTTCAAAGACAATGAAAGGCACATATAGCCTGGAAGAATAAGCTAGACAGTACATCCAGAAATCTTTCTTTGTCCATTTCAAAGTCTTTCCCATTTTTCCTGACAGATTCTAATCAATAGTAAGTAGTATGTCAACCAAAAAGCTACCTCTCCCTAGAGCATCAGCTGATCCTGAGGGGGAACTTATCAGGCAATGCTCTAGTATGACTTTGTTAAGGCATGCAATAGCCAATCTGCTTTTTTTCCATTTGGGATAATTCTTCTTAACAACAGTTTGTACCATAAATCCTTTCCTTTTAATACAGCTGGTCATTACACCTTGCAAGGCTGGCAAAGAATATCCATAGTGTAGGAGGAAGGCTGCTGATAAGAAATTGGAGAGTGTAGTTGCTCTGCCAATGCCACTGCCAGAAAGGGGTGCCTATTTCCCAGGGCACTGACTGTAGAGGGGACCAGCCAGAGGGGACAGATTGCCCTCCCCGTGGGGGCAACCTGTTACTCTATTACACTTTTCACAGGACTACAGATACCCATTTGTTTTTTTCTTTTTAAAGAAAGCATGCTTAGATTTGCCTTTTATTTTATTTTTTATTTGTATAAATTTATGGGACACAAGGGCAACTTTGTTACATGCACAGATTGCATAGTGGCTATGTCAGATGGATGTTAGGGTATCCATCACTGGAATAATGTAGATTGTACCAATTAAGTAATTTCTCATCATCCACCAACTCCCATCCCCTCACCCTTCTGAGTCTCCAATGTCTACCATTCCACTCTCTATGTTCATGTGTACACATTTTTAAACTCCCACTTATGAGTGAGAATATGCAATATTTGTCTTTCTGTATCTGACTTGTTTCACTTAAGATAATGGCCTCCAATTCCATTTACGTTGCTTCAAAAGATATCATTTTACTCCTTTTTAAATGGCTGAATAGTATACCATTGTGTATATATATCACACTTTTTTTATCCAATCATCTGTTAATGGACACAGGTTGGTTCTGTATCTTTTGTAATGTGAATGACACTTGTTTTTTCTGACATGGGAATTTGGTTATGCACCTTAGAATATGCACATTTTCCCTGGCACCTGAAGCACCACCTAGGAGGAAGTAGAGAGAGCCAGAGGAGGCTCTGTAACTCTTTCCTCTTCATTAGGTCACTATTTCATACATGGTAGAACCGTCAAAGATGCCACTGGTGATCAGAAAGAGTTAATGTTTATAAATGCCTGATTTATCCCCTGGGAGAAGGTTAGTTAGACCCAGGCCCCACAAGGTAGCATCTGCTTTACAGGAGGCCTCAAGAGGTTATTTGGTTTCTTGAATGTCTAATTCTCTGCTATGGTAACCTGTGTAGTAAAAATGGTGTGTGTATTTGTATGTGTATGATAGAGATGCAACACACAAAGACAGAACTAAGGAAATCTAGGAAGACAAATAATGAGTCTTTGCTTTGTTTAAGAATAATTGTGCGCTTACACACTGTCCTTCAGAGTTTTGGCTGATGAAGACTAACATAACTGCATATTATTGCCTCCAAGACATTTTCTCTCTTTGACCTACTAGTCCCCCTGCCCTATTTTAACCACAAAGCAGCCCTAACAACCTGGGGACAGACCAAGGGCAGCTTTGGGCCTTCCAGTTTGGTGTTTGTGGGGGTAGACATTGGGTTTTGGGGAGTTTTGATTTTTGAAGGTTCACAGATTGCCGCAAGGCACCTCCCTCCAGCACAGCACAAAGAAAGAAGGGAGGACACCCAAGTTGAGAGCACACACAGTGTCCCACAGAGGACAGCTTGCCTTCAGAAATTCCTTCTGAACAAATCGTGGTACACTTTCCCTGTGGTGGGAGACAAATGGAGCCTCAGCTTTCAACACCATAGTCAGGGGCTGCTGCTGCCTCTCTTCTGTACCTCTATTTACAAACTTGGGAAGAAGCTGGACTTTCTTTTCCGGATTCCAAGCATCTCTTCTGAACATCTACTCTAGAGTCCTGAGGTGAGTTAGCTGTACCATGCTCTCTGCCTCCTTTGTTCCTGCTGCCATAGTCCACAATATTGTCATTTTTTTTTTTTTACATTTCTTCCTCATGTTCTCCATTCATGAACGTTTTAAGGATTGGAAACAGTGTTATTAGCAAATAGCTTTAATAGCAAACGCTCATTTAGTATTTCCTAAGTGAAAGCACTGTTTGGTTATGCACCTTAGAATATGCACGTTTTCCCTGGCATGGGGAGCAAGTATGTATATTTATATATACGATTGCCAAGGCCTCTGTTAGAAACCTTCAGGGCTGCATGTGCTCAGACAGCAGGATTTAGGGGATTTTTGAAAGATAATATGGTGCCTATGCCTATTACCAAACACCACTGGCAGGATCAGGTGCAACACCATAGAGTCAAACACATTAATATTTCTCTAGCTTCATGCATGAATTTTCACACTAAGTAAGAAAAATAAAAACAGTAAATATCCTCCCATCAGTTCACATCAGGTGTTGCCACCAAAGGAGTGATGAGAAAGCTTTTGGCTTGCATAACCTTTTGATTCCAGAAGGGCAGATAGAAGCAGTGAACCCATAACAGTAATTCCGTATCATGGCTGCATTAGAGTGCTCCCTAAGTCCTGAGAAACTTCATTGGGAACAACAGCCGGTAAATAGAGAAAGTCTTGAGAATAAAAAAAACCACATGATGTGACTTATTCCTTTACCTTTTCTCAGTTTAGAGTGTTAAGATGCATTTTTGTTGTTGTTCTATTGTAGGGTGCAAATTCAAATGTGTCCATGGCAAGAAAGTAGCATAAATGAGTGAAGCTCTACCTATTGTTGCTTTGATGGAGCATCTGCCCATTGTGACAGCTTCTGATTACTCAAAAGAATCCAGAAATCTGTATTTTTATTGAAAGACTTCTAATTTTTCAATGTTAGCTCTTTTTAAAATAATGACATTGTAATAAAGCACAACATTTAGCCATACTTTAATGGTCTACAGTTTGAGACCTAATGGACTGAGATCTGCTAGACTTGGGGACTGATGTCCTACAGTTTGGGACTTCTGGTTCTTGGTTCCTTTTTCAGCACCATCTGATTTTCAGGCTCTCTAATATGTGAATTTGAGGAAAATTAACCAAAGTTTAGAGATAGAGCCATCTGGTAAACATTTTACTGAGTTCATTGATGTGTGGTGAGGGAAGGGATGAGTTAAAAGAAAGCGACCTCCCCCCCATGCCAAACCACTCATTTAGAATAGTTTGTCTTAGAGCAGCTCTTTTCAAGTGACTGCTATTGGCAAACGTCAGTTAGCAAGCACAATCTGAAATTCATATGTGATTATCTAATCTAGCTCTCTTGTTGGAGAATAATAAAGTAATTGGAAAAAAATGGCTTGATTTGATATGAGACAATCAGAGATGATTGAAGTGATTTTATCTGAGGTATATATAGATGTTTTTCACATCCAGTATCCCCTTTCCTCTCCAGTTTCAATGATTTCCCCTTCATCAGTAAATTTAGTGCTTGATTGTTGTTCCATAAAAGAAAATGAAGTATATTATTCCACCTTTCCTTGAATGAAGGCGTTACTTGGTTTCTTGAATTTCTAGCTGTCTGCTATAGTAACTTAGGTAGTAAAAATCATGTGTGGTGTGTGTATTTGTGTATGTATGATGCACACACACAAAGACAGAAAAAGGGATAGAGAGAGACACCGAAACAACTGAAAGACAGGAGCATACAATTGTGTTGGAGCAGTGAAGGTGATTTCCATTTCTTCTGTAGGAGGGCTGGCTGCTGGCTTAGGTTTAAGTGGCTTGGGCCTTGCCTTGTCAGGTTAAAGAAGTAGCATCCTCATTTTCTTGCAATATGCAAACTGAAGATACCATGGATCTTTTCATTTAAAAAAAAAATCTGTTGGCCGGGCACGGTGGCTCTTGCCTGTAATCCCAGAGCTTTGGGAGGCCGAGGCGGGCGGATCACGAGGTCAGCAGTTCCAGACCAGCCTGGTCAACATGGTGAAACCCCATCTCTACTAAAAAAAAAATACAAAAATTAGCTGGGCATGGTGGCGGGCACCTGTAATCCCAACAACTCAGGAGGCTGAGGCGGGAGAATCGCTTGAAATCAGAAGGCAGAGGTTGCAGTGAGCCGAGATCGCACCACTGCACTCCAGCCTAGGTAACAAGAGAGAAACTCCATCTCAAAAAAAAAACCAAAAAATCTATCTACAGAATTCAGTTCTTGAACTCAGAGAACTTGTGTTTCTGCTCCTGTTTTGTAACATGCATCTGCTATGTTTTGAATGTGTCCCTCAAAGTTTGTGTATTGGAAACTTAATCCTCAGTGCAAGTGTTGTGAGGTGGGGCCTAATAAGAGATGATTAGGTCATGAGGGCTCTGCCCTTGTGAATGAATTAATGTCATTATCATGGGAGTGGTTTAGTTATCTTGAGAGTTGGTTTGTTATTAAAGTGAGTTTGGCCCCCTCTTGCTCTGTGGCTCTTGTTCTCCTTTGCTCTTCCACCTTCTCCCATGGGATGATGCAGCACGAAGTCCCTTGCCAAATGCTGATGCCATGCTCTTGGACTTCCCAGCTTCCTGAACCAAACCACGAGCCAAATAAATTTCTATTCATTATAAATTACCCTGTCTATGGTATTCTGTTATAGCAACACAAAACAGACTAAGCAAATGTCTTTTAATCCCCAAGTTTTCTCATTCTTGGAGGTATCTAGCAGTGTGCCATTAAATGTTTAGTAACTGGTACTCAAGAAATAAACAACGGAAACAACAAAACAAATAAACGGACTATGTAGCCTTTGCCAATTCTCATGGTATAAACGCTCACACTGTGGATGATTTCAAGCTACTAACATAATGTGACTGCTGAGCTGTGCAGAGATGCACAATTGGCTCTCATGAGTGGGTAGGATCTGGCTCCATCACACTGGGTGTAGCCAAAAGAACACTAAACAGAATTAAGAAGACTTGGGACAGTGTCTCATCTGTAAAATGTGCATAAAATAACAGCTCAGATTACCTCATGGGGATATGTAGTCACTTTCAAGTGGAAATACTAAAGAAAAACTGTAAAGAACTTTGAAAATATTTATACAAATATAAATATAATCATTACAATCCTTGGAGAGCCCCAAATTGCTCAATACCCAAAAGTTTTTTTAAAAAAATGACTTGGACTGCATTAGTTACTGCTTTTAAAAATGTGTTTTGCATCTTCTGGTCATAAAAGATTCAAACTATGTGAAAAGAGCCAACAGCCCATTTGACTTTAAGTTCAGAACAATGAACTCATCAGAGTTATTTTTACATGTACTGTAGTTTGGCCTAGAGCCACTGGTCACAAGAAAGCATGAGTGTGTTCTGGGCAGCATTTCTGCTTAAGCAGCTTCAAGACAACACCTCCAAGACAAGGAGATTCCCTTTGCAAATCTCCTTGAGGCCTTTTCACGGTTTACAGAATTTTAACTAATTAATGTTTAACTTGGTTTTGTAAACAATATTACACAAAGAGAAACCCTCTTAATAGAGACATACTCTCTAGAAGTGTCTTTTTAGAAGAGTGCTGTCCAATGAAATATACTGTGAGCCATACATGTAATTTTTTTTTTTTTAAGACAGTCTGGCTCTGTTGCCCAGGCTGGAGTGCGGTGGCACAATCTGGGCTCACTGCAACCTCTGCCCCCTGGGTTCAAGTGCTTCTCCTGCATCAGCCTCCCAAGTAGCTGGGATTACAGGTGTGTGCCAACACATTTTTGTATTTTTGGTAGAGACAGGGTTTCACCGTGTTGGCCAGGCTGGCCTCAAACTCCTGACCTCAGGTGATCCACCCGCCTTGGCCTCCCGAAGTGCGGGGATTACAGGCGTGAGCCAGTGTGCCCGGCCATGCATGTAATTTTATTTGTTTAATAGCCACATTAAAAGATGTAAAACAAATGGGTAAAATTAATTTTAATAATATCTTTCATTTAACCCAATATATCTAGAATATTTCATTTAACCCAATATATCTGGAATATTATTTCAACATGTAATCAGCAGCAGGCATCCCTTACCTGGCCACCCCCACCCTTTCCCTCAAACTGCCTTTGAAAAATCTCTACTAAAAATACAAAAAATTAGCCGGGCGTGGTGGCAGGCGCCTGTAGTCCCAGCTACTCGGGAGGCCGAGGCAGGAGAATGGCATGAACCCAGGAGGCGGAGCTTGCAGTGAGCTGAGATCGCGCCACGGCACTCCAGCCTGGGCGACAGAGCAAGACTCTGTCTCGAAAAAAAAAAAAAGAAGAAAAAAAGAAAAATCCCTAACCTACAAGCTTTGGAAAAGAATGATTTGAGTACTAACTCTGCATCCCACGTGGCGTGCCCAGCTTTGTGTCTATTAAACTCTCTACTACACGCCATGGTCTTTCTTATTGCAGTGGGTAAGAAGAACCCCTTGGGTAGTTCTTCTTCTACCCCTTGGGTAGAATAATCTCTTGATTCCAAGAAAACCCAATGTTTAAGGAAACTCTTTTATTCTGACTACAGGAGCTTTTGTTATGGGAATTGACTATGCAGGGAAAACTCTCTCTAACTTTTCCTTTTCCATTATCCATTAATTGGGTTGTCAGGGCAATCTAGATTGAGTGTGCCTATAATTTGTAGGATGACCAACCATTCTTATTTGCCCAGGACTGAGGGTTGTCCCAGTACATGGACTTCGGTGCTAAAACTGGGAGAGTCCCAAGCAACCTGGGACGAATTCATCACCGTAAATTTAGAGAAAATGTTTTAAGCACTCCTGGGAGCGCCTATGTGGTGTGTCCTTACAGCAAATATTTGGGTAACAATCTCAAGATTGCTTAAACTCTCCATGCCTCAGTTTCCTTCCTGGCCTCAGTTCCCATATTGGTAAATAAGGATCATAAATATAACCTATCTCATAGGGTTACTGTGAAGATTTGACGTATATTTAAGGTGTCTAGAGATATGTAAGTTGCTTTAAACAGACTTGGCAGATAGTGCTCAGTTGATGTTTATTATTAGATTTTTTATTTGTTTCTCGAGGTCAGGATGCACATCTGATATCTCGGCATCACCCCTTCCCCAAAATGCTTAATACGCTGCCATAAGTAGAATAAACACTCATCAAATATGGCTGAGCCCAGCAATCCCAGTTGTCCTGGCTCTGGTCTGGATGTGGAAGCCATTCTCTGAGGCCTCCCAAATATGGTCAATGTAGTGCCTCTCTGTTCAGAATAGGCACTGACTGCTTCAGGTCCTGGTTTCTGGCCTGTCTGGTATCCTGCTGTGAAATATGACATCATCGGATGGTGTCATCTCTGGCCAGAACCTGAGTATCATCTCGAATTATTTTCCCATGATTATCTTTGCAAAGCTGTTGGGTTCTGGCTTTTCCAAACAGCACAGCCAAGAAGAAGGCTTCAACGTGGGATTTAAGCTATATGGCATCAAGATTGGTTGCCTTCCCACTGCCAGTATCCTTCCGCTTTTTTGTTTCTAGCAGAACCTGCCTCCCATGCTGGAGACAGAGAATGCCAAAGACTCACTTTCCCAGCTTCCCCTGTGTCTAGAGCAGGTGACCCATTCGTGGCCAATGGGACCAAAGAGAATACCTGCTAAGGGATTCTGGGACAAAGTTCCTCCCTCCTTTTCTGATATTTGCTACTTGGAGCTGAGGGGGGCCATTGCAAGACCATGACAGAGGATCAAGAGAACTACAAAGAAGATGGAATTGGATGGAAAATAAAGAATGAATATGTGAGTCACTGCTGCTTTGAAGTCATTTAACTGCTGAATTAACCAAGTCTGGAACCTCCTGCCTCCAGACCTCTTATTATGTGAGATTTTTCAGTAGACCCCTGTTGTTTAAGTCATTTTTAGTTGGATATTTAGTTTCTGCCCTGGAAAATATTCTAACTGACACAAATGAGTTCTTTGATGGCCCTAGGAAGAATTAGTCCTTAATTAGTCATAATCCCATGTTCTTTCTTCAAGACCCCTGCTGCCAAAAGCCAAGGGTAATCTGTCACTTCTAGAACTTCTCTGGCCGGCCCCTGCAGACAGTATAGTTTGATGGTTATGAGCACAAATCCAGGAGTCAGATCTTGGCAAGTGTGAGCTTTGGCAAGTTACTTAAACTCTCAGTATCTTAATTTTCTTCATCTGTGATCTGGGAATGATGATAATAATGCATCTAACTTGTAGAGTTTTGTGTTAAATGAAGAAACACACAAAAAGTACTTGCCTGGCTCATAATATGCACCATAGGTGAGAGCTGTTTCGCTTATTTACTATTCATTTTATGTAACCTTGTGCTGTTATTGATTTACACACACACACACACACTTCTTCCATTGCTCTTTCATGTCTCAGTGGTTGTACTTATCATCCATAAAGAGAAATTCCATTTTCTAAAACAGCACATTTCTAGGAGCCAGGGAATATGCTTCTTCACTCACTAGCTGTGCCATGAGCACTTCACTTATTTTCTCAGTATTTAGGTTTCTTCATTTGATAAAGAAAGCTGGCCAGGTACAGCGGCTCATGCCTGTAATCCCACCACTTTGGGAGGCCGAGGTGGGTGGATTGCTGGAGTCCAAGGTGGAAGGATTGCTTGAGGTCAGGAGTTCAAAATCAGCCTGGGCAATGTAGTGATACCTCATCTCTACTAAAAATCAAAAAAATTAGCCAGGCATGGTGGCATGCACCTGTAGTCCCAGACACTCGGGAGGCTGAGGCTAGAGAATCACTAGATTTAGGGAGGCGAAGTGAGCTGTGCAGTGAGCTGTGATTGTACCACTGCACTCCAGCCTGGGTGACACAGTGAGACCCTATTAAAAAAAAAGAAGAAGAAGAAAGAAAAGGGAAGGTATTGTCTTTATTTCAGTTCCCCCCAAAAAAGACCCTGATAAAGTGCTAGTCATTTACTTGGGAGGTGATTGAAGGAAACTCCAATAATGGAGTGAGAAGGTGAGCCTGGAAAGGAAGGAAAGGCAGGGAAGCCCTTAAAAGATACACTATCAAGCTACTTCCTGCTATGGACAAAGGGACCACAGGGCTTCATCCCACGAAGAGCTCTCAGCATAGACCACCCCATGCCTCAGAGGTACACCCCCAAAGGAAGAGCTTGCTGGCTATTTAAACACCATCTCCCTTCAGGCATTGGTTGAGAGCTGCTGGGACGGTGGTGCATTCAATCTCAGGCTCTCCTCCCTCTGTGGGTGGGCTGAGCAGGCCCAGCCTCGAGAGGAAATTGGCAGTCAGCTGAAAGTGGGGCAGCACATACCACAATGGGAAGGTCTGAGGGGGGCCTCTCTAGGCTAAAGTGGTGATTGATTCAACTCAGTAAATATGTTTTTGCGGGGGAGAGAGGGAAGTGGCAGAAGCTATTCTGTCCAAAGAACTTTGCTAGCTAAGCAACAGGCTATGAAGATGAGTAAGAAATGGTTCCAGACTTTAAGGGTGTCACAATTCAGTGGCAGAGATAGGCATGTTAACAAATATTATATTAACAATCTTTACTGTGTAAGGAGTCCAAGACTAGAAGTTTGTTTATTTTTACCTAACAGACTGGTAAATAGTGAGGCTATGGGAAAACAGACAATCTCATGCATGGTTGCTAAAAGGAATGATTTGCCAATGTTTTTCAAAAATACAAATGTGTTTGTTTACTCTTTGACCCAGCAATCCATCTTCCGGGAATTTATCCTATAGATCTGCCTGTACATGAACAAAATGATGAATGTGCAAGGTGATTCATTGCAGCATCATTGTAATAACAAAAGACTAGAAATAATCCAAGCGAACATCAGGAGGGACTGGTTAAATGCAGTGGAGTAATTTGCAGCTGTATAAAAGAGTGAAGGAGTCTTCCCCAGAATATATTGTTAAGTTAAAAAAAATCAAAATGAAAAGGCAGAGTATATGTGGTGAGATAGAGGATTCAGAGCTGATCAAGGAAAGGACATGACCACGAAATGACAGTAGCACAAATGAACTTTGTTTGGGTGGTGCTTGGTTAGCATACGTGAGTGAAGTTCTTCACAGCAGGAGACCTTCCAGAAAGAGCAGCATGGAGCCACCACCCAGAAGAGGAAGAGAACAAGGGCATTCCCAGGGGAGAGGGAAATCGGAGAAGTGCCTCCTGCAGGTAGATGATGTTACCCAGTAACAAGATGGGGAGTCTTTGGGGTCAGAGAGCTTGAATCGGCAGCAGTGGCTTGGTGTCTTTCGTATCCCCAAGGTTCATCTTATCTATGGCTAGCAGATGTTGGGTACAGCTTCATAGGATGTGCAAGACAGGCAGGCTTTAAATAGCTAAAAATATGGTTATTTGGGCTACATTTAAGGCAATCAGATGTATATGAATTTGAGTTTAGTGCCAGAGGGCTTTGAGCTAATTGTCCTAGCCTGCTGTGAAGATGTAAACAACATGGGGACCAATATCCAGGGCCCCCCACCTTTAGCCCATTTATATAACAGCATGTAACATGTTAACTCTATGTAAGAATGAGGGAGAAATCAGAACATATATGTGTTTGTACATAGTTCCATAAAGAAACATTGGAAGTATATGCAAGAAACTAATAAAAGGAATGAGGCAATAGGGTGGAGGACAGACCAGCTTATGGATGCTAGTAAGACTTCTCAATATATATTTTTTATACCATTTTTATTTTTGAACCACGTGAAGGTATCACTTGAAAAAACAAGTAAAATTAAAGCAAACGAAGAAGAGGGTTGTCCAAAGTTCACAAGCATCATGGAGGCAGGTGGTTAACACTGTTGGAGGGATGGGAGATTATGGTTTTAGTGCAATCACATCATTCAGGTATTTATTTACTGTCCACCTTGTCCTAAAACTTTAGTTCTGGCACATAGTAGGCACATGATAAATATCTTTTTGAATTAACAAGTAAGCAATGCAGAATTTGAGAAGCTAGTTTTCTTTTTCTTTCTTTCTTTTCTTTTTTTATGGAGAGACAAGGTTGCAATCTTGTCTAGGCTGGAGTGCAATGGTGTGGTTATAGCTCACTGCAACCTCGAACTCCTGGGCTCAAGTGATCCTCCCACTTCAGCCTTCCAAGTAGCTGAGACTGCAGGCATGCCACCATGCCCAACTAATGTTTTTAACTTTTTATAGAGAAAGGGTCTCACTATGTTGCCCAGGCTGGTTTTGAACTCCTGGCCTCAAGCAATCCTCCTGCCTTGGCCTCCCAAAGTGCTGGGATTATAGGTGTGAGCCACCACACCTGGCCAAGAAGCTAGTTTTCAAGTTCAAATACAATTTCTAGGGGCATTTTATAAATTGTAAGTTGCTATTCAAAGAAAATAATTGTTTTTATGTTTCTTACATCCCCTACAGAGCTTAACAAAAGTATCCTGCGCTTCTTAGACCCTCAGATATTTATTGAACAAATGATTTCATTAAAAAATAATTTCCAGATTTCTGCTGTGATGGTACTTTTCCACTTAGGAGGCTTAGTTTTAAGTAAATTTCAGTTTTAAAAAGCACTTTTTTCAATTATTAGTTTATTCAACAAATATGTGTTCAACACTTACTATGACCATGACTGAATAGCCACCAAACACGTGATTAAATCTCAGTCTCTTATCACGCATCAGATTTTCATATCATTTATGGCATATGTAGGTATGTTGGGCAGTCAGTAAAGAAAACCTGCAGAATTTATTCTGGTTTTTTTTTTTTTTTTTTTTTTTTTTTTTTGAGACAGAGTCTCGCCCTGTCGCCCAGGCTGGAGTGCAGTGGTGCGATCTCAGCTCACTGCAAGCTCCGCCTCCCGGGTTCACGCCATTCTCCTGCCTCAGCCTCCGGAGTAGCTGGGACTACAGGCGCCCGCCACCGCGCCCTGCTAATCTTTTGTATTTTTAGTAGAGACTGGGTTTCACTGTGTTAGCCAGGATGGTCTCGATCTCCTAACCTTGTGATCCACCCGCCTCAGCCTCCCAAAGTGCTGGGATTACAGGCATGAGCCACCACGCCTGGCCAGAATTTATTCTATCCTTATGAACAGTGCTTGCTCAAAAAAACCCTGAAGTTTTTTTGTTTTGTTTTTGTTTTTTTTTCTTTACTGAGTACAAAAGAATATTCATTTCTGGAAGAAGATATTTGCGATACATACATCCAAAAAGGATTTATAACCAGAATATATAAAGAATTTCTCTAAATCAATAAAAGAGGACAAAAACCAATTTAAAAATGGGCAAAAGATTTAAACAGGCACTTTATAAAATAGGATATCCAAATGGCCAACGAGCATGTAAATATGGTATTCAACATAGCTGGTAATAGAAAAATGTAAAGTAAAACCACAAGATATCACTACATACATGAGAATGGGTAAAATTTTAAAGTCTGACAATGTCAAGTGTTGGTGAGGATGTGGAGCAACTGGAATTCATATACTGTGGTGGGAATTTAACATGGTACAGCCCCATGGAAAATTGTTTGGCAGTTTCTAATAAAATTACCACTTGACCCAGCTATTTTAAATGAAAACACGTCTGCAAAAAGATTCATATATGAAGGCAACAAAGGCCTGGTCCCAATGTCCCTCCCTCCTCTGGGCTCTTTGTGGGCATTTGTTTCATACCACTTTCACCAATACACTTGCATGGGTGTCTATTTCTTTTTTTTTGAGACAGTCTCGCTCTGTCACCCAGGCTGGAGCACAGTGGCGTGATCTGGGCTCACTGCAAGCTCCGCCTCCGGGGTTCACATCATTCTCCTGCCTCAGCCTCCGGAGTAGCTGGGACTACAGGTGCCCGCCACCATGCCTGGCTAATTTTTTGTATTTTTAGTAGAGACGGGGTTTCACCGTGTTAGTCAGGCTGGTCTCGATCTCCTGACCTCGTGATCTGCCTGCCTCGGCCTCCCAAAGTGCTGGGATTACAGGGGTGAGCCACCACGCCCGGCCGTGTGTCTATTTCTTAGCTGGATTATGAATTTGCATAAAGCATAAATGTGATGTATGTTAGCTACTGCAGCTACCAGGCATTCCTTTTTAAAAATCCCCAGAGTTTAACTTATGGCCTGCTGCCTAGTAGGCACTCAATAAATGTTGAATTAATGAATTGCCTCCATTTCAAACTAGTCATTTAAAAAAAGAGCCAGTGCCATGTTTTTACCCTCTGGTATCATTGCATGTAGTGCCCCTTTAGGCTAGTCTGTACAGGATGGGAGCATTTTCATTGAACTATATAGGTTTAAATAACCATATGCACGATGCAGAAATTAGAACTTGAAAGTGATAAATAGTGTCTGATTCAATACAGAGTAGCCTAAATGTAAGCCAGTCATGGTGAGTTATGCCCTGTCATATGTGGTGTGTAAAACGAAGCAGAATCAGTAGTTCTTATAGGCAACTAACTGTGCTTAGTAGCTGCCAAAAATTCACTGGAAACCCCTGAGCGGTCAGACTTGTGGTGCCTGGAAAGCAATCCGAAGTAAATTAACGAGTGATCATACAATATTCTTATTCTCCCGGATCATCTGTTTGCTGGCATGAAGAGTGGGTGGGAGGAATTGTAAAAGAGAGAAAAATAAAGCAGCAGAAAAAGCTGTAGAACACAGCAAGAATATCTTTCCCGGAAGGTCTCTGGGCCCCATATCCTAATTATTTTGTTCCATCCTCCCCACTGAATACAGAATTTCTGAAATAATGCGAGAGTTCAGTTGGTGCAGCTTAGTCCAGCCTGAATTGAGAATAACTCTTTGTTCTTAAAAGACTCTACAGTGCACCAAGAACAAGGAAACATTTTGGAAATAACAATTCTGCGATGCCTCCCAGGAATAGATGATAATCCTAAAAGCATATTTCCATTTCTAACTCCAAGGGCACTTTAATAATGGAGGGCATGTAAGTAGCTAACGGTGGAACATTTAAAATCTGAGTACAATGTCTATGACATATTCATATTTTAACGATCATTTTTAAATACTCAAGATTCTACCAAGATCTATTTTTCTTTCTCCACGATAGATAACATTGGATTGTCACATCATGCTTCATTTATTTCACATACGTGTGAGATAAAATTAAACTCAGAATGATTTTCTGCTATTTATTGCTTTGACATACTATTTTTACATTTAATACTGAATGTGGAAAAAAAAACCTCTAATGCCATTTTCTTTAAGAAATATCACACGATCTTGCTGAAATGTTCATTAATATTGGTTTAATGGAGCTTTGGATTAGCATCCTAAAAATTTCGCTGTTTTAAATTTTCAAAATGCAAACACAGACCTTTCCCCTTTGAGTGTTTTCAAGTGACAGCTATGAATTAATTAGTCATTTTTATAAACACCAATGTTCTTCTGTAATTTGTAAGTCAAAGAAAAGTTACTTTTTTTTTTTTTAACAAGTTCCAATCAACCATATGACTTCATGCAGTTTTAAATTTGGGGCCCTCAATCTGATTCTCAAATCCTTGTTCCAGGGTATGTGACAGAGCTCCCTCCTGGTGGTTTTTAAAGATGCTGGAAAGAGTGGTGGAGACATGGAGGCCTTAGAAGATGCCCTTGTAGTGTTGTCTTCAGCTTTCCTGGGGACTGTTGGAATCCGCTGCAGAGATGAGTGAGTAGTTAGACCGTGTCTCTTCTGAGCTGTTAGGCTGGGCTGCCATACATTTTGCCTCTGTTTCCAAGTCCTCCTCTGTGTGGTGCATGATGTGTGCTTCCTGCTGCTTGGCCTGCCTGCCTGAAAACCACCATACCATCACAAACTACCAGTTTTAATAAAATTACAGAATTCAAGTGACAAGTACAACTGGCCTACACAGCTGTGAGAACAAATTCTACAACTGATTTGAAGTAAGCATACAGCCCAACTGGTGAGAGAGAAATTCTCAAGGGTGACAGAGAGAGTGGCCTATTAGCTATCGGTGTTCAGTGTGCCCTGCCAGTGTGTAGAAGAGGGAATGGAGGCTGGTGAATCCCTGGTGTTGGTTTGGCAAAGTGTCATATCAGAGCTTCTGACTTAAGGCAGGGCTGGTTTTGGAGAAAATTGTAAAGAAATGTGCTCACTTGATGTTTTGGGGAGCTTTATTGAGGTATAGTTCATAAATAGGGATTATATATATTTAAGATACACAACTTGATGTTTTGATACATGTAGACATTGTGAAATGATCATTGCAATCAACCGAATTCACTTATCTATCACCTCACATATTTTCTTTTTTTCCTTCTTTCCCTCTCTCCTTCCCTGCCTCCCTCCCTCCCTCCCTCCCTCTCTCTCTCTTTCTTTCTTCTTTCTTTTTCTTTCTCTCTCTCTCTCTCCCTTCCTCCCTCCCTCCCTTCCTTCCTTCCTCTCTTTCTCTTTCTTTTCATTTCCTTCCTTCCTTCCTTCCTCCCTCCCTCCCTCTCTCTCTCTTTTCTCTTTCTTTCTTTCTTTCGCTGAGTACACTTGATATCTACCCTCTTAGCAAATTTCAAGTATATAACACAGTATTGTGACAGCACAGTAGTCACTCTACTGTATATTAGACTCTGAGCACTTATTCAACTTGTATAACTGAATTTTTATCGCCTTTGACCAACATCTCCCCACTTTCCCCCCACCTTAGCAACCATCATTCTACATTCTACTTCTAAGAGTTTGACTATTTTAGATTCTACAAGAAACATGCTCAGTTGGTTTTGATGCTCTGATCTTGCAGCATTCTCTGCCCACTGGCAGACACTCACAGTCCTTGAGTTTCCCTAGCTTCTCAGGGCCTCCCACCAAGTCTTTGCACCCAGTACGGGACACTGCCTCAATGCTTCTAGATCCCATTTCAGTGGATGGGATTTTAGGGCCTGAGAGTACAGAATTTTAAAAAATAAAGTAAGTGCAGAAGTATGAGTCTCTAGAATGCATTTCCTTGCAGTGTACTGTCTTTTGCTTGATAACCCTTATTATTTGCTAGATACGGAGATAAGTCCTCATACAAGGAAGAGTTACAGAAAGAGAAAATGAAAGCATCCTTGCCCTTTGGCAGCTTACATTCTAAGCAAATTTGAAATGCACATGTAATTTCTAATTAACCTTTAGAAATAAAAATAAATCTGGAAACAAATTAGGAAACATACCAGAGAGAATGTGGCCATTTTGAAATGCCCTTTTCTCTCAACAGTCCTTGTGATTTCTAGGATTATTGGGTTTTCTTCTTAGGCTATCCCATTAAACCTTGCAAGGTAAAGTAATGGAGAACCAAAAATGTCCCAGTTTCTTCTTCAATAAGTGGGTCTTTGTAGGTTGAGTCCCAAGGACCTTGCCAACAGTAAATGATCATATACTTGTTGATGTGTATTATGACTGTGTGTGCTTATTTCTTTTAATCTTGCCCTCTTGGCTAGACTATTATTTTTCTTTTCTTTTCTTTTCTTTTTTTTGAGATGGAGTCTCTGTCACCCAGGCCACCCAGGCTGCAGTGCAGTGGCACAATCTTGGCTCACTGCAACCTCCGCCTCCTGGGTTCAAGCAACTCTCATGCCTCAGCCTCCCGAGTAGCTGGGATTACAGGCGCCCACCACCATGCCCAGCTAATTTTTTATATTTTTTAGTAGAGGCGGGGTTTCGCTATGTTGGCCAGGCTGGTCTCAAACTCCTGACCTCAGGTGATCCACCCGCCTGGGTCTCCCAAAGTGCTGGGATTACAGGCGTGAGGCACCGTGCCAAGCCCTAGACTATTATTTTTCAATCATAGTACCTTTTCCATTTAGAGTCCACACAACTTCAGATCTTTGTCCCTAATGGGTGTGTATTAAGTGCTAATTTACATATGTTATGTATGTTATGGCAAACTGAGCAAGTATGGTCATTACAGGCAAATGCTTCGCCTGTGGCTGTGATTTCCACATTGCTGTATACACAGCACATCTACTCCCAGGCTTGTTCCGTTTTCAGACCTTGCGTGATGGCCCTCAGCACAACAGAAAGTTCTCCAACTGGTAAACTTTTACCTACCTGACTCCTGAACCGTGGTACCTGCCAAAACAGGCCCAAAGACTATCCCCAGCCCTTTCTTTCTTTTAAGCCCTCCTAACAATGACTGTGTTGTCCCTCCTAGTATTCTGTGTGCTTCTAACATTCTGCTTTAGGAATACAGTACTGTCTTTCAAGAGGCTGATTAGAAGGAAACAGAAATTGGGCAGTTGAAGACAATTCCTAGTCATGTTCTAAAAATAACAGATTGTTGAGGCAGTGTTGGAAGTAGGCTTCTTGAAATGCACACACTGTCCTTGTCTGATCATTGTCTATTGTGTTGAGTAAGGTGCCTTATGCACAAGAACATACAGGCCCAGAGAGATCCATTGCCACCATTTTTAGTTAGAGGTCATAATAGCCCCAGGGGTTTCACAGTCTGTCTCAGTGGAACTGATCTTGGAAATCGCCTCCTCCCACAGTCTTGTCATTATCCCATTTTCAATTCGCCCTGCTCACTGGCAGATAGCATCTCTTTGGGAGATGGATGGGGACTGCAAGTGAGTAGGGACTGCGGGCTGGGGGTGAGCCCCTTCTCTGAGCTCCTCTTGTCTTTACCAGGCTTTTAAAGTGCACAATCATTTTTTCTTTTATTATATAAAGGTGGCAGGTTTATGTACAGTTAAGGAAGAATCCTTTGCAGGTGGCCAGATTTTTATTTCTGCTCGCTGCATGTGGAAGGGGGTGAACTAAAAGGATATAACATAAATTAAAACCCAAGCAGGTGGTTTCATGCTCAGGGACCGAGTTGGAAACATTGCAACGTGGAGGCGATATTCAAATTAAAATGAGGAAACACGGACATGCTTCGATTACTGTGACAGATAATGTCAAGAACTTCTTTCCTGGCAGGGTAGATTCTGATGTGGACTAAAATTGATTTGTGTAGTTATCGCCCTGTGGTCTGTGGAAAAGTAAACATCGAGACCAAAATAATCTCTCTACCTATGGACGCAGGAGTAGTGAAAGGAGATGCACCACCCCTGGCCTTTGGCACTGTGTGTCAGGTTGGGGCCATAGCCTTACTCTTGGGAGTGGGCAAACCCTATCATCAGGCCCCGTGCGGAGGGAGTCATCTCCTCCACCGCCCAGGACTCTTTACACACGGAAGAATACCACCTTTTGGCAGAGGCAAGAGCACTTCATGTTAGTGACGCTTCATGTGATGGAGGATAAAGGGACAACACTCTTCTCTCCTGGCGTCCGGTAATTTTCATCATTTTAGAATAAAAGGAAGGTGCCGTCAAGACAAACGAGGAGTTATTCTTAGTTTTGGCAAGTCCTAAAACAGTGATACGGGGGCTGAAGAGTTCACGTGGAGTAGAAAGTTATTGCCAAGGTAAGTGATCGCACAGGCCCATGATCCCACAGTGCATACATTGACTCTGTAATTCGGTCTCCATAGAAGTTGATTCAGCACCACTTTTGCACCGAGTGGGTGTGGCTGTCACGAAGAGAAAGCCAGTGGGAGCAGAGATAGTTGATTTATGTAACAACTTTCATGCCTCATAGATTGTTCCATTCTCTAGAAGAAATAATTACCTGCTTATGAGCAGTTCTTTGGAGCAGAGCTCTGCTTCTTTTCTGCATAGTACAGACGTTATTTATTTCTAACTTTTGCCTCTGGGCCCTCAATATGTAGTCCAAATATACCACAGAAACACGAGACCTCTAAGGCAGCCAGGCACAAAATGTCGAATTGAAGGGAAAAAAGCAAGGTTAAAAAACAGAAATCATAAATTATCTTCTTGAAAAAATTACATGCATAGCACCAATCATTCTTCAATTCCTCCATAGCAATTTGACCTGATACTCATTTTTAAAACACAGCTCTCATTCTGGGTATCCTCTCAGCTTTCTGGGATAGGTTCCTGAAACAAAAGCCAAACAAAAGCCGAACATTCTAATGAAACATGGCCACAAACACTGGTGCAAGAAGTCTCCAAATCACTCAAAAGAATGTATATAGCATGAGTCGTAGGGAGTACTTTCTAGATGAATGAGCCTTGGGCTTGTTTTCGTCACTGGAAGGAAACGATTGTCTGACATCTTTGGAGTTGGAACATGGCTCTGAGCAGTTAAATTATTTCTGACAGAACTGCTTAAGGCAACTTCATATGGTTAGGGGGAAGCCCTATGAATTATTGAATTGCCCATTTTCCTGCACACAGAATTTCTCACATGAACCAATTTACCATGGGGACAGATAAAGTACAAAGCAGGAAAAAAAAAAAAGCAGAGGCAGTTTTTAAGAAGGAATATTCTAGGAACCTGGGTGCTGGGGTTTGGAGTTAATCAAGTTTACGAACTTCTCATCTCTGCTCCATGAGGGACTGGAAGCTGGCATTCATGAGATTACTGGAAATGATCTACACACAAAGGAATTTGATAAATGCTAGCTTGATACCCACTATAATATGTGTTTTGGGTAAGAGAGGAGAAAATGGAGAGACAATGGCAAAATGTACAGAGTCAGCAGTTCTGACTAGGAAGAGGAAGCAATAGTCATTCAGCTCATTTGCTGCTCAAACCAAACAGATCCACTTCACACCAACAGAGTTGCCTGGGGGCCTCCTTATCCCTGTGTCTCAGGAGTTGGGGTCTGGGGCCTCGGGTCTTTTTCTGCTCCAGCACGAGAGGATCTGCTTTGGTTTGCAGCAACAGCAGACGGATGGAGAACCTGGTACTGTTTGGGGCTCTGCCTGTTTGGTGGTAACTTCTCAGATGGACAAGTGGGCTCCTCTCTGCCTGCAGAGAGCTATTATCATATATATGACTCTCCAAGAGAGCAGCCAGGATAGGCCTTAGGCATCGTTAAAAAAAGAAGTTGAGGCTGGAGATGGCTCATGCCTGCCTTCCCAGCATTTTGGGAAGCCAAAGTGGGAAGATCTCTTGAGGCCAGGAGTTTGAGACCAGTCTGGGCAAAGTAGCGAGACCCCATCTCTACAAAAAGAAGAAGAAGAACAAAAAAAAATTAGCCAGGCATGGTGGCCTGCCCCTGTAGTCCCAGCTACTCAGGAGGCTAGGTTGGGAGGATCACTTGAGCCCAGGAGGTTGAGGCTGCAGTGAGCTATGATGGTGCCACTTCACTCCAGCCTGGGTGATGGAGTGAAACCCTTTCTCCAAAAAAAAAAAAAAAAAAAGAAAAAGAAAAAGAAAAGAAAAGAAAGGAAGGAGGAAAGAGACAGAAAGAAAAGAAAAAAGAAAAGAAAAGACGTCAACTAAATTGACTCTCACCCAGAGGCTTTCCCTTCCCTGAGGCCATTAGCTCTTTCTCCTAGCAGAGTCTATTAACCTCATAGAGTCTGTATTAGTCTGTTTTGCATTGCTATAAAGGAATACCTGAGACTGGGTAATGTATATAAAAAAAAGAAGTTTAATTGGCTTATGGTTCCGCAGGGTGTACACGAAGCATGATACCAACATCTGCTTCTGGTGAGGGCCTCAGGGAGCTTACAATCATGGCGGAACATGAAGAGGGAACAAGCTATCACATGGCGAGAGGGAGCAAGGGAAGAGAGGAAGGTTGTAGTCTCTTTTTAACAACCAGATCCTGCTGAACTCATTACGGGGGGAAGGGCACCAAGCCATTCATTAGAGATCCACCCCCACGAGCCCCACCTCCCACTAGACCCCACCTCCAACATTGAGGATCACATTTCAACATGAGATTTGGAGAGAACAATATCCAAACAATATCAGAGTTTATTCTCATTAAATGGTTGATGACTACTGACACTTTGGGCAGAATCATTCTTTGTTGTGAGGAACTTCCCTGTTCACTGTAGGATGTTTAGCAGCATACCTGGTCTCTGCTCACTAGATGCCGGTAACAACTAATAATTTATAAATCTATGTATGTCTCATGCAATATTTGGAACATAGATACACTAAGTAATTAGTTACTGTTTATTTGAAATCTAAATTGAACTGAGTGTCTTTATTTTATCCAGAAACCTTCTTGGGATATAAAAATTGCCTAGCTTGAGAACCACTGGGCTTAGGTATTTTCACTTTGAGAGACCAAAGGAATCAATTTCTAACTGTAAAACTTCCACTTCCGCAAGATGGAGGGTGAAGATATAAAATGGCCAGAAAGTACACGAAAAGATGCTTAGCATCATTAATCATTAGGGAAATGCAAATAAAAACCACAGTGAGATAACACATCACACCCGCTTGGATGGCTGTATTAAAATAGACAACAGTAGCAAGTATTGATGGGGAGGGGTAGCTGTTTGGAAAGCTGTCTCCAAACAAATTTTGCCCTTGGCCTCACAACACATACCTCTCTGGACTAATGACATGATGAGGGTTAACCTTCCCAAAATGGAAGAAAACATACCATGAGAACAAAACATGAACTAATACCTTCAGAAAAAATCTCTGCTACAAATCTGGCAGGTTCCCTTGCTTTCTCCGCTTCAAGTTTTCCTTGCTTCCACCCACCCTCCATATCGCTAAGACAGTGGTTTTTCTAAAACAGGAACCTGATTGTGTGACCCTACTCCTTGAAAATATAATGGCTACCAATGACAATGGTAGCATCCAAACATCCAAATGCCTTCCGATGGCAGTCAAGGTCTTCTGCAGTGTAACTCCAACTCATGCTCCCAGTCTGTTTGTTTGTTAATAACAGTCTCATTGGCATATAATTCACGTAGCCTACAGTTCACCCACTTACAAGGTACAATTCAATATACTTTTATTGTGGTCACAGAGTTATGCAACTGTCATCCCAATCAATTTTAGGACACTTTCATCAACTCCAGAAGAAACCCAGTATCTACTAGCAGTCACTTCCCATTTCCCCCCAAAATCTTCCGCCCATCCCTTGGCAATCAATACGCTACCTTTTGTGTCTGGCTTCTTTTCATATATTTTTAATTCAGGTAAATGGAAGTAGACTTTAACACTTTTTGAGAGTTTTTCTGTACCTTTTTTCAGCTCAGCGGATCCCCTGGGAAGTCTGAGGGTAGGTTGGGAGGGACTGAAATAAACAAGATATTGTTTATATTAACGGTCAAACCTGTGTCGGCCACATGTCTGAAACGTTTCACCCCCTTATCTACTGTTATCTCAAATATATGTCCTTAATGTGTTTCCCACAGTTCTTATCAGTCCTGTACTAACTAGTTACGACTTGTAGGATTAATTAACTTGTCATAAAAGGCGTTAGCTGAAGTAGAAATGTGCATAATCAAAACTCTTTACTTTACAGCCAATATGTAAAAATGCTAGCTCTAAGGCTAGCGTGAATTGACGTCATTTAAAAAGCTTTATTCCACTGTCTAATTGTGAAATAATATCAGCAAGGCTTGTTAAAAGCCACAAAAAACAATTTGTAATCAAAAAAACCATTTGTAATCAAGATCTCATTTTTGTGTTTTTTTCCCAACATAGTGCAGCAAATAATAGTAGAGACCCTCTCTGGAGGCTTTCATAAACTTTTCAGCCTAGATTGTGGGAGACTGAGGCCTGTAGACCCGTCTTCAATCACAAAACCATTCTATTGATTCTGGCTTAAGTGGCTCTACAGCTGAACACAGAAGGAAACAAAGGGAAGGCAAGGAAAAAGGTTAGTAGTGATATCAAATGTGGAGTCACATGATTTTAAAGTTACTTATTCATTCAGTGTGAAATAATTACTTCATTAAAAGCAATCCTCCAAACATAATAGTATTAAATTACAGTGCTCAAGGCTCTACATGCTCCTGGGTAAATTGAAGAGCCTCTAGATTGAATTCATTTTTCATCCTCTACTTGGTTTGTATTGGCTTTTTCTAGCCAGGGGACTAAGAAGAACAGAAGATAACGAAGGAGGCTGGGAAGTTTCCATCTATATACATTCTAATGACTTGCAAAACTAGCTCTTTCAAAATTAAGACATGAAAGGTTTTGAACGAGTTTACTCTTCTGTTTGGATATTCCCCAAACAGAAATTATATAAGAAGCAGCAGTACTTGCAGTGATCGCATCAGTGGTCAGCAATTTAATTTTTGTTAATAATAGTCATGTCTACCACTGACAGAAGAAAAGCATTAAGAGATCATCTTGTCCTGCCTTGAGGCAGGTAAATGTCTGAAGCATTCAGAACAGATGGCCTTTCTCTCCTAAAGGATCTAGGGGGTTAAGCGGGGGAGGGAAACTGCAGCTTAACTTGATGAGCAAGAGATTTTAAACAGCAATTCAACTCAATTTTTACCTATCCTTCACTTTTGTCTGATTTCTCTAAATGACCTCAATTCCCTAAATGATCTTGTCCACCCAGCTGAGAGAGAGAAAACAGGAACATGGAGAGTTATAGTGCACACTTTCTTGTGTTAAAAATGAAATTTCATTTGATTTAGGGTAGTTTTGCCTCAGGCTATCTATTGCCAGTGTTTGTAATTACATTTCCTAGATGATATGATCATGGTAATGTCAGAGGTGTTTAAACCAGAGCAACTCCATCTTGGATAGGGGCTGGGTAAAATAAAGCTAATAAGGCATTTTAAGTTACAGGATGAGACTGGAGGTCAGCACAACATACAGGTCATAGGACCTTGCTGATAAAACAGGTTGCAGGAAAGAAGCCGGCCAAAACGCACAAAAACCAAGATGGTGATGAGAGTGATCCCTGGTTGTCCTACACTCCCACCAGCGCCATGACAGTTTACAAATGCCATGGCAACATCAGGACGTTACCCTATATGATCTTAAAAGGGGAGGCATGAATAATCCACCCCTTGTTTAGCATGTAATCAAAAAATAACCATAACAATGGGCAAACAGCAGCCCTCGAGGCTGCTCTGCCTATGGAGTAGCCATTCTTTTTATTCCTTTACTTTCTTAATAAACTTGCTTTTACTTTGCACCATGGACTCGCCCTGAATTCTTTCTCGTGCGAGATCCAAGAACCCTCTCTTGGGGTCTGGATTCAGACCCCCTTTCCGGTAACAGTAATATGGCTGATCACCTGTATAAGAATATCTGATGTATTAACTATGACAATAAATGTTATTTAATAATAATACTTTAAAACACGAATATTTCATTTTTAAAGTGCTTTCTAGAATACACAGAACTCCTCCATATTATATTCATTTAATGTTCAGCAACCTTCTAAGGTATATCTGGCAATTCCAGTTGCATAGATAAAGAAACTGAAATCTCAGAAAAGTTAAATGACTTAGTAAAAATAACTCTGCTAGAAAATATCAGTGCTCTAATCCAGGGATTAGCAAACTACTCAACTCTTTGGCCAAATCCAGCCTGTCACTTCGTTATGTATTGCCCTCAAGCTAAGAATCGTTTTAACATTATTAAATGATTTTTAAAAATTCGATGACATTAGATTATATGAAATTTAATTTCAGTGTCCATAAACAAAGTTTTACTGGAGCACACTGCCCATTTGTTTACATATTTTCTATGGTGCTTTTTCATGCCACAATGGCAGAGTTGAATAGTTGTGACAGGGACCATATGGCCCACAAATCCTAAAATATTAACTGTCTGACCCTTACAGAAAAAGTTTACCAACTCCTGCTATAATTCAACCTTAAATTGTACCCTTGGATAACTTTTACTAGATGGACATATGGAAAACAATAATAAAAGAAAGATGGTTCATTGGAATTGGCATTGACCTTGCCACTTTGTCAAACACGCAATCAAACCCATGAAATGATTTCAATAGGATTCAATGATCTTTTGCAAGATCACAAGACCATAAGCCAAACAATTGTTATTTTCACTTTGTGTTCCCAGCTGCTCTAAAAACATTTTAATTATTTGGAGTCTTTTAAAAAAGAATATATCAATATAAAATCATCAATATTTCAGGAATCATTATGGGATTTTGAATATGCAAATCTGTCCATAGCAACTGTTAAGACTTCTTTGAGAGTGGTTTATTATTATTATTATTATTATTATTATAATTTTGAGACGGAGTCTAGCTCTGTCGCCCAGGCTGGAGAGCAGTGGCGTGATCTCGGCTCACTGCAACCTCCGCCTCCTGGGTTCAAGCAATTCTCTGCCTCAGCCTCCCAAGTAGCTGGGATTACAGGTGCCCATCACCATGCCTGGCTAATTTTTTTGTATTTTTAGTAGAGATGCGGTTTCACCATCTTGGCCAGGCTGGTCTCGAACTCCTGACCTCATGATCCACCCACCTGGACCTCCCAAACTGCTGGGATTACAGGCGTGAGCCACCGTGCCTGGCCGAGAGTGTTATTTTTAAGACGGAAATTAAGTATGCACAGTTTAGCAATTTAGCTTAACCCTCACTCTGCCTCTTGAAGTATTCAATTGGCTACTTCTAAACAGACCACAGGCCTTTCATTTTGTTCTTAGAAATACTTTATTCACCCCGTTTGCCAAACCAACGGCACACATAGCTGGTTTAGAAAATGTGACATGAAAATGATGTTGTAAAATTGAAGGAAAATAATGCTTGCTTTTCATTACCACACGAGGGAAACCCCCTTCCCCCCTCCAACTCCCCCGACCCGCTGCTGCCCCAGTTGAATCGTCCTCCACTTCATCAACACCTCAAAAGGAAAACCTCCAGGCCATTAGCATCATTCATCTCTGGGAGATAACTGTCATTCATCCTTACCGAGATAACTCAGTTTTACTTGAATAGAGTACCTGAGTTGCTAAAGAGATCATTTTACTGAGACGTAATTTACTTACAATGAAATATACTGATTTTAATGTTTACTTTCATAAGTTTCACAAATGCACACATGCATGTAACCTGCCTCATCAAGATATAGAACATTTCTAATCACTCCAGAAAGCATCTCCCCTGCCACTTCAGGTTAGTAACAGCCACACCTCCCTACCCCCAACCCCAAGCAACCACTTATCTGATTCTATTACCACAGATTAGCTTTATCTGCTTTAGAGCTTCATAAAAATCCAATTGTAACCGCCCAACGGGTTCATTTTGCCCACTGCCCAGATAGAGCCGATTTATCAAGACAAGGGAATTACAATAGAGTTTAATTCACGCAGAGCCGGCTGAACGGGAGACCAGAGTTTTATTATTACTCAAATCAGTCTTCCTGAAAATTTGGAGACTGGGTTTTTTTGAGGATAATTTGGTGGGTAGGGGGCCAGGGAGTAGGGAGTGCTGATTGGTCAGGTTGGAGATTAAATCATACGGGGTCGAAGCTGTCTTCTTGCACTGAGTTGGTACTTGGATGGAGGCCACAAGACCAGATGAGCCAGTTTATTGATCTGGGTGGTGCCAGCTGATCCATCGAGTGCAGGGCCTGAAAAATATCTCAAGTATTAATCTTAGGTTTTAGAGTAGTGATGTTATCCCTAGGAGCAACTGGGGAGGTTTCGAATCTTGTGGCCTCTGGCTGCATGACTCCTAAACCATATTTTCTAATCTTGTGGCTAATTTGTTAGTCCTGCAAAGGCAGTCTGGTTCCCAGGCAAGAATAGGGTTGTTAACATCTTTATTTCAAAGTTAAACTATAAACTAAGTTCCTCCCAAGTTAGTTCGGCCTATGTCCAGGAACGAACAAGAACAGCTTGGAGGTTAGAAGCAAGATGGAGTTGGTTAGGTCGGATCTTTTTCAGTCCTGATTTTCTCACTGTTACAATTTTTGCAAAGGTGGTTTCAGAATCACAGAATATAAATTCTTTTGTGTTTGTCTTTTTTTTTTTTGCTGAGCATGTTTTTAAATTTGTCCATGTTGTTACATGTATCAATAATTTGTTCTTTTTTTATTGCTTAATAGTAAGCCATTGTAAGAATATACCACAGTTTGTTTATCCATTCTCTTGATGGACATTTGAGCTATTTCTCATTTTTAGCTATTATAAATAAAGCTGCTACGGATATTTTTCTACAAGACTTATGTGCACATATGCTCTCATTTATCTTGCATAAATACCTATAGATGGAATTACTGGGTCATAGGGTAGGTATATGTTTAACCATTTAAGAAACTGCCAAAGGGTTCCACAAAATGGTTGTATCATTTTAAACTCCTTCCAGCAATATGAGAGTTCCATTTGTTCCACATCCTTGCTAACAGTTGATAATGTCTGAGTCTTTAATTTTAGTCATCTTAGTGGGTGTGTAGTGCCATCTCATTGTGGTTTTAATTTGCATTTTCCCTGATGCTTAAAGCTTTTGAGCATCTTTTTAAAAGATACGTTTATTAGTCATGGTACTTTCATGAATGTCTGTCCAAGTCTCCCCCATTTTTTATTAAGCTACCTTTAATTATTAAATTATATGAATTCTTTATATGTACATATTTTTTTGAGGCGGAATTTTGCTCTTGTTGCCCAGGCTGGAGTGCAATGGCATGATCTCGGCTCACTGCAACCTCTGCCTCCCAGGTTTAAGCGATTCTCCTGTCTCAGCCTCCCGAGTAGCTGGGATTACAGGCACCCACCACCAAGCTCAGCTAATTTTTGTAGTTTTAGTAGAGATGGGGTTTCACCATGTTGGCCAGGCTGGTCTCGAACTCCTGACCTTGTGATCTGCCCGCCTGCCTCGGCATCCCAAAGTGCTGGGATTACAGGCGTGAGCCACCTCGCCCGGCTGAATTCTTTATATTTTTAAAATGTAAGTCTTTTCCAGTTTTATATGTTGCAAATATTTCACCCACTATGTGGCTTGTCTTTTTATTCTCTTAATAGGGTCTGTTGAAAAGCAGTTTTTAACTTTGATAAAGTCTGATTTATCAATTTTTCGTCTCATGGCTAAAGCTTTCTGTGCCCTCTCTAAGAGATCTTTACTTCCTGCATGGTTACAAAGATATTCTCCTGCCTTTATTTTAGAAGCTTTATAATTTTAGCATTTATATTTAGGTCTATGATTCATCTTGAATTAACTTTTTGCATGTGACGTGAGGTAGGAGTCAAAGTTCTTATTTTTAAAAATATGTACATCCACTTTGTGTAGTGCCATTTGCTGAAGATGTATTAGTATTTTTATTTGCATTATTTAGATGAAGAAATTGAGACTTGAAAAAGCCAAGTATTTTGCCAAGTCACATGGCTGTCCATGTGACCCCAAAATCTATATTCTTTCTCCCATCACAGCACTTTCTATGTCAGTTATCAATATGACAGGACGTCATCAATCCCTCTCACTCTGTCCTTTTCCTCCTGAGCAGATGAGAACAATATACCCCTCACTGTTTCACTAGTCCTTCTTTTGTGGCATTCCCAACCCCTATGACCAATTCTTTAAACCTGGCCATGATGATCTTTCAAAATTTATTACATACTAAATGTAGTAAAGTGAATGAAAGGAAAAACCCACTGAAGACACTGTGTCTGTCAGTCAACAAAATGAACATCTTTATATGAGAGATTAGGTTGATAGGCATTAATTAGACATTCAAACTTTTCTGCAGAGATCCCATAAACTAGTACAAAACACTCAAGGGCTGAGAGGACGAATGAGGAAAAGTGGAATTTTGAGGACTTGTAGATTCCAACGTTATGTCTGCAGATGTTTGTGCTAACCCAAGTTTGAGAAATCCTGTATTAAAAGTCAAACATGTCACACAGGCAGATCACTTGGCACCAATGCAATGATTAAGAGAAATGCAAATGTGCACCTTGAATTTGAATAGCAGTATGTGGTTGTATGATCGTTGACCAGGTAATCTAGAAAATGCTCTGTTGTTATATATTTTTTTAACATTTTAGAAAGAATTTTTAGTTAAGCATTACAAATAAATAGAAAATAGGAAAAAAATAGTGTACTATCCTAGATGCATTTTTTTTTTGCAATTCTTTTTTTTTTTTTTTTTTTTTTTTTACTTTAAGTTCTGGGATACATGTGCAGAACATGCAGGTTTGTTACATAGGTATACATGTGCCATGGTGGTTTGCTGCACCTATCAACCTGTCATCTAGGTTTTAAGCCCCAAATGCATTAGGTATTTGTGCTAATGCTCTTCCCCCCCTTTCTCCCCACCCCCCAAAAGGTCCCAGTGTGTGATATTCCCCTCCCTGTGTCCAATATTCCCCTCCCTGTGTCCATGTGTTCTCATTGTTCAACTCCTACTTATGAGTGAGAACATGCGGTGTTTGGTTTTCTGTTCTTGTGTTAGTTTGCTGAGAATGATGGCTTTCAGCTTCATCCATGTCCCTGCAAAGGACATGAACTCATCCTTTTTTATGGCTGCATAGTATTCCATGGTGTATATGTGCCACATTTTCTTTGTCCAGTCTATCATTGATGGGCATTTGGGTTGGTTCCAAGTCTTTGCTATTCTAAATAGTGCTGCAATAAACTTACATGTGCATGTGTCTTTATAGTAGAATGACTTATAATCCTTTGGGTATATACCCAGTAATGGGATTGCTGGGTCAAATGGTATTTCTGGTTCTAGATCCTTAAGGTATCGCCACACTGTCTTCCACAATGGTTGAACTAATTTACACTCCCACCGACAGTGTAAAAGCGTTCCTATTTCTCCACAGCCTCTCCAGCATCTGTTGTTTCCTGACTTTTTAATAATGGTCATTTTAACTGGCATAAGATGGTATCTAATTGTGGTTTTGATTTACATTTCTCTAGTAATCAGTGATGATGAGCTTTTTTTCATATGTTTATTGGCCACATAAATGTCTTCTTTTGAGAAGTGCCTGTTCATATCCTTCACCCACTTTTTGATGGGGTTGTTTGTTTTTTTCCTATAAATTTAAGTTCCTTGTATCAGCTGAAGGAGTTTTGGGGCTGAGACGATGGGGTTTTCTAAATATACAATCATGTCGTCTGCAAACAGAGATAATTTGACTTCCTTTCTTCCAATTTGAACACTTTTATTTCTTTCTCTTGCCTGATTGCCCTGGCCAGAACTTCCAATACTATGTTGAATAGGAGTGGTGAGAGAGGGCATCCTCGTCTTGCGCTGGTTTTCAAAGAAAATGCTTCCAGCTTTTGCCCATTCAGTATGATATTGGCTATGGGTTTGTCATAAATAGCTCTTATTATTTTGAGATATGTTCCATCAATACCTAGTTTATTGAGAGTTTTTAGTATAAAGGGATGTTGAATTTTATTGAAGGCCTTTTCTGCATCTATTGAGATAATCGTGGTTTTTGTCATTGGTTCTGTTTATGTGATGGATTGCATTTATTGATTTGCGTATGTTGAACCAGCCTTGCATCCCTGGGATGAAGCCGACTTGATCATGGTAGATAAGCTCTTTGATGTGCTGCTGGATTCGGTTTGCCAGTATTTTATTGAGGATTTTCACATCAATGTTCATCAGGGATACTGGCCTGAAATTTTCTTTTTTTGTTGTGTCTCTTCCAGGTTTTGTATCAGGATGATGCTGACCTCATAAAATGAGTTAGGGAGAAGTCCCTCTTTTTCTATTGCTTGGAATAGTTTCAGAAGGAATGGTACCAGCTCCTCTTTGTACCTCTGGTAGAATTCGGCCATGAATCCTTCTGGTCCTGGGCTTTTTTTGGTTGGTAGGCTATTAATTACTGCCTCAATCTCAGAACTTGTTATTGGTCTATTCAGGGATTCGACTTCTTCCTGGTTTAGTCTTGGGAGGGTGTGTGTGTCCAGGAATTTGTCCATTTCTTCTAGATTTTCTAGTTTACTTGCGTAGAGGTGTTTGTAGTATTCTCTGATGGTGGTTTGTATTTCTGTGGTATCAGTGGTGATATTCCCTTTATCATTTTTTATTGTGTCTATTTGATTCTTCTCTTTTCTTCTTTACTGGTCTAGCTAGTGGTCCATCTATTTTGTTAATCTTTCCAAAAAACCAGCTCCTCGATTCATTGATTTTTTTGAACAGTTTTTTGTGTCTCTACCTCCTTCAGTTCTGCTCTGATCTTAGTTATTTCTTGTCTTCTGCTACCTTTTGAATTTGTTTGCAGTTGCTTCTCTAGTTCTTTTAATTGTGATGTTAGGGTGTCTATTTTAGATCTTTCTAGCTTTCTCTTGTGGGCATTTAGTGCTATAAATTTCCCTCTTAACACTGCTTTAGATGTGTTCCAGAGATTCTGGTACGTTGTCTCTTTGTTCTCATTGGTTTCAAAGAACTTGTTTATTTCTGCCTGAATTTCATTATTTACCCAGTAGTCATTCAGGAACAGGTTGTTCAGTTTCCATGTAGTTCTGTGGTTTTGAGCGAGTTTCTTAATCCTGAGTTCTAATTTGATTATACTGTGGTCTGAGAGACTGTTTGTAATGATTTCCATTCTTTTGCATTTGCTGAGGAGTGTATTACTTCCAATTATATGGCCAATTTTAGAATACGTGCTATGTGGCACTGAGAAGAATGTATATTCTATTGATTTGGGGTGGAGAATTCTGTAGATGTCTATTAGGTCCGCTTGGTCCAGAGCTGAGTTCAAGTCCTGTATATCCTTGTTAATTTTCTGCCTTGTTGATCTATCTAATATTGATAGTGGGGTGTTAAAATCTCCTACTATTATTGTGTGGAAGTCTAAGTCTTTTTGTAGGTCTCTACAAAGTTGCTTTATGAATCTGGGTGCTCCTGTGTTGGGTGCATATATATTTAGGATACTTAGCTCTTCTTGTTGCATTGATCCCTTTACCATTATGTAATGGCCTTCTTTGTGTCTTTTGACCTTTCTTGGTTTAAAGTCTGTTTTATCAGAGACTAGGATTGCAACCCCTGCTCTTTTTTTGCCTTCCATTTGCTTGGTAAATATTTCTCCATCCCTTTATTTTGAGCCTATGTGTGTCTTTGCATGTTAGATGGGTCTCCTGAATACAGCACACCAGTGGGTCTTGACTCTATCCAGTTTGCCATCTGTGTCTTTTAATTGGGACATTTAGCACATTTGCATTTAAGGTTAATATTGTTATGTGTGAATTTGATCCTGTCATCATGATGCCAGCTGGTTATTTTACATATTAGTTGTTGTAGTTTCTTCATAGTGTCATTGGTCTTTATATTTTGGTGTGTTTTTGCAGTGGCTGGTACCAGTTTTTCCTTTCCATATTTAGTGCTTTCTTCAGGAGCTCTTGTAAGGCAGGCCTGGTGGTGACAAAATCCCCCAGCATTTGCTTGTCTGGAAAGGATTTTATTTCTCCTTCACCTATGAAGTTTAGTTTGGCTGGATATGAAATTCTGGGTTGAAAATTCTTTTCTTTAAGAATGTTGAATATTGGCCCCCACTCTCTTCTGGCTTGCAGGGTTTCTTGGAGGCTTTGTTCATTCCTTTTCTTTATTTTTTCTCTAATCTCGTCTTCACACCTTATTTCAGTAAGTTGATCTTCAGTCTCTGATATCCTTTCTTTGGCTTGATTGATTCAGCTATTGATACTTGTGTATGCTTCATGAAGTTCTCGTGCTGTGTTTTTTAGCTCTATCAGGTCATTTATGTTCCTGTCTAAATTGGTTATTCTAGTTAGCAGTTCCTGTAGCCTTTTTTGAAGGTTCATAGCTTCCTTGCATTGGGTTAGAACATGCTCCTTTAGCTCAGAGGAGTTTGTTATTACCCAGCTTCTGAAGCCTACTTCTGTCAATTCTTCGGTCTCATTCTCTGTCCAGTTTTGTGCCCTTGCTAGAGAGGAGTTGCGATCATTTGCAGGAGAAGAGGCCTTCTGGTGTTTGGAATTTTCAGCATTTTTGCACTTGTTTTTCCTCATCTTTGTAGATTTATCTACCTTTGATCTTTGAGGCTGATGAACTTTGGATGGGGTTTTTGTGTGGGGGGTCCTTTATATTGATGTTGTTGCTTTCTGTTTGTTAGTTTTTCTCCTAACAGGCCCCTCTTCTGCAGGTCTGCTGCAGTTTGCTGGAGGTCCACTCCAGACCTTGTTCGCCTGGGTATCACCAGTGGAGGCTGCAGAACAGCAAAGATTGCTGCCTGCTCCTTCCTCTGGAAGCTCCCTCCCAGAGCGGCACTGGCCTGATGCCAGCCGGAGCTCTCCTGTAGATGTCTGTTGACTCCTGTTGGGAGGTTTCTCCCAGTCAGGAGGCCCGGGGGCCAGGGGCCCACTTAAGGAGGAAGTCTGTCCCTTAGCAGAGCTGGTGCACTGTGCTGGCAGAATGCCTCTTGTCAGGATCAGCTGCTCTCTTCAGAGCCAGCAGGCAGGAACGATTAAATCTGCTGAAGCTGCACCCACAGCCGCCCCTTCCCCCAGGTGCTCTGTCCGAGGGAGATGGGGGTTTTGTCTGTAAGCCCCTGACTGGGGCTGTTACTTTCCCTTCAGAGATGCCCTGCTCAGTGAGGAGGAATCTAGAGAAGCAGTCTGGCCACAGCCACTTTGCTGCGCCCATCCCAGACCTCACAGCCTCCTTAGCACTGTCAGGGGAAAACCTCCTACTAAAGCCTCAGTAATGGAGGACGCCCCTCCCCCTACCAAGCTCAATTGTCCCAGGCCAACTTCAGACTGCTGTGCTGGCAGCAAGAATTTCAAGCCGGTGGTTCTTAGCTTGCTGGCTTCCATGGGAGTGGGACCTGCTGCGCTAGACCACTTGGCTCCCTGGCTTCAGCCCACTTTCCAGGAGAGTGAACGGTTCTGTCTCTCTGGGGTTCTGGGCGCCACTAGGGTATGAAAAAATACTTCTGCAGCTAGCTCCGTGTCTGCCCAAACAGCTGCCCAGTTTTGTGCTTGAAACCCAGGGCCCTGGTAGTGTAGGAACGCAAGGGAATCTCCTGATCTGCAGACTGCAAAAACCGTGGGTATCAGCTGGGTAGCACAGTCCCTCATGGCTTTCCTTGGCTTGGGTAGGGAGGTCCCTGGCTCCTTGCACTTCCTGGGTAAAGAGATGCCCCACCCTGCTTCTGCTTGCCCTCTGTGGATTGGATCCACTGCCTAACCAGTCTCAATGAGATGAACTGGGTATCTCAGTTGGAAATTCAGAAATCACCTGCCTTCTGTGTTAGTCTTGCTGGGAGCTGCAGACCGGAACTGTTCCTATTTGACCATCTTGGCTCCTCCCTCCTGTTATTATATTTTTATGATGAATTTAGAATGAACCAAATTTAATAATTCCCATAGGGAACTTTGGGACACCTGAGCATATGTCCTTGGATTTCATCTGAGAGAAACAGATTTAGGGGGAGCAGGGGACAGAGTAATCCAAGAAGGGGAAACAAAAGACGAGAAGGCCCTGGGAGTGGTGATAAATCAATGTCTGATTGGCTCATTCTGTTGCAGGAAAATCTGGGTTCTTGTCACAGACCAGGAAAGATTAGGCTCGCAGACGCATAGAAGGGAGGAAAAAATGGAATTTATTCGGCAGAAAGGTAAAAAACGGGAAACAGGGACTCTCAGCAAAGTGAGGGTCCTGCTAGCAGGTTTCCTGCTTCACTGATTGAATCCCAGCTTACCACCCAGGAACAGGAGAGGCCAGGCTCCTCCCCGCTGCAAATGGCTTGAACTTTCCAAGGCTCTACCCTAGTGCGCACTTCTCCCAGTGCAAAGGCTGGCTGGAGGTTCTCTGGGGAGCCCCTTTTACTTGGCTGTCTCAATTCCTTTAATGTGAGTGGCGTGAGCCTGGGTTTTTGTGGCTCTCTAGTGAAAGAAGGTGACACCCAAAGACACAAGGATCTAAAGGAGAGAAGCAAGATGTGTGGAAAGGCAGTTCCATTGAGTTGGCCTGTAGCCATTTCCCCTTGCCAGTCCATCCCTCATCCTACATGCCTCAAGAGGCAGAGAGATTTTTCTTTGATTCTACGGAGTTGATTCCTGTGTGTTTGGGTCAAACCTGAAGGCATTCATCTCATATATCAGAGGGCCTCCCTGCCTCTCACAGTGGACTCACTTAGTTCTGCCTTCCTTTTGAGTTCTTGCAAAAACCTAACTCCTGCCTCAACTTTGTCCACTAAAGGTAGATGTGCAAATGTGAGCCATGTGTGCCATTTTAAATTTCCTAGGACCCATATTAAAAAGGTAAAAAGAAACAGGTGAAATTGATTTTATTTTTTATTTGATTTTAATAATTTATTTTATTTAATCCAATATATCCATAATGTTATCAGTTCAACATATAATCAATGTAACAATTATTAAGGAGATATTTGGTATTCTTTTTTCTCATACAAAGTGCTCAAAAAGCCGATGTGGACTTTATACTAACAACATATCTCAATTCAGACTGGCCACATTTTGAGTGCTCAGCGGCCACATGGAGCTAGTGGCTTTGTCATAGACGAACTTCTCCTATGGATGAAAGGCTGTTCCCTTCTTCTCTCACACGGTCCTTTCTTCCTCTCTGAGCTGAGGAAGAGAAAAGAAGAAAGGGAATATTTAATATTTACTGGGCATCAGCTACTCTTTGTTAGGTATCATAATAGGGGACTTCTCATGTTATCTCTTAGAAACCTCTTATCTTCTTGTTAATTAATTAATTTGTTTATTTATTTGAGATGAAGTCTCACTCTATCACCCAGGCTGGAGTGCAGTGGTGCAATCTCAGCTCACTGCAACCTCTGCCTCCCAGGTTCAAGTGATTCTCCTGCCTCAGCCTCCCAAGTAGCTGGGATTACAGGCATGCACCAGCACACCTGGCTAATTTTTGTATTTTTAGTAGAGACGGGGTTTCGTCATGTTGGCCAGCCTGGTCTCAAACTCCTGACCTCAAGTGATCCACCCTTCTCAGCCTCTCAAAGTGCTGGGATTACAGGCATGAGCCACAGCATCCGGCTTATCTTCCCATCTAGACCAATAGGCAAGCCATGATTCCAAATTCCATATGTTTGGCTACATCAGTGGTAAATCCCAGTAAACATTGGATCCTAGAGATCAAGGTCTTTGGGGCCTCAGTGAGGTAGAAGCAATGGAGGGCAGCCTGTTTTAGCCTTTAATCAGCAAAACTATGGTTTGGTTCCAGTAGTGTCTTGCCAGTCTCTTATGTCTGTATAAAATCACAAAGACCCAAGGAAGGCCAAAACCATGGCCTTTGACAGTTCAATGTAATTATCCTGGCAAGGATTGTGTGGCTATGAATTGTTTCCCACAGGTGGTTCTTGCATCCTGTCATACATCCGGCTATGTTTGGTTAAAATGTAAGACACTATGCATTTTATGTATAATATTAACTTTGCTTGGTGGTCACTTTCTGTAGTTTATTATGTTCTTAGCTGTTCATTATTGTTACGACCAAGTGATTCATTTATTTTTTCATGCTAGTGAGTCTTCAACAAGCCTTCCACATTTTACCTGTGTTCCATAATGGACTTCTCATTTTTCATGCAGTGATAGCCACCCTAGTTCAGAATCCTAGGGCTCTGGTGAAAACGCTCCAGGGATGGAGACATAGATAGTCAGGTGTCATTTCAGGAAGGCAAAAGCCATTTCATTGTTTAAGAGCTTTCCATTTTCCCCTTGGTTTCGCTCACTATTTTGGGTTAATGGATGCTTCTGCTAATATGCTGACCTTTTCAATCAATACATTTAGCTTCAGGCATTCTTGAAGTCAGTTCTGTATGCCGACTCTTCAGCAGCCTCTGCATTAGATTAGAACCTTCCTTCCCTCATCAATATACCAATTTTAGATGCCAATTTGCAAAGGCATTGTTTTATAAAACAATTACTTTAACCTTAGTGGCTTGAAATTTCACCAGACATTCCAAAATCTTCTAAAATTTAAAATGTCTCTATTCTTATAAAGCTACCTACAGGAAGATAATTTTTTAGGAAAACCTGGTCTGGGCTACATACCTATTCTTAAGACAAGCAAGATTCTTCATTATAGTCAAGATTGATTGACCTGTCTGTCGAACAGACTACTGTAGGATAAAGCTTTATAAATAAATGACTAGCATGGATTTTTATCTCACCACCACCTTTTATTTTAGTGTTTGAAATCATGAGTGCTAATAGTATAGTTTATCATGATAGAAGCATATTTTAGACTTCTAAGTTTTAAACCTTAAATTTTCTCAATGCACCATAAAATAGAGCAGTGTGGTTTGCATTGACTTAAGTAGAAATTGGGCATTTTTATTCTGGTGAAAAAGTGCCTGAGCTTGGAAACGGATGGTGGATATAGATCTTAGCACTACTGCTTATAGCGTGGAAGGTCTTGGATGAGCTACTTAAATTCAGAAACAATTCACTTAATCACTGAAACTAAAATTTTCACATCTGTAAAATGTTAACTTATTCTTAGCACTACATGAGAGACCTGAAGAGTGTATCTTACAGAGTATTAAAGAATTTAAATGCGAAATGTCTTTTAAAATATGCAGATTGAAACTTATTAGAACACCAGGTGGGTGGCCAGGCTTGGTGGCTCACACCTGTAATCCCAGCACTTTGGGAGGCTGAGGCAGGAGGGCTGCTTGAGGCCAGGAGTTCAAGACCAACCTGGCCAACATAGTGAGACCTCGTCTCTAAACTAAATAAATAAATAAACACCAGGTGGAAATAATGGTGGTGAATAAAGCACACTAGTTGTCATTACCACATTTCTAAGTAGGGACCAATGCAATTGCCCCTACATAGTAATACACATTACATTGCACATGTCTATTAAGTTCTTGTGTCCAGTTTCCCAGGAAATGCAAAAGATACAGGTGAGATGAGAAAGTAATGATCCTATGAAGACTTGTGAGTTTTTAAAAAACACTGAAAGGATTTGTATAAAAAACGAGAGATCCTCAAGTTTTAAAGGTTGATGGCAATATAGAGTGGGAAGAGCAAGTCTGGGCCCAGTCATGGAGACACTAGAGAACTAGGAAGACAGAATGAAGAAAGAGAGCTATTTCTTCAAGTTATTTGTAAGAAAGGAAAAGAGAAGATGTCCAGGTAGTAGGACTAGGATGAGGTAGTGAAGCAAAACTGAGTCTCTGAACTCTTATCTGACTAGGGACTTGATTTTTCCAGAAAGTGGGGTAATACTGAATGTACACTTGGATACCTATTATTCTAAGCTAGGTTTTGGGGGCTGTTATCAGCTAATATTTGTATAGTGTTTTTCACCTCACCAATCATGTCAAGTAGGCATTGCCTATCCATTTTATAAATTTTACATCCATTTTATAAATGAACAGACAATGGACTCAAAGATGGTGGTGACTTTAATGTCACTCTGGCTGAGACTGCTTGTTGCCTACCTAATATTCACTTTTCCTTACATCTTTAGTCAATGAGTCCTGATATTTTTCAGGGTGGCAGCCTAACTAAAAGAGTATATTTCCCAGCTAAGCATGGCATTATAACTGAATTCTGTCCAATATGAAAGCTATTGGGTGTCACTTCCGGAAAGACTCCTTAGAAAGGAATAGGACGTGCCTCTTCTTGCCTTACCCCTTTTACCTTCCTGTTCCCTGGAATGTAGATGTGATGGCTGCAGCCAGAGTAGCCATATTGTGACACTGAGGATGCAAACCATGTATGTATGAGAATGGTGAAGCAGATAGAAGGACTCTGACTGCCCAGTGACTTTGTTAAGGTACTACATCGGCCTGGACTGACCACCTCTGGCCCTTTTTTTTTTTTTTTTTGGAGACTGAGTCTCACTCTGTCACCCAGGAGGCTACAGTGCAGTGGCATGATCTTGGCTCACTGCAACCTCTGCCTCCAAGGTTCAAGCAATTCTCCTGCCTCAGCCTCCCGAGTAGCTGGGATTACAGGTGTGTGCCACCATGCCAGGATAATTTTTTTTTGTATTTTTAGTAGAGGCGGGGTTTCACCATGTTGGCCAGGCTGGTCTCGAACTCTTGACCTCAAGTGATCCGCCTGCCTCAGCCTTCCAAAGTCCTGGGATTACAGGTGTGAGCCACCATGCCTGGCCTCACCTCTGGACTTTTTAATAATCCCTGGAGGCTATCAGAGTTTATTAAAACACCCAGAGGTTAGGATTAGACCAAATGCAGTTGGTCTAATCATAACCAACATGGTCACATAGCTAGGACTTGTAGAGCTTGGACTGTAAGACATCTAACTTTTGCTATTTCCATTCTGGACATGCACCCAGGCAGGTCATTTAAAGACAATATTTAAGTGGAAGAATAATCAAGATGTAAAACCACTCAAATAGTTTCATAAATACTTTTTGGGGAGCATAGAAGTTACTGGTCTTATAGAAGCCCTGTTGTAGAAAACTGTTTATTGTTCAGTTCTCGCTTTAGAAGTTTAAAACACATTTAGGTTTTCTCTTCTCTCGTTTATTTCAATGACTTTCCCTCCTTATCTGACTGTTAGTCTTGTTGGAATCTGGTCATGTGGTTGCTTTGTCTGGATTGTGAGAAATATAAGAATGCGCAAAGCCAGTGTAGTCTTCTCACCCAGCCGACTAACACATGACTCATGCATTCCAGTAAAGGTGGAGCAGGCCTGGCCACCAAAACCTGACCCCTGAGTCATTTCAATCAACTGCGAATGCCCAGGCAGCTGCATGCATTTGCTGAAACATTCTTTGGAAGGCATATGCTAATCCTTTCTTCCTAGATATAAATATTAACTCATCCATGCCTGTAGCACTTGTGGTCTCTGAACCCTACTTTTGGAATGCAGTTGGGGATATCAAGTTTGCAGGCTTGAGACACTGCCAGGTGACAGTTTGCTTCATTTTTCCATGGCCTTATTTAATCCTTTATTACTTTTTTTTTTGGTAGCACATGGCATTCATTTATGCACCCCTGGATGAGCAAAGTTCTTTGGCAGTTAACCTGAGTGACAAGGCACAAATCAATGGTCACTTCTTCCTTTCACAATAGGAAATTCTTGACTTAACCCTACTAGTTTCTTTCCAGCAGGGATGCAAGAGGTTACTGAGAACAGTGTCGATAACCTTGCATGATGTGCTATTTCTTTTTTCTTTTGATTAGGCTGTTTGCCCCCTTCATCATACCCTTACAAAATCATCCTCATATTTGTGTCATTAACCCTTTAACTGATTTCAACACACTTCCAGGAAGATTCAGTGGGTGTTTCAATCTACCATTTTGCAAGAGTGTCTCTTCTTACCTATCCATAAGCATAACTAATCTTTCTTTCATATCAATCTGTACTAATAGTACATTTGTAGCTCGTGGAATCTAATAAGGATTATGTAAATTTCTGCCTATTGATTTTTTTAGGTCCTCCAAACTAGATAAAAGGAAAGACTTTTATTTTCTGATGTCCCATTTAATAATTCAGTCTTCTTTTTCTGCAACTTAAACTCCATATCTATTATAATCTCTGCTTCATATAATAGCTGTTCTCATAGATACTTCAAGATTTTTTTCAGAAGGTCAAACAAGAGCTTCCTGCAAGATATAAAGGTGAGAGAACATTTAAACAGGCATCTCCAGTCATTGATAAGTTACTTGCTTCTTTGAAAATTCCAATTATCTTTGTGTACATGTTTTAAATTGCAGACGTTGTATTGGATAGAGATATCAGATTCACTGGGAAAGAGAGTGAGGGGCTAAATTTATTTTAGCTGAGATTTCTGCCACAGGCTCTTCAAGTTGAGCACCTTCTCTCAGTGGGTAGAGAGGCTAATTTAGCTTCAAAAATGATGATTTTCACAACACAAATGCAATGTACCATGAATTTCACTAGTTTAGAAAGCTAGATATTATATACTTGTGTTTTAAGAGTTCCAAGAAAAGGAGCCATTAACCATCTTACTTTTATCAATCAAAATAATTAAATTGAAAATAAAATGAAATTTTCTGAGTAAATCAGTTGTAATAATTGCTCTGTGATTTATGAAATATGAGTGGGCTGTTGAGAAATACACTCTCTAGTTGATGGACCATATATTATGCTAGCTGTTCCTTAAGGCTGCTCTTCTGAAAGCAAATCTATTTGCTGAAAGAAGTGGACTGAAATGGGAAACAAATTGTGCACTAGAAGGCACTAGAATTATGAATGTCAGCCTGGAATGGAAAACATATATTTCAGAAACATGCTTATTGGGAGAATAGACAAAGCATGAGGTCATAGGAAGGAAGGGCAGAGATGGGGAATAAATGATTAATAAAAAGCTTCTGAATGCTCTGTGGAACAACTCCAAATCCTTTCATAGATCAGTTTTACATTGCCTTAACTTTCCAGTGGGGGCATGGGGAGGCCCATGGGCATTTTAGAAAATTATAAAGTTTGCATTCATTTTTTCACGATTAGTATTTTCCCTTATTCTTCATTGCCTCTTCCTGAACATTCTCTATGGTATTATTAGAACTCTTATTAAAAACAAAAAACCTCTTTCCAGCTCATGCCATTTCATCCCTGTCCCACCTTCTGTCTCTCCTACTGACCTCCTGGTAACTCCCCAACATTGATGGAAGACTTTTGCACCTTACTCACAGTCTTCCTTCCCACCTCAAAACATGTTGTTATCCTGGGTAGCTTCAGCATAGTAATTAGCTATATTATTTTGGGGACTACCACTGAGGCAGGAGAATAGGGCCTGAAGGCAGAGAACCTAAGGACTTCCTAGAACTAAATCAAATGGAAACACTTCAGCTGTGACAGGAAATAGCCTCTTCATTTACATAGGGCATACAATGAGTAAATGACTGATATGGTTTGGCTGGGTCCCCACCCAAATCTCAACTTGAGTTGTATCTTCCAGAATTCCCATGTGTTGTGAGAGGGACCCAGGGAAAGGTAATTGAATCATGGGGGCTCGTCTTTTCCATGCTATTCTTGGGATAGTGAATAAGTTTCAGGAGATTCATGGGTTTATCAGGGGTTTCTGCTTTTGCTTCTTCCCCATTTTTCTCTTGCCGCCGCTATGTAAGAAGTGCCTTTTGCCTCCCGTCATGATTCTGAGGCCTTCCCAGCCATGTGGAACTGTAAGTCCATTTAAACCTCTTTTTCTTCCCAGTTTTGGGTATGCCTTTATCAGCAGTGTGAAAATGAACTAATACAATGACTTCGTAACTTTACTTTATCCTCTTCATTTACATATGATGTACACCGAGTAAATAACTTTGTAACTTCACTTTAGTTTCTTCATTTACATAGGGCGTATACTAAACAACCAATGGAAACCTCTAGAGGGTATTTAAACCCCAGAAAATTCTGTAACTGGGCTCTTGAGCTGCTTGCTCAAGCTGCTCCCACCCTGTGGAGTGTGCTCTGCTTTTCAAGAAATCTCTGCTTTTGTTGCTTCATTCTTTCCTTGCTTTGTGTGTTTTGTCCAATTCTTTGTTCAAAACGCCAAGAACCTGGACACCCTCCACCAGTAACAGTCTGATATTTACCCTCCTTCTAACTTCCTTCTGAAAAACTACCTCTTCCCTGACTCGTTTCCTTACTGTAACTTGCAGCATTTATCACTGTTGTAGTCTCACATCTATTTCATGTTACTTGATTTTCTGGCTTCCCTGTTAGAGTGTCAAGTAAGCTTTATAGAGGAGGACACCATATTTGTTTTTTCACCATTTTTTCCCCAACCCTGATTACAGTGCCTGGCACATGGTGAGTGCTCAATAAATACTGATTGAATGAGTGCATCCTTCATCACAAAGCATGATGCTTATATAGAGAAGTCTTGACAATCCAGACTGATTGGGGAAAAAGCCTGTCTAATGATATAGAAAGATTAGAGTTTTAATTTTAAAATAAGCAATTTATGATTATAAACATTCAAGTACCTTCAGTGTATGACAGGTCAAGTCTTGGGCAAAATGGTGAAGCAGACATAAATCTCCCTTTTTTGTTTTCTTCACACTTTTCCTCCTCTTCAAGGACTTGGAGTCTTGTCATTTTTCTAGTCTATCAAAACCTGCAGGGTGTGACAAGAGTTGCTGAAACCTCAGTATGCACTTCACTCAGGGTCTTCCATCTTGCTTGGCCATTTCCATTTATGTCTTTCTTGTTCAGAAAGGGAAAATTTTAAGACCTGTGGAGAAGTTCATGTGGAGAAGAACTGAGGCCTCAGGCCACCAGACATGTGTAAGTCATTTTGGAAGAGCAACGGTAGCTATCTACTCTGGGTTTGTGTATTAGTCTTGTGTTTCTGATGCTTTCACGTTTTTGAGCCTTGCCGACCCTGGAGGGACAGCCCCTCACAGGGCTAGTCAATTCCTAGAGATAGTGAAGGGCTCACCTGCAAGTGTGTCTTTCTAGATACAAACCAACCAATCCAAAGCCCATACCCTCAACCACTTCTTTTATTGAACTCTTACACTCCACGTGGTCCTGACTGGCATGGCGTCTCCATCTTCTTTGGAAGTGTAACCAACCATCTTTTCAATGGCAATCGGATCTGTTGGCCTCACCATATTTGAATAATAATAAACTTACATTTGAAAACAGCATGCCAACTAGAATGTTTAGGTAAGCATGACTTAATTGAGGGTGAACTAATCAAGTTCCATAGGAACACAAAGAAGAGCCATGCACATTTGTCTTTGAGTGGGGAGGCTTATGGCCATACTACAGGATAACTGAGGAGTCTGTGGAAATCACCACGTCATCCCCACAATCATCTTGAATCCCTTTGCTTTGAGATGAAGATGTAAGATTTCATGGAGAAGAAGTGAAGTATCTGAGGGATTCCCAGAGAACAACCAGGGGCAAGGCCAAGGGTGGATTTGTGAGAGAAAGATCCTCAGACACTCCTTCAATTTCTACTAGCACCTCTCAAGCCACCCACTTATCTAACACTCTTCAATATGCACAATTGGCATTATCTTTTAAAAAAATAAATTATTTCATTTTGAAACAAACACAAACTTACAGAAGGGTTGAAAGAAGAATACAGAATTGTTTTTCCCTGAACCAGTTCCCAATCTGATGCTCCAACCCTCCTGAATCCTATAAAAAAGAACATTTTCCTACACAACCACAATACAGCCATCCAAGTCAGGAAATTAGCATTGATACATTAAGACCCTGCAATCTACAGATGCCAACTAAGTTTTGACGACTATCCCAGTAACGCCATTTATCACAAAAGGATCAGTGCAGAGTCACATGCGGAACTTGGCTGTCATATCTTTTCCATCTCCCTCAGCTGAAACAGTTCCTCAGTCATTCTCTGAATTCCATGGATTGGACACTTTTGAAGATTATAGGGCAGTTTTTTATTGAATGCCTCTTGATTCAGGTTTGTCTGAGTTTTCTCAGGATTAGATTCAGGTGGGCATTTTCTTAGTCATAGGGAATGTGAGCATAAAAACACTTCCAGCAGCCTTTGCTATTTTTAATGACCTGTAGCAAACAAGTGTGTGTTTGTTGGGCAAAATGAGTCCCTGGGGGGTGATTGTTTTCAGAATGAGGTGAAGTGTATACGTGTTTACATGTGTATACAGTGGATAAGTGTACATAAGTGAGCGTGCATGTATCCACTCCAGCAGTAGTCAATGAAGGGGCCTATTCAGGACTCAATACCGCTGGAGTTGATTATTTAGAGCTTGAAGAATCCTTACTAAGCCTATATCTAGTATTTTGCTAGTTGACACGAAGGGATGTGAAGAATATTTTATTGGCAAAATGAGTGGTGGTCATGAAAAGCAGTTGGTTGGGGATAATGTTCAAAATGCGCCACTCTTTATGTCTAAGAGTTTATTTTAATTTTTTTTTTGAGACGGAGTCTTGCTCTGTCGCCCAGGCTGGAGTGCAGTGGCGTGATCTTGGCTCACTGCAACCTCCGCCTCCCAGGTTCAAGTGATTCTCGTGCCTCAGCCTCCCGAGTAGCTGGGATTACAGGCACGCACCAGTACTGCCTGGCTAATTTTTGTATTTTTAGTAGAGATGGGGTTTTGCCATGTTGGCCAGGCTGATCTCAAACTCCTGATCTCAGGTGATCCACCCGCCTCGACCTCCCAAAGTGCTGGGATTACAGGCATGAGCCACCACAACCGAACCCAACATTTTACTTTTATTTTTTTAATTTTTATTATTTTTTTTTTGAGATGGAGTCTCTCCCTGTTGCCCAGGCTGGAGTGCAGTGGCGTGATATCCTCTTACTGCAACCTCTGCCTCCTGGTTCAAGCGATTCTCCCACCTCAGCCTCCCGAGTAGCTGGGACTAAAGGCGCCTGCCACCACACTTGGTTAATTTTTTTTTTTTTTTTTTTGGTATTTTTAGTAGAAATGGGGTTTCACCATGTTGGCCAGGCTCGTCTCCAACTCCTGACCTGAAGTGATCTGCCTGTCTCAGCCTTCCAAAGTGCTGGGATTGCAGGCATGAGCCACTGCACTCAGCCAAACAGTTTAAAACAATATGTGTAGTTCTTGAGGTCTTGAGATACAACGTCCCATGGCTCTCCTCTTCTCAACAGCCCCTGACTATCACTTGAGTCTATCCAGTCCTGCTGCCCAAATATCTTTGTATTCACTTCAGAGTAAGCCTCTCACATAAGGTGCTAGTCGGTGTGTTCTGGGGGAGAGTGGGCAAACCCTGTACTATGGAACAATGTGATGGTTTTGTGTGCCTTCTTGCTAATAAGTATTTATAGGTTTGGCAGACCTTGGTCTGCCATGGTAAGAAGACCTTTCAGTAGTGACATTGGAGTAAGAAAACTGATAGCTCACACTACCAGGCATAAGTTAAATGACACCACAAGGAAACATGCAGATAAATCCATTATGTAGAACAAAGCAGTTGAAATGGACTCTTTAGATAGTTGATGTCATGAAAGGAAAAGTGAGGAGGAGTGCTATGGATTGAAACTGAAGGAACATAATGTCCAAATGTTTCTATGAACCATGATTAGATTCTAGTTGAAAAAATAGCTATGAAATCCAAAATATTAGGTAATTAAAAAAAATAAGGCCGGGTGCGGCGGCTCACGCCTGTAATCCCGGCACTTTGGGAGGCTGAGGCAGGTGGATCATTTGAGGTCAGGAGTTGGAGACCAGCCTAGCCAACATGGTGAAACCCCGTCTCTACTAAAAATACAAAAATTAGCTGGGTAGTAGGGGTGTGGACCTGTAATCCCAGCTACTCGGGAGGCTGAGGCAGGAGAATCGCTTGAGCCTAGGAGGCAGAGGTTGCTGTGAGCCGTGTTCATACCACTTCACTCCAGTCTGGGCAACAGAGTGAGACCCTGTCTCAAAAACGAAAAACAAAAAAAAAACCAAAAAGCTTTTATTCTGATATAATTTTACTTACAGAAAAGTTGCAAGAATAATACAAAGAATGAACATATAAACTCCACTCATAATTTCCAAGTGTTAACATTTTACTACATTTACTTTTTCCTTCTCTCTCTCACACACATATGTACATGCACACACACACACACAAAATATGTACATTTATATATTTAATTTTTTCCTGAACCATTTTGAAGTCCACTGCAGGCATGATGCTTCTTTCCTTCAGTGATAATTTCTAAGAAATAAGGACATTCTCTTACATAACCACACTAATAATCATTAAAATCTGGCAATTTCCATGGACACTATACTGTTATCTAATCTATAGACCTTTTTCAAATTTTGCTAATTGTCCCAATAATGTCCTTTACAGCAAAAGAAAATTTCAGATCTTATAAAGCATTTAGTTGTCTTATGTCTATAATCTCATTTAATCCTAAATACTTTCTTAGTCCTTCTTAGCCTTTCACAACATTGACATTTGTAATACAGATTAGTTACTCTGTATAATGTTCTTTAGTTTGAGTTTGTCTATTTTCCCATGATTAGACTCAGGTTATGCATGTTTTTGGCAGGAATAGCACAGAAATCATGTGTACTCAGTACATCATATTGTGGATCACATTTATGTCAGTTTGTCCCATTTCTGGTGATGCTGAATTCGATCACTTGATTAAGGCCTTGTATGACAAATTTCTCTACTATAAAGCTACTTACTATTTTCCCCTTTGTAATTAATGAACATCTTGTGAGGAAAAACTTTGAGACTCTGTAAATATCCTTTTACTCCTGGTGCTAGGCAGAATGGCCTCCCAAAGATGGCCATGTCTAATCCTGTAAACTGTGAATATGTTACATGGCAAAAGGTTGAATAAAAGTTACAGACAGAATTAAGGTTGCTAATCAGCTGAGAGGAAGATTATGCTGGTGGGCCCAAGGTAATCACAAGGGTCCTTAAAAGTTCCAGAGGCAGGCAAATGAATCAGAATCAGAGAAGGAGTTATAATGACAGAAGCAAAAATTAGAATTATGCAAAGTGAGAAGGACTTGACCCATCATTTGCTGGCTGTGAAGACAGAAGAAGGGGATCATGAGCTAAGAAACATGGGTGGCCTTTGTTTTAAAATGTGGATCTTATTATTATTCAGATACAGTGAGGCCGACAGACCAGGCGTTTATTTCCATTGAAAAAATACTTTGTTATACTCGCAGATCCCAAGAGTAGGGACATGCCAAATTATGGGGGCTACATGAGGAAGCACTGGGCTTGGTGTTTTAGTTCGTCCTCACACTGCTATAAAGAAATACCTCAGGGGCTGGGCGTGGTGGCTCACGCCCTGTAATCCCAGCACTTTGGGAGGCTGAGGCAGTTGGATCACAAGGTCAGGAGTTCAAGATGAGCCTGGCCAACATGGTGAAACCCCGTCTCTACTAAAAATACAAAAATTAGCCAGGTGGTAGTGGCGTGGACCTGTAATCCCAGCTACTCGGGAGGCTGAGGCTGGAGAATCGCTTGAAACCAGAAGATGGAGGTTGCAATCAGCCGAGATCATGCCACTGCACTCCAGCCTGGGTGAAAGAGCAAAACTCCATCTCAAAAAAAAAAAAAAGAAAAAAGAAGAAGAAGAAAAAAAGAAATACCTCAGGCCGGGTAATTTGTAAAGAAAAGAGGTTTAATTAGTTCATGGTTTTGCAGGCTGTTATAGGAAGCATGATGCTGTATCTGCTGAGCTTCTGGGGAGGCCTCAGGAAACTTACAATCATGATGGAAAGGGGGAGCAGGCATGTCACATGGCCAGAGCAGGAGCAAGAGAGTGAGGGAGGAGGTGCTACACACTTTTAAACACCCACACCTAACAAGAACTCACTATCATGAGGACAATACCAAGGGGGATGGTGCCAAGCCATTAATGAGAAAACTGCCCCCATGATCCAATCACCTCCCACCAGGCCCCAACTCCAACACTGAGTATTACATTTCAATATGAGACTTGGGCAGGGACACACATCCAAACTATTATCAGTTGGTCAGGAGGCAGAGAGTGCAAGGTGAAAATGTGGGCAAGAGCCTTTATTGTGGTTTCCATTGGAAGAAATGGGTGAGGCAGGGTAAGCAGGTTTAGATCAGCTAGTTTGAATAATTTCAGTGGACTCTGAGGTGTAAGGGCTGTCTCTAGTGTCTGGCACCTAGCCTGGGTGATTAAGGCAGGGTAGTGGTGGCCCAGGGTGTCAGAGCTCAATAGAGGAGGCAGTTGTGGGTGTGGGCTTTGGATTAGTTGGTTTGCATTAGAAAGGCACACTTGCAGTCAAATCCTCTACTATCTCTAGGGATTAGCTAGCCCTTGGAAGAGCTCCAGGGTCACCAAGCCCCCAAGATGTCAAAGCATTAAAAATAGAGAAAATAAAAATACGCTATATATATACCTCTAGATGTTGGAAATGGCAAGGAAAGGGCTTCTTCCCTAGAGCTTCAGAAAGGAATGCAGCCCTGCTAACATGGTGGCGTTAGCCTTGGGAGACTTGCATTGGACTTCTAACCTACAGAATTGTGAGATAATAAATCTGCATTGTTTTAGCCACAAAATTTGTGGTAAGTTGTCACAGCAGTAGTAGGAAACTAATACAATATACTCCTCAAGCTTCCACCCACTAATTTTAGTATCCATTGATGATTCTTGCCTAAATCGATTTTTATTATGACCGTAATTTTTCTTATCCCATTGTTCCTTCTATTTAATAGGTGGTTTTCTACTACAAGGACAATGTTTTTTCCCCTTGCCTCCCCACCATTTATTTATATAAATATGGACACACAGATCCTTCTTTCATTTAATGGGCTATACTCCTTTATTGTCATTCATTCTGATGCTCAAATTTTTCCTAATTTCATCAGTAGGAACACCCTTAAGCTGGCTTCTGCGTCTTTTTGACTTGTCAGCTGGAAAATTTGCATGCGAAGGCCATGTAATGGGATTATTATTAATCTTCTTAAATATGACAACGGTATTAAGGTTATATAGGAGAATGTCCCCTTTCCTTGGGAGATATATTTACGGGTGAAGAGTGATGGTATTATTTGCAACTTACTTTCAAATGGGTCAGCACCTCCAAAAAGGCGATGCTTTTATAGGCTTTGTGCATCTATGTCTCTCTCTGTGTGTGTGTGTGTGTGTGTGTGTGTGTGTGTGTGTGTGTGTGCAGAGAGAGAGAATTAGCAAATTTGGCAAAATGTCAAAATGATCAAATCTAGGTGGAGGATAACCAAGTGTTTATTGTGTTATTCTTTCAATTTTTCTGCATGCTTAAAATTTTTTACAATAGAATTTAGGGGAAAATGCAAACAAAGAAAAATAGCCTTAAAAAACAGCTGATTCATTGTTCTCAGGACATAGTTGTGCATATAGCACATACTTCATGATCTTTCCCTTGGGTCCAGGGTACAAAAAGGATAATTTTTTTAATGAACATTTTAAAGTGTCAGCTTAAATCTGGCCTCTGTGATTTAATTAAATGGAAAGTTTGCCCATAAAGTGCCTGAAAGCAATGACCTCATTAAAGTATGTAAACACTGTTCCTCAGATCTCATTTACACTTTTTTATTTGTGCTTATGGACAAAGTTATTTTATAATCCAATCCCTGTCTAAATCACCATAAGTTTTAGATTAGCAATGACCCATAAAGGGAGTTTTAATATGTAGTTTATAGAAATCCACATTCCAATGAAAATCCAACCAAAGGGGAATGAAAATGCAATGCAAAGCTTATTAAACTATTTGAAGTTTCTTCTACCTAATTTTTCAGAGCTTTTTATACATGACTAGACTCATACATTTATAATCATTGAAGTTTGGCAGGTACAGAGAGCTGATATGAAGTGTTGCAAGAAAACTGATGAAGGAGCCACCCAGACAGCTGCCCTGTGGTAGCTTTAAAATAGGTCAACACATTTGAAACTTTTCCCTTTCAAGGGTGGAGACTCATTCTCTTCCACTTGAGCATGGGCTAGACTTAGTGACTCACTTCTAACTAATAGAATATGGCAGCAGTGGTGGTGTGTGGCTTCTGAGACTAGATGGTGTCAGCATGGCAACTTCCTCTTTGCTGTCTCTCTTATATCATAGCTGCCATGCCATGAAGACACTCAAGCAGCCCTATGAAAAGGTCCACTTGGGGAGGAACTGAGACCTCTTGCCAACAACCATGTGAGTAACCCGTCTTGGAAGACGATCCACCAACCCCAGTCAAGGCTTCAGATGACTGTCACTCCAGCCAACATCTTGACTACGACCTCATGAGAGACTCTGTGCCAGAACCACCCAGCTAAGCTGCTCCTGAATTCCTGACCCCCAGAAACTGAGATAATAAATGTTTATTATTTTGAGCCACAATATTTTTGGGTAATTTGTTGGAAGGCAATAGATAACTAATACAGGCTCTCATAATGTCATTTATTTGGGTCCAGTCAGCATGCTTTAGGATCTGGGAGTTTTTTTCCTTCATCCATAATCTAACAGCAATATAAGGAATACAAGAAAAAGAAACTAAAGAGACTTCCCTGGATTCTCCTGGTATTGGTGGATGTAACATTTGACTCTTTACTTCTTCCCTGCTGAGTCTGAAGGGCTTTTGCTTGAAGTAATTTGCCATTTTGGAAGAGAAGCACTATTTGGCTAGTGTGTGTTTTAGTGTCAGAAAGTCCCTTAGGAAATGAATAAACCCAGAGTCTCCAACTCACTTAATAAAGCATTGCATTTAATCCTGCAACAATCCTGTGATGTAGGCACACTTGCCTGATTTTAAGGCTGAGGGAATTGAAGTATTATGTGTCAGGGATACACACAAATGTGGGGGAATATGAAAGGTCTTGGAGGCTGTCTTCATAAATATCCAGTTACTTCTGCGTCATGGAAGAGAGGAAAAAAGAAAGGCATTAAGAAGGGAACAGATATAATGTACTGAGTATGGGGAGAAAGGTACTCTCTTTGCTCCCAAATGAGAGAATTATTTCCTGAAAGGCTAGTTGAAGGTCTAATCAAGTTGACATGGTCCTCAATCCCTAATTCCCTGGAGGCCTTGGAAACTCAGCCAGCCTAGGCCTGAACAATGAGCCTCCACATGGCTACTTTCCTTTGATCTTCTGCTTCCTTTGAACAAAGTAGCAGAAGGTCTTGAAGGGCAAAAGTGGCCAATTTCTAGGTTTTCAAAGACTCTGGGAGCTGGTGAATGAAAAGGGATGTTTGTAGCTTTATGCTGTGTCAGGAATTTGATACCCCCTATCTGGGGATGTTATATGACATGGTTGAACCTGAACAGACACTGCAGACATGGTGGTCTGTTGTCAGTCCTACAGCAAAAGGGCATTCCCTATTCTGGCCAGGTTTTGAAAAGGAAAGTACCAGCGATTTGAAGTCAAACAGATTCTTGTCACTCCCTTAGTCCTGGTTCTGCTACTAACTGGCTGTGTCCCTTCACTATGAATCTTGGTCTTTTTATTCACAAATGTAGATAAAGTGTTTTCTCTGATTTTTTTTAGCTCTGACATTTTAGGATGACATGATTCCTCTAGGAAGCTCCAAAAGGCTCCAGTTCCGTCAAGTAAATTAATCCTACTTGTTTTATTTGTACCTTGTCAGAGGCGTTTGGACCAGAGTGACTCCATCTTGAATAGGGGCTGGGTAAAATAAGGCTAAGACCTGTTGAGCTGCATTCCCAGCAGGTTAGGCATTCTAAGTCACAGGATGAGATAGGAAGTCAGCACAAGATACAGGTCATAAAGACCCTGCTAATAAAACAGGATGTGGTAAAGAAGCTGGCCAAAACCCACCAAAACCAAGACGGCAATGAAAGTGACTTCTGGTCATCCTCACTGCTCATTATACGCTAATTATAATGTATTAGCATGCTAAAAGACACTCCCACCAGTGCCATGACAGTTTACAAATGCCATGGCAACGTCAGGAAGTTACCCTATATATAATATATAGTTACCCTATGTATGTAATAATTGTTATTATCAAAAATTCCCTTCTGATTAATGTGGTAGATTTCATAGTCTTTAAAAAATATGGTGAAGTCCACATTTAAGGGAAACTGAATAACTCTGAGTAGGGCATTTTGGAAATAATTTCTCTTTGAAAGCAGATTGGGCAGCCTGAGCACTAACAGAGTGTTGGAAAAAGGAGTATCTTTTCTGTGACTTAGTTATTAATTTAATGAGAAGTCAAAACAGATACAGGGAATATTTACTTTTAACTTCCCCAAAGTGACAAAAAATAAACAACCATTTAAGGTGAAAAAACGTTGGTGGCTTTTCCCCAGACAGTCCTAATGTTTGTCTTCATTTTAGTTTATGTGTTCCTAGTAAAAATGACAGAAACACTGAGCTAGGCTTCTGTGGTTATTTAAAATTCAGCATGCTATGAACTTTCTATGATGACAGACGTGTTCTATATCTGTGCATTCCAGTATAGTAGTCCTTAGCCACATTTGGTTATGTACTTGAAGTGTAGCTAGTGTGATCCAAAAACTGATTTTTAATTTTATTTAATATTAATTAATATATATTGAAATTCAAATAGCCACATGTGTTTAGTGGCTACTGTATTGGATAATACTAGCCTAAAGCCTTGATATGCTGAAAATGTCTTTGCAAAAATTATAACTGAGGAAATTATGACAGTGAAAGAGATCAGACCTACCTAACCAACTCCATCTTGCTTCTAACCTTTAAGCTGTCCTCGTTCATTCCTGGGCGTAGGCCAACTAACCTTGGAAAGGAATTTAATTTATGGTTTAACTCTGAAACAAAATTGATTATAGACTTTGCCCATCTGAAGCCAAGGCTGGCTCCTCAGTCCCTGCTCCCAGGGTCTCTGACCTTGTTCCTGCTGTGTGTGCTCAGCTTGGGTTAGGATAACAAGGCATTACAAAGATCAATAAGACCCACGCTATCGTGAGCTCCTCACATACAGTATCTCATTTAATCCTCGAAAGATCCCTGAGATGTAGCATCATTTTCACTCTCAGTTTGCTGCTAAGGAATATGAAGTTCAGTGAGGTTAAATTGCTAAGGCCACACTGTTACTAACAAGTAGAGCTGGAATCAAGCCAGGATCTTTCTAATTTTATTTTAGTTGTTTTGAGAAGGAGTCTCGCTCTGTCACCCAGGCTGAAGTGCAGTGGCACAATGTCGGCTCACTGCAACCTCCGCCTCCCGGGGTCAAATGATTCTCCCACCTCAGCCTCCCAAGTAGCTGGGATTACAGGCATGCACCACCAAGCCTGGCTAATTTTTGTATTTTTAGTAGATACAGGGTTTCACCATGTTGGCCAGGCTGGTCTTGAACTCCTGACCTCAAGTGATCTGCCTGCCTTGGCCTCCCAAAGTGCTGGCATTACAGGCAAGAGCCATCGTGCCTGGCTCTGACCCACCATATGACACACCCCAGATTCTGATTTGCACTTTTGGCCCGTACCTTGGGGGAATCCTGTATTTTTGATCTGATTTGCAAATCGTGCTTTGAGAAACATGACCCAAATTCTCCTCATTCTGAACAGAATTCCAAAGTAGAGTTGCCTTAAACCAGAGGTTCTCAACTAGGGGTGATTTTGCCCCCCAGGGGACATTTGGCAATGTCTAGAGACATTTCTGGTGTTAAAATTAAGTTTGGCCTAAATCTGCCTCCTTATGTATTTCAAGTTTGGCCTAAAGGTTTCTCCGTACATACTGAACTGTAACCTAACTTGGTATGTAAACAGACTAACTTACCCTTGTACCAATCACAGAGTTTCAGCCAGTCACGGGCAGTCAACTGTTCAAACCCTGTTCAAATAAGGCAAACACGGTGCTATAAAACCAATCCAGCAGTTTCTGTACCTCACTTCCGTTTTCTGTCACTTTCCTTTTTCTATCTGTAAATGTTATCCAACCATGTGGCAGACCTTCAGGTCTGAACCTATTGTGGTTCTGTGGGCTGCCTGATTTTAGAATTGTTCTTTACTCAGTTAAACTCTATTAAATTTAATTCGTATAAAGTTTCTTTTAACACTGGTTGTCACAACTTGTGGGGAGGTTGCTGCTCGAATCTAGTGGGTAGAGGCCACGGATATACCCCATGTTGGGGTGGGGGCTGGTACTGTCCTGTGCACTGTAGAGGGTTTAGCAATATGCACTGTGCATTTTCCCCAAATGTTAATTAGTTCTGAGGTTGAGAAGCCTTGTCTTTAAGCAAAGCCAGGACCTCTGGTGTCCCTGGGAAAGGCGACAACAACCTGAATGTAAAGTGAAAAAAATAACAAATTTCATTGTTGACTTTAAAGAAAACCAAAATATTTCACCCCTAAATATATTTCTTTGACATATTTTGAGATGGCTGTTCAGGGCGCCTGCAAACAGAAGCAGCCCTGCAAAGCTGTCTTTTGTGGGGAGAGATTTGCATCTGTAGAGAAAATCTGCACTGATGCAGCCAGGTTTTCTCTTAGCTCTGCCTTGTCCGGATCTAGGAAAGATGAACTGACAGTCCGACACCTTTAAAGGTCTGAAAGAAACATTTACCATCTATTCTCTCTGAGAGCTGCTACCTGTGAGGTCTTTTCTGTGTTAACAAGACCACCTTTGCCAGCCAGGCCTCCTCTCCTCCTTCTCCTATAACCTGTTTTGCCAACATAGCGTGCTTTGCAATCTCCCAAGTCCCCATTCATTCTGTAACCTCAAGATGGTATAAAAGCATCAATTAATTATCTGGCCATTTCTTTGAGATCTCCTATTTTGTAGGACTCTCATGCACGTTAATAAATTGTATGCCTTTTGTCCTATTAATCTGCCTTTTGTCAGTTGATTTTTCAGCAAACCTTCAGAGGGCAAAGGGGAAGTTTTCCCTTGGTCCCTACACATTGGTTTCAAGCAGCATAGATTTCAGTGATTTACAGAAATTCAAGGCAGTGATTTCCAACCTTATCAGAACAGTACTCCCCTTTAATAATAAATAGTTGTAGGAAAACTAAGAATGCAATAGTTACAAATGCCAGTAGATTCAGGTGTGTTATATTGAGAACTGGTGGTGTCAGGATTTTCCACAACAATGAATGATTTGTGCTAAAAGTTCCATACAGAGCAAAATACAAACTTTTGATTCATACAGTAGTTGATTTCCAGAAAAATTCAGGGTTTATTAAGATTGCTAAAAATACTTTTGTGTTTATTTGTAAAATGCTGTGAGCATCTATCCTCAGATAATCTTGAGCAGGTTTTCACACACAATGCAGGTCTAGCAGGGCATTCAGAAGTGCTGAAGGACCGGAGAGGATCCTTCTTTTCTCTGGACTTTATGACCAATGACGGTTGCTTAAAATCCCCAGCTGTGGCTCATGAATATCTAAGGTACCCCCTCCCTTGGCTATGCTAACCAAAAACACACAACAAAATATTCTAAATTGCCTCTAGCAGTGTACTATCTCTGTAGCACCACTGATTTAAGGAGTTTTAGAGAGTAGTGTTGATTATCAACTATTCTTGCCTTATATGCTGATTTCAATACTTAACCCCACCTCTGATCCCCTGCCTCACCGTCCCAGTGTGAAACCCCATGTATATGGGAAGTTGAATAGAATTTGCACCTTAAAAATGATCAAACTGTAGGACTGGGTGTGGTGGCTCACACCTGTAATCCCAGCACTTGAGGCCAGGAGTTCGAGCCTAGCCTGGCCAACATGGTGAAACCCCGTCTCTACTAATAATACAAAAACTAGCCAGGCTTGGTGGGCCTGCAGTCCCAGCTACTCGTGAGGCTGAAGCAGGAGAATCGCCTGAACCTGGGAGGCAGAGGTTTCAGTGAGCCAAGATCATGCCACTGCACTCCAGCCTGGACAACAGAGCGAGACTCTATCTGAAAAAAAAAAAAAAAAAAAAAAAAAAAAAAAAGATCAAACTGTACCCTCAATGCTGATCACCTCTACTATGAAAGATCTGGATGGTGAATCTTTTCAGCATCCCACTCTGTTGGGTGTGTGGTCCCCGGAAGTATTCCTTTTTTCTTCATATACTAAATTGAATGATTTTGGCACAGAATAATAACATGACTTTTAACAGACAGAAAACCATGATGGAAAATGTTATGCTTGTAGATGCTATGTAGAACTGATAGGCCCTGACTCCTGATGCCAAATTTTAAATATTTTGAATGTTTCTCAATATACTCATCATGGCTAAAATTATGAGAAGATTCCTGTTTGGCTTCCATAGTCTCTTCTCGCATCCCTCAAAGTTTTCAGAATCTGAAATGATAGGCTCCACACCCTGCCTTCCTAGGGGCCCGGAGCAGCATAGTGATCTCTGCTATATGCCTGTGACCTGGGTTGCCCAGTGACTCTGAAACACTCATAAGCAGATTTGCAGCCTTTACAGAGAAAGAGGGGAGCTTGTTTTCACAGTTGCTGTCTTCTCTTCTCCCTTGCACTTTTGGCAACCCATATGTATTGATACCTTTTCATATTCAGGCAGAGAAAGTCACATCTGGCTGCCTCAGTATGCTGATAAATGTTTATTGCACGTACCACTTGCCAGGGTGTAAATACTCCCACATTGTCTGATGTGAAACCACCAACTAGCCATCACTGAATGTGGAGTTGGGGAAAGAGGTATTAGCACACCATTAGATGATATTCCCATTATTCAGATAAAATAGACATAAATAACCTCGAGTATAGTTAATAGTAACATTTTGAAATTATTTTAGATTTATAGAAGAGTTGCAAAGGCAGTACAGAAGGTTCCCATATACCTTTTACCCAGCATCTCCTAATGTTAACATCTTATATAACCATGATCCTGTGAACCAAAAATAAAATTCTAAAGCCCCTCAACCATCTAAATGAACCCCTCCTTTTGGCCAAGGGCATTCCAGAGTTAACCTGAAAAACTAGTTCAGGCCATGATGGAGGAGGGGGTTGGACAAGCCTCATTATACCCCTCCAGCATTAATATCAACACAGACCTTAAGTCCAATAAAAACACATTTACAGTCTATTTCTCTGAAGCCTGCTACCTGGAGGCTTCATCTGCATGATAAAACCTTGGCCTCCACAACCACTTATCATAACCCAAACAATTCTTTCTACTGATAATAACTCTTTCAACCAATTGCCAATCAGAAAATGTTTAAATCTACCTATGACCTGGAAGCCCGACTCCTGCTTCGAGTTGCCCCACCCTTCCAGATCGAAACAATGTAAACCTTACATGTATTGACTGATGTATTATGTCTCCCTAAAATGTATAAAGGCAAGCTGTACCCTGACCACCTTGTGCACATGTAATCTGGACCTCCTGAGGCTGTGTCACGGGCATGTCCTTAACCTTCACAAAATAAACTTTCTAAATTGATTGAGAGCTGTCTCAGATACTTTTGAGTTCACAAAACATTGATCAAAACTAATGAGTTTACATTAGTAACAACATATATCCCTTTGTGAGAGAGAGGTGATGTGTCATACTTAGCAAAAAGGAAACTTGCACATTTCTTAGTCTATGAAATTTACACCATAGCTTGGAATGAGGCATCTTGACTCACTGTGATGAACTTTATTTCTCTGAAAAAAAAAATTAGAGTTTCATGAAAATCTGACTACGTATATAGAATTGTGTTGCTCTGATGAATTTCATCTATATTCTGTCAAGACAAAAATATGTCTAAAAACCTTTGAGAATGGGCAGCCATACAAGAGTGGTAAGCAGGAAAATAATATGAAAAGATTTCAGTTTTTTTTTTTTTTTTTTTTTTTTTGAGACGGAGTCTCGCTCTGTCGCCCAGGCTGGGCTGGAGAGCAGTGGCGCAAGAACAGATTTCAGTTTTAAGAAGGCTATTCTGGAGGCTATTGTGGGGACTCGGATAACAATACCCCCCAAAAAAAGCTCCAGAAGCAGGTTTAGAAGCAAATGTTGTTCTCTGACCTTCCCCTGCCCTCCTGTCTCAGTCCCATTCTCCCCAGAGGAGCAACAGAAGCTAGAATCCTTCCCCAAGGCAGGTTCTAGAAACCAGAAACCTTGTTCCCCAAAGCCAGCCATAAAACCTAAAAACATTACTCTAACTTTCCCTCCCAGCTTTCTGTGTAAATACTGGCCATAACGAAATTCCCTGACATACCTTGTTTGACTGTAGGTCATAACACCCCCACTCCAGAGAGGGTCTTGCCTTACACCCAGAAGGAAGGAACGCTGCTCAGAGAGGCCAAGAAGAATCTAGACAGACAGGCCTTGTTGGGTTTCCACACTCAGTCCATTAGCTTTAGATCACAACATTTTTGTCCAATCATATTTCTGCACAGCTGTCCACACTTTGTTGAACCTAAGCATAAAAATGGCCAGTTTGCTCTGTATCTTTGGGTCTTCATTCTAAAGGTTCCCTTGTCACGTAAAACTATGATCTCAAATAAATTTGTATGCGTTTTCTCCTATTAATCTAATCTGTCTCTTGTCAGTGATTTTCAGAGAACCTTCAGAGGGCAAAGAGGAAGTTTTCCCATGGCTCCGACCCTGTGAAAAGAATGCACTGGAGACAGTGCTTGTTCGGGGCGCTCCGCTGGCTTCTTGGACAATTGCGCCATGTGTGCTGCTCGGCCAGCGGCGGCGGCGGCCCAGTCGGTGTATGCCTTCTCGGCGCGCCCGCTGGCCGGCGGGGAGCCTGTGAGCCTGGGCTCCCTGCGGTGCAAGGTACTACTTATAGAGAATGTGGCGTCCCTCTGAGGCTCCACGGTCCGGGACTACACCCAGATGAACGAGCTGCAGCGGCGCCTCGGACCCCGGGGCCTGGTGGTGCTCGGCTTCCCGTGCAACCAGTTTGGGCATCAGGAGAACGCCAAGAACGAAGAGATTCTGAATTCCCTCAAGTACGTCCGACCTGGTGGTGGGTTCGAGCCCAACTTCATGCTCTTCGAGAAGGGCGAGGTGAACGGTGCGGGGGCGCACACTCTCTTTGCCTTCCTGCGGGAGGCCCTGCCAGCCCCCAGCGACGACGCCACTGCGCTTATGACCGACCCCAAGCTCATCACCTGGTCTCCGGTGTGTCGCAACGATGTTGCCTAGAACTTTGAGAAGTTCCTGGTGGGCCCTGACGGTGTGCCCCTACGCAGGTACAGCCGCCGCTTCCAGACCATTGACATCGAGCCTGACATCGAAGCCCTGCTGTCTCAAGGGCCCAGCTGTGCCTAGGGCGCCCCTCCTACCCCGGCTGCTTGGCAGTTGCAGTGCTGCTCTCTGGGGGGTTTTCATCTATGAGGGTGTTTCCTCTAAACCTACAAGGGAGGAACACCTGATCTTCCAGAAAATACCCCCTCGAGATGGGCGCCGGTCCTGTCCATCCCAGTCTCTGCCAGACCAAGGCGAGTTTCCCCACTAATAAAGTGCTGGGTGTCAGCAGAAAAAAAAAAAAGAAAAGAATGCACTGGAGCAAAGAAACCAGAAGATAGCTTAGAAGAAACTATTGTAACGGTCCAGGCAGGACTTACTGAAGGTCAGAATTAAGGCAATAGCAATGAGAATAGAGAAGTCAAGATCGTTTCAAGCAATGCTAAGGAGATGGAATCTACAAGACTCCATTGATTCCATAAGGCCCCAGTGACTGATTGACGGTAGAGTTGGGTACCCAAAGTTAGGTTTCTGACTTGAAGGGAACATTGGAGAGGGGACAGGTGTTGAGTTGAAATGTTGCTGAAATGCTTGTGGGATTACCTGTGCTTCTGAAATGTTGTTTAAAGTGTTTGTGGGATTACTAAGAAGCACGAGTAGATCAAGTTAATATTCAGAAACTGTTTATCACATGCTGGGCTATGGGATCAATTTACTGGACTGAACTTCATACATTAAAGTTCCTTATTATTCCCTCTATCATGTAATTTAGAGAGCAAGGAGAGAACAAAGACACAGGTCAAAAAGCTTCTTTAAAATCTCACTTACTCTCCTTCTCTACTTCCATTTACCCTGAGAATAAAGAAGAATAAAGGGGTGGGAAAGGCCTATCCTCATTCCTCTTGCTCTTTCCACAGAGGACAATGAGGCAGGACTGAGCAGTGTCTTCATCCCTCACGGAATTCCAAGGTGGATGCCATCTGTGAAGCGACTTCGTGTTGGCCTGAACTTGCTAGGAGCTTTTAGCCACTCATTTGGTTGTAATCCAACACATGACGTAATAGTCGGCCGTCTGGATTAATCAGTCCCAGCTGTTGGACGCTCTGCTCTGTGTGGGGGTTCAAGCCTCTCCATCTGTTCCTGGGGCCTCTCCACTTATCCCTTCTCTGCTTGAGCCTCCAGCCATGACAGATGGCTCTTTCTCAGTATTACAGATAATTTTTCTCTGATCAGTGTCTCAGCTCCAATTTGTGCTTAACATTTTTAACTGCCCCTCATCACTGCCATCACCTTAGGCATTTATGGAGATTTATACTACATATGCATATGTATGTGTCTGCATGCATATAATGACCCGCACACACATTCATAATTTCATTCTGTTTACCATTCGCACACAACAACTAGCATTGTGGTCATGCTGGTTGCCCCTCCCTTACTGGGTTATTTCTTTTGGAGAATCTATCTAGATGATCTTACTCACTGGAAAGGCGTGATACGAAGGCGACTCAGCTGGGTGAAAACGTGGTTGGAGCATAAGAGTCCCAGCATCAAACAGTAATAGAAACAGCAGTAGCAGCAGTGTATTTCCACAGCACTCTTAAACTCGGCTTGGATTCTCTACAATGGCTGTGGGTAGAAAAAATAGCAGGGCCTCTGACGAGTTGTGGATCAACTCCAAAACCCCTCTCCACCACATTTATGAGTACTTGAAACCACAAAAGTTATAATCTCCCAGTCCCAAGGGCCTATTCTATATCCTGCTGCTCCAGCCAGGCAGCTTCATTTTTGGCTCTGAGAACCACATCTCTGTAATTACAAAACTTGAGTTCAAACAATGTGGGGATTTTCGGGAGTGGTTGAGAAAGACTGTCAATAGAGAGACTGCACATGGCAGCTGTAGCCCAAGCCAGGGAATATTCTCATCAGCAAACCACAGAACAGGCTTTGGAACAATGTCTTTTACCACACCTGCTATCCCAGTCATCTTCACACGTGAAAGGATAAAATTTACACAGATGTTTCATTTCCTCCAGGGAATATTTCAAAGCAATGATAGTTTTCATTTATTATTTTATGTCTAATTATTAGCACTGTTCTTTTTTTTTTCTTTTTTTGGCCAATGATGATAGTAGTGGTTTCCTTTAAGACTGGATATCTAAAATAGTCTACTTTATTTCCCTTAGCAATCTTTATGTTTCATATATTTGATACAAATAATACTATTGCAGTGGTGGTCAACCAGGGTTGATTTTGCCCTCCAGGGGACATCTGGCAATATCTGGAGACATTTTGGTTGACACAACTTCTGTGGGAGTGGAGGTGCTCCTGGTATCTAGCAGGTGGAGGCCAGGGAAGCTGAAAACTGGATTATTTGTTAATTATGCCACTGCTATGCTGTCAGTAAATCTGACGAATGCTGTTCCGTGAAAAGGAGAGCTCAAGGGTGTGGAATTCCAGGTGCCAGGCAAGCCTTCTTCCAGAATATTTTGACCTGGATGAAGGCTCACCCCAGAAACCAAAAAATTTTACTTTGATCTTGACTAAATTCTGGGGACCAGCCAGAATATAGGGGCTGGCATGTGATTGTGATGGGATTGTTTGCCCTGCCAGACAATGTAAGTTGGATCTATTTTTGGTGGATGTCTTGGGGCCTGGTGTCTTTTTCTTCCTCTTCAGTGCTTTTCTCAAGACTAAGGATTTTCTTAACCTATAGTCTCTTGTACAGCTAATCATATACTCTTTAAGAAGCAAACAAAATTGATGTGCATAAATCAAGTGCAAAATTGATTTAAGATTGATTTCTTTGGTTTAAAAAAAATGAGAGTGGCCGAGCATGGTGGCTCATGCCTGTAATCCCAGCACTTCGGGAGGCTGAGGCGGGTGGATTGCCTGAGCTCAGGAGTTTGAGATCAGCCTAGGGAATGTGGCAAAACCCCATCTTTACCAAAAATACAAAAAATTAGCCGGGCATGATGGCACATGCCTGTGGTCACAGCTACTCAGGAAGCTGAGTTAGGAGGATCACTTGGGCCTGGGAGGTGGAGGTTACAGTGAGCGGAGATCGCACCACTGCACTCCAGCCTGGGCAACAGAGCGGGACCCTGTCTGGAAAAAAAAATAATAATAAGAGTGGCAAATACTTGACGTGGGAGGCATGCATGACCCTGCAAAGATTTTTACCAGGTCTGCCCACCTTCTTTTTCTATTAAGCCATAAAACTTCTGAAGCCAGTCTTGCCCACAATATTCTATTTTCTAGAATCTGCAGAGTCAGAGTTCAATGAAGGATTTTTTTTAATTGTAAACCAAACTAAAAATAACCTAAAAACTTACCTTTTTGAGAGTGATGCTTCCAGACTGCAACATTATATAAGGATGATCTCTCCATCTTCTCATCCCCAGATGTCCTGCTGCTCCTAATGATAGAATACAGAGAGGCGTACCCTATTTAGGTGGGCATGTGATGTTCTTTCAGCAGATGCCCAAAGAAAAGAACCAGTGCTCTTTGTTTTGTCTCTGGTCAGCTTCTAGTACTTTTTCTAGTTCTCCGTAAGTAATAGAATTTCTTTACGAACATTGTTAAACTAAAGCTGCTAATATTTTTAAGTGGGATAATTGTGTTATGGTTACGTTTTCAAAAATCTTCTTCATTTTTAGAGATAAATGCTTAACTATTTATGAATAGAACAATCCAATGTCTGGAAAGTAATTCAAAATAACTCAGAGGGGCTGGGCACAGTGGCTCATGCCTGTAATCCCAGCACTTTGGGAGGCTGAGGCAGGGGGATCGCTTGAGCCCAGGAGTTGGAGATCAGCCTGGGCAACATGGTGAAACCCTGTCTCTACAAAAAAATACAAAAATTAGCCAGGTATGGTGGTGCATGCCTGTGGTCCCAGCTACTTGGGTGGCTGAGGCAGGAGGATCGCTTGAACCTGGGAGGCTGAGGCTGCAGTTAGCCAGGTTCATGCCACTGCATTCCAGCCTGGGCAACAAAGCAAGATCCTGTCTCAAAACAAAACAAAACAAAAACAAACAAACAAGCAAAAAACCAAAATAGTTCAGAGGGAAGGGTATGAATGAAATGAAGTTAACCATGAGTTGATATTTGTTTTAACCTGGTGATAAATACATGCTGGTGTATGTATGCTGATAGGAATGATCCAGTTTAGCTGGAGCAATTGATGACCAAGAAGAGAGAAGAAATAGCCTAAGAGGCAAACATTTAATGATGTCATGTGAGGACAGGTGGATTTCAGAGACTAAAGCCTCTTAAGTAATCACTTAAACTTGGAGTTTGAATTTTGAGCATGCTGAAAGCATTCACCCTCCACTCTGGTCATTTTGCCAGATATGGAAACATTTAGAAAATGAGGAAAGACGTTTCTAAGCCATATTAATTTCTATTTTGGCTAGATTTTGCTCTCGATCTTTTTTTTTTATTATTAACATATTGGGAGTCACATTGGGCATATTTGATACCTTTAAATATCAAGGGTTTATTTAAATGTTGAACCAATTCATTTGTTCTATAATCTTGACTTTATAAGGGTGATATCTGGGTCAATACTCAAAGATTTTATAAGAATACTTTGGTTGATATCACTTTCTTCCACCCCCTCAAAATAATGAACTACCCAGAACTGTAATGTTTCCTCCTCCATTAGGTCAGGGGTGGGTGAAGCTTTCAAGCTGCTATCACTTTTTCCAAATAGTTTCACTCATTCTTACTCCTAATTAATCTACAGTATTATGTAGCAACCAAATAAATAGTCTCCTAAGGAAAGCATTCTCTCCTTGGCTGTTCTAGAAAACTCTGCTGACTCATTCGCAGTTGGGCTTGAAGAGTTTTTTTCAGGCTCATAATGCCAAAGAAGCTACATTTTTTCTGAGAAACGCCTCTGCTTCCCTGACCTTAACTAACAGGGGAAGCTTTTATTTTGGGTTTTCAGTGTCTGGGCAACTTACGGGGTTTAGCATGGTTCAGGGAGCCATTTCTAAAGAATATATGCTACAAGTTAAAGATTCAGTTGCTGTCTACCCCACCTCCAAATTCCTTTACATGTGTATCAAATAGCCTTTTATGCTCAGGTCCTGGGTTCATGAGGACTGGTTTGTGGCTCTGCTGGTTGCCCCTCCCTCACTGGGTATTTCTTTTGGAGAATCTACCTAGATGATCTTACTCACCAGAAAGGGGTGATAAGAAGGCGACTCAGCTCGGTGAAAACGTGGTTGGAGCTTAAGAGTCCCAGCATCAAACAGTGATAGAAACCGTAGTAGCAGCAATAACAGATGTTCCAAACTACACATATACAAAAAGATTTCAAATAATAACAGTAAGATGGACCTCAATTTGTGGGAGATACCTTCTGATGAAATCTTGCTAAATTGAAATTGGATTGTAAATGTTTCCAGCTGAAGTCAATGAAAGTGATCATGTCTTTCTATTGTTTATTCTTGATATGATGGTTTCAACTGATATGAGGCCAGGTGTTTGGACCTAGTCTAGCTTGTGCCTGTATTTTCTACTCAATTACCTAATTTATCCTAACACTATGAATCTACCCAATATTGATGTACCTACATGTTTGTACAAGTAGTCATTAAAATCATGCTTGGTAGGGTAAATCAAAGTCAGTCTTCAGCTCATTGCCAATGGCATTTTCCTGTTTCTTTGATGGGAAATCCTACCCTTCAGAAGACACGCCTTTCAAGAGTTCAGTGGTGGAGTTTTACTTTGACTTCCTGGTGATAGAGCTAGGAAGTCAATCAATCAATCTGGTCAATTAACAGAGGATACATGGAGTAAACAAAAACAGCCCGGGGAACAGAGTAGTCTGAGATCTAATTTTGACTACGTACTTTTATCTGGGCAAATCTTTTCAATTCTCTGAACCTGTTTCTTCATCTATAAAATGAGAGGTTAGAATGCTTATTCCCACTTTGATTTTTGCATTCTGATGGTGTATTTACCGAAGACTATTTACTAGGTACAGTCCCCTATAAGAAATGCAAAAATTTTAAGACATAACACTTCCTCTCAGAATGCATGCAATCTTGTTGGGAAATTTTTTTTAAAAAAATAGCTAGTATATGCTACATCTTGTGGTGGTGATAGGGAGGTTATAAATGTTCTGTCCTCAAAGTTGAGGGGACCTTCATTCTAGCTGCTATTTGGCAGGAAATGTATGCAGAGGAATATAGTGAGGACTTGTATGAAATGTTAATTTTAACTGAAACAGATTTATCCCCAGGACTGGGGTCAGAAGACAAATACAAGAGTAAGGGGCTCTACAATCTAAAAGCTTCTAAAGGGTGTACAAGCAGTTAGTCATTAAAGTCATACCTGGTAGAGTAAATCAGTCTTCAGCTCATTGCCAATGGCATTTTCCTGTTTCCTTGATGGGAAGTTCCAAACTTCAGCAGGCATGCCCATGCTAGACATACTAAGCTAGCAATGCAATGCAAGATGGGTTAATCCCCAACAAAGCATATAAAAACTGTGAGAGTTTTTTGTTGAGTTGCATGGGTCAGGAAGGACCCTCCAATGAAGTAAAAGTTTAGATGGATCTGGAATTTTGGAAGGAAGCCATTCAGATAAAAATCATTGTGGTATTTGTGATATGATAACTCTCTTTCCTGAAAGCTTTATCAACCCAAGGAAGTTAATACTGGAGGGAGACCCACTGTGGCTGGTTGTTCATGATCACAGAAGTGGTGAGAAAATAGGCTGAAGCTCTTCTTTAGCTTAATTGGATCCTGTTGTTTAACAAGTATAGGAATCAAAAATAACAATTTAATGTTTTGTACATGGCTGTGTGGGCTCAGTAATCCATAGTTTCAAAAAATATGATTCTGATGTTCAGCCAGATTTAAGAGCCAATGCATTATTAGTCATATCTCCATGGAAGCGCTGTGTTCAAATTGGGAACTTTAGTTCAAGGGAGAGATGTAGAACTTGGAGAAAATCCAGAGAAAAGCAATCAAAGCCATTAGAAGTTAGGATGGTGGAATTCTAGAAGAAATGGTAAATGAAATGAAGAACAGAATGCTAAGGGAGAATTAGACTTTGAATATGGAAACCACTGTTATATGGGTGGTAGCTGACAGTTGTTCTCTGGGTATACGAGAGAATAAAAAAAGTGGGAGTGAGCAAAAATGGGAGCAATTGGGATTTAAAACAGATTTGCCAGCAAAGTCTTGACAAAATCTGTGAGAGAGTTGTTGGGAAGTTAAAGGTGGAGATTATGGTGTTTGGGTAGATTTTTTAAAGGTATAATTTGTATTGATGTCAAAAGGCAAGAGATGGACAAGGCAAAGTATCATTACTCCATATATATTCAAATTACTCAGGGCTGAGCTTTAATCTACATCTACCAAGGGACCACAAACAAGAACACACTTAAAGAATGTAGATTTACATGACTAAGGGCCCTGGACTCTCTCTGGTGATTATAGATACTTTCTGTGTACTTGGGAGGATGAAGAATAGGGAGAGGGAGGTCTTTTGTGTCCCTATGAATGTTGGAGGCTGGAAAAAATTGCACTGCATTTAAAAAATTCTCAGACTCTCTAGCAATTGGCCATGATGGGGTTCATTGCCATTAGTCCACAAAGTGGGGACTGAGCCTAGAATTAGATTAGGTCTGGAAGGGAGCTTGCAGACACTCTAGTTTAGTGTTTCCCCAAGTGTGTTTGAGAAACAATCAGGGTGGGAATGTTAGGACTGTTCCACTAAAGAATAAAAGGACTTCATTAGTCATATAAATTCTTATAATGCTGAGCTAAAAAGTTAAGCAAATTTATTTATTGCAGGGATTCTCAGAGGCTTGATTCTTCCAGCAGGGCATAGTAACAAGCATATGCAGTGCTGTATCTTATCATGAAATACTTTGAGACAAAAGGAATATTCTGGACCAACTCCCTCCTCTAGTTTTTAAGAATAGCATTCTGAAGTTCACAGAGATAGAGAGTTACTCATATGTAGACTTAGTAACACGTCAAGGCATAGAAACAAGTCTGTCAAATTTTGGAGAGTACTTTTTCAGGACTCCACTCTGTTACAGTTATATACTTGTGTTAGTTAAATAGTTATCATTTCTAGGATGCATTTGGGACAAACCAACATGAGCAGTTCTTATACATCCAATGAAACACTGTTGATAACCAAAGCCAACGGGATCAATTGCAAAACTCATACCACCATGAAGACATCATGTGATGCTGACCAATGAGAAAGTTGTGATTGGAACTGATCTCGAAACCACTATACTTGAAGACAGACTCAGGTCAACATTTTAGCATGCTCTGTATTATATTACTGCAGCACAAAGCTCTGCATGAAGGTCTTAATTTTCTATAGAAACTTCCTTTATGAGTACTACTCTATGCTTGTAATACATGGTTTGTGTGTACATAGACATTTACCTCACACACAGGATAGAGGGTAGAAGAGATAATGCACTGCAGATGGATGTTGGGAGTCAAGTAAATTGCCACCAATTAATTTATTTCTGATAAAGTGATTCTTTATGCCTTATCTATTAAAAACAAAGCAAAACAAAACAAAAACACCTCTCTGTGCCATTTCCCCCTAAGGAATAGAAAGTATTAATCTATGTATCTGAATAGCAACCACAGATCATTATTTAAGCATAAATTCCCTGCTGTAATTTGTGGTTTTGACCATTTTATACACAATGGAATTAATTTAATATTGGATAAAAGATACAGAGTAGTAAAAGGGATTGGAACCAAATAATTGCTGTTTTTAAAAAATTATGCAAGAGTTTTCTAGAGCCTTTGTTTTATAGTTTTTCAAAGCCAGCTATATTTGTGCCTGTTGGAAGAAGCTGACTCCTGCTGTGTGCAGCTTGGGTTGCAGAGGCAGCATATTCTGCTAGTATATTTTAGCTGTTTTTATGCTGAGATGAATAGGCTATTTGAAGTGAAAGGCGGACTGGTAGTTCCTATTGGAATGAAAGGATCATAAATCCATTCATGCCAAACTGAACACAGTTAGACAATGCACTGAAGGCAATTTTTATCTGGTAATTACTGTCTTTGTTCAGAAGCTTTGCCAATGCTAACTGATTGAAAAGATCCCAGAACAAATAGTGAAAGGACACAGCTCCTTCATTAGCCTAAACTGCATTTGAATCAAGCCTGCCTTTGATGACATTTTGTTTTTCTTTTTAAACAAAGAGTTAATGTGCTTTTTAATTTGTGTATTTAAATTCTAGGGAGATGGCAAAGGATCATTATCTCCCATCTTCCTAACCTTGCCTAGAGTAGGCCTTCTAAATGAGACCAACAGACTTTCCTATTTGAGAGCTTTGCATTTATGGCTGCTACCTGAAAGGGCAAGGGTCAGCAAGCGAGCCAGATGGCTGGAAATGCTCCTGAAGACTGGAGAGATGAATGAGCATATTAAAGACTCTCTATTGGATGGAGAGCAACTAACACCCAGATTAGCAAATTTCCTTTCTTTGGGGGTCATCTTGACTCTCTATTATCGTGGACATTGGCCCTTGCAATCAATTATCTTGGTCCTTCAGGATGCTAATGCTGACCTAACCTCTTTATGCTGAAAGAGTGAAAGAAATAAAGAAGAAAATAAGGGGGAAGGGGGGAAAGGGAGAAGGAAGGAAGGAAGGAAGGCAGGAAGGAAGGGAGGAAGGGAGGGAGGGAGAGAGGGAAGGAAGGAAAGAAACCGAGAATTACTCTGGTCACCCAAGACTTCCATGCAAAATTATAGGTAAAATAAAACCTTTTCTGTCTTGTTTGAAGATCCATTTTTCAATTCAAATAACATTTGTGAAATACTCTGTGTGTGCCCAAAGTTACTTCTAGGCTGTCTTTCTAATCTTGCCAATGATTTAATTGAGGCATGTGCTGCTTATGATGTGTTTCTGGTTGGCCTGGAAATATTGAAAGATGAAGATCGTAAACGAAAAGACATTCAGTGCAATACTGTTAATTGATACCTACTTGACGGCAGTCATTGGAGGTAGAAGATGAATAAGTCACAGCTCCTCCATTAAAGAGGCTGTTAAGTAAACAATATTGGTGCATGCTAATGGTCCAAATACTTATCTAGATACTCACAGAAGAGACAGGGAAGCAAAAGTCAACATAACATTTTAAAAATATGCTAAGGAATTAACCACTTAATAAAGTTTGTCCTCAATCAATATTGTGTGAGCATCTATGCTAGTCAATATTTAAACATGAAGACCTTAAATGAAAAGCCGTTAAATTCAGCTAATACTAATCAGTATCTACTTTATGGCAATCATTGGTGGTAGAAGATAAATAAGTCACAGCTTCTCCATTAAAGAGTTCATAGTCTAACAAAGGAGCTTTGTAAGTAACTGTGCCATTGAATGTGGCTGCTGTAAAATCTAATGATGCAATGAAAACAGTTGTTAAACTGAAATCACAAATGTTGCTAACATGAAGGAGTTCACAAAGCTGATGATGTTGGAGAATGGCTCAAATCATTGGCAAAGCCAAAATAAGAATCTGGTAAGGTTAATTTGGGAAAAAAAGAAACTTAACAAAGATGATGTCAGAAGATGGGAGTCAGAAAACAATTTGAATATCAAAGGCTTCGGAGAGGTCTGTGGGGAAACTGGTGAAACCTCAAACGTTTTTGTAAAGATGACCTTACTTATGACTGTGCGCGAAAGTCAACTGTGAAGACAGGGTGCACAAAACTATCATACGGTTTTGCCAGAACAACTGTGTCAAAAGAAAAATCAACACTTACGTCATTGTTGTTCATTTTAAGAGTTAGGATATGGCAATTATATCCTGAATTTTTCGCAAATAAGAAAATATAAATGTATTTTCCTACTTTTTAAAACAAATTGGTTTTCTTTTTAGAATAAAATCCTAATCTTTTTTTCCAGTACTTACTGTGACATTTGGTTTCTATTTTGGGTGGATTAATTTTTTTTATATTGCTCACCCATACCTCTAATTCAAGTACCAAAAATGTTAGCCTCTTCTTCACTTTAATTTTTCTTTCTAACTCCAGAAACTTTTTTCTTTGTACTCTTGAGTCTCCTTAAGTGTGCTTATGGTTGTTGCATTCATGTTGTCATATGCCTCTTTTGCTCTTGAGTATTCTGTCCTAACTGATATTTCTCTTCCTAGTTGCTGGGTCCTATGTGATGTGGTACTGTTTTTCTTTGCCGACCCGCTGGGAATGTTACAGGTGGTTTAATTTTAAATGGACTCTTGCAGAGACAAATTACGCTTGGGCAATGAAGGCTTTCCATATTTATGACACAATATGATAAGCATGTACATAGATAAGCAATTACAAACAAATAGAAAAATAGTCGAAACTGAAGGATTGTTCTTTTGAAATGCACTCAATGCATGTACATTTCCTACAGTATTTTACGGCAGTGCTCTTTTGAGTTAGATGTTCTCAGAGTCCAACCCTACGGGAAGAAGAATGTGATGATGAATCAATGGCAATGTCTGGCTACTGATATCTGAATTGGAGAGATAAATACCAGCTCATGTTGTCAGTCCAGGATGCTGGGATACCGTAAAACAGCCCAGATTTGCTTGCTGCCTCTCTGACTTCTGATTTGATCTTTGTTCTCAGGCTGCCCAGCCACATGATTTACCTTGGTCCTAGATCACCTCCAAGTTCACCAGGCCATACAGGGTCTTGAGGAATGCAGGTACCTAAACCCCTCCTCTCTTTTTGGGAGAATTGCCAAGTCAGGGAATGAGTGGAGTGTTTGCTAATAATTCCGGAAAGGCTTCTCTAGGTGCAAGTATTTGCATTCATTCCAGTTACTTTCCTTCATTTTTTAAGGCCCTTGATTCTGAGTATTGGCAAGGGTGTTATGCAAAGCTGTTGCTTTGGTGATGTTGGTTTGGACAATCACTTAAGTGCTGGTGTTCTATTCCTCACAATAAATGGAAGTGTGAACATTGCGATCTTGGGCTCCAGTGACCAAGAGGAGAGCAGACGCTCCTCTCCACAGGTTCCTATCAGAGATACTTAGAGCTTAGAGTTGGGGAAACTGACCCAGCAATATCACGCTGCCATTTGTAAGCTTTCAGATTCCCATCTCATTCCTTTTTTATTTTCCTGCTGCTAACTCTTAGATGTGCTATTCCAACTATTATGATGCTGTCAATAATTGGTAGTTTTAAGGCGTATTCATCCTGTAGCCCAATATTTCCAGCTTCCATTGTGGCCAATCATAGTACAGAGTTTCACTGCAAAAAGACTAATCTGACATCTAAAAAAGTATGGAAAATGTATACAACTTTACAGAAATCTCTTAGACTAAGGGGATTATGATTCATATCACACAGCCACATTTCTAAAAATCACTAGAACCATTAACCTCTACAGTGCCACTCAACACAGGGTGACAGCTCTCTAGTCTCCCATCTCTAGAAACTTTCCCAAACTCTTCCCTGAAGCTCACTCCTCCCTGCCTCTCCTCTGACTTGTAGCTTTTTCTTTTCAGGATTGTTTCTTCCTAAGAGCAGTTCCCTGCTTTTCCTAACATAAACCAGCCTAGCCTTTCCTTTCTCCTGACTTCCCTATTGCTACCCCTCGTCTTGTTCAACAAAAACTTGAAAACAGCATGTGCCTTGTAAGGCGAGGGGAAAACAAGAAAGGCTATGAATGCTCATTTACCTTCGTGGTACCTGAATGTTTGTGTACTTTGAATATTTTGTCCCTGTGAGAGTCCCTTATGAGAATTCTGCCACTACCTTGAGCAAAAATCCTTGTAAACTATTTTTCATATGACACTGAAAGTCCTCCTGAAGCTTCCCTTTAAAACAGGCTCAGCAAACATTTTCTGTAAAGAAGCAGATAGTAAATATTTTTTGTTTTTCAGGTTATAAGATCTCCGTTGTAACTACTGAACTCTTCCGTGGTAGCATGAGCGCCACCATAGGCAGTATGTAACCAAATGGTGGCTGTGTTTCAATACAACTTTATTTGCAAAAACAGGCTGGTGACCCCTGCTCTAAAACAGTGCTTCTCATTCTTGGCTGGCCATCAGTATTACCTGGGGAGCTTTTTCAAATCCTGAGGCCTAGGCCATACCTCAGACCAATTAAATTAGGAACTCTGGGGTGGGACCAGGTCATGCATATTTTAAAGTTCCTCAGGTGAGTCCAATGTGCGGCCAAGGTTGACAATGCCTGTTCTAAAACTCAGGAAGCAGCCACCTGGAAACTGATGGGGATCCCAGCCTGGAGAGATACTGATTTCTCAATCCCTGGAGTGGCCAGGTGGGGCCTCCTGTAAGCAGCCCTACTATTCCTTTACCCTAGTGTGTCCTAAAAATGTGCTCATCTTCCACATGTACATGAAAGGCTGAGAAGCATCCACTTAGGAAATACGTAGCCGCAAATGCAAACATTATGCTAAAGTTACTGGCACTTCAGCATACTACAGGCAAATGCCACCAGTTAGGCAGGCGTGGTGGCACGTGCCTGTAGTCCCAGCTACTTGAGAGCCTGAGGGGAGAGGATTGCCTGAGCCCAAGAGTTCGAGTCTGCACAGTGAGCCATGATTGTGCCACTGCACTCCAGCCTGGGTGACAGAGAAAGACCCTGTCTCAATAAATAAATCAATCAATAAATAAAAAAAGTTACTGAAATTCCTTGGATAGTGATACATGGAATAGTTGTTTCTTCGATAAAGCTAAATTTAACTATTCGCTCTCATCTAAACTGAGAAATATTAATATATTCAACTGCTCCTTTTTCTTGGTCCTACAGGCTACATATAAAACTGTGATTTTAACAGGATTGTCTCTCTCTAGGGAGATGAAAATAAACTGTATTTTCTGTAAGTAAATTTGAAACCCGTTCCTCAGTTCATGGCTGTGCTGCTTTTTAAATCTTCCAGAGCATGTCTTAGTTGGTAACAGTGGAGGACTGGGTTAGACTAATACTTCTCTGTTTTAATTGGAACCCGGGTTCAAGCAGATGGAAATGCTGTTTTAAGTTATTCTGAAGCTGAATTGTCTGTGACCATTTAACTTGAAGTATAACACTTTGTAGAGACAATCTCTCCATGGATAGGACTCCATTGTACCTGATTTACTGCTTCTTGGCTGTCATTTAAGAAAGCCTTGCAGCTGGCCATCAGCCAGGAAACAAATCCACTGCTTTTCTATTCCTTGGCAACCCTTGGCCTGTCACGTACTTTTGACTGTCTTCCAAACATCGACCTAACAAGACACTCAGATTTCAGTGCTAGCGAAGACACTTTGTCTAGTATTGAGCTAGGATGATGAGGATGGAGGAGACAGTAAGCCCCAGTGCACATCCCTTTCTCCCTCCTCTTGGTCCAAGGAGCACATGCTGCCTCATGGACTTTGGGATGAGTCTTTGCATAGCCAGCTCATTGCCTCATGCATGCCTTGGCAGTAGTTCATGCCACATGCCCTCCCTATGCCCCATTTGGTTGAGTCCAAAAAAGTTATGAGTTTATTGCAGCAGGCTCAAGGGCTGCTAAAGGGAGAAAAGAACACCAGTAGAAGATCCTTCTGGCATCTTAAAAGGCTCTTTGGAGAACTTCACATGAGGACAATGACTCAATGTGGTCCTTTCCAGATTTTCAGTTCTTTCCATGGCAGCTCTAGGAGAACAGAGACCTATTTGAAAGGCTGGCAGGGCCTTTTAGTTACGTTAGCAAAGAAATTCATATTACCTTGAGAAAATATTAGTGGTACACATCAAAAACGGGGAAGGGGATCTGATGGAGATTGGGAAGGGAGATAAACTCCACTCCTTTTTAGTGTTCCCACCAGCACCCGTGGCAGTGCTATTGAGTCCCTTGGATTCCTAACCCAAGTGATTTTGAGTAGGCCTAGAATTTGCCCAGATGTTTTGCAGTGGTAAGTTCTCATTTGAGTGAAGAGTTGAATAGTAATGGAAGCAGAAAAAAATATGCTACAGAGGGTAACAGGTGCCATTAGTAATTTTGCTCAGACTTTTCTAGAAGACTCACTTTCTGTTCTTTGCCTAGTCAAGGCCCATCTTTCCTACTCACTTCTGTCTTAACCTCAAAGCATTCCACAACTGCCCCAGGCCCCAATAATTAGCCTTCTTCAGACCTTCACATTTGTTCCTTAAATGAAAACAGCTCCTCTATTTAGAGGTGCCATGAAGACACTGGCCTATGTATTCTAATTTTCCTCCTGGGATAATCCCTGAGGCACTTTCATGAAACTCCCAGGGCTCTAAAACAACAAATTTGAAAAATCTTTGGCCTCTACCATTTTCCTAGCATGTAGCATAAGATACCTTGTGTTGTGTTTTATCTACTGATTTTCTATTTTACAGAAGTAATATATATTTATCAATATTAGGAAGATACAGGTATATGAAAAGAAAAAAAATGAAAATGCATGTCATCCCAGACTCTGAGATGAACACTAGTAACGTTTTGGACTTTTCCATTTTGATCATTAATCTACGAATTTGTATGGGTATCTATGCTCATAAATATTGATTTAAAGCTAGCCTTTTATTTCAAACTAATACTTTAACATGAATAATTTTAGTGTCATTAATTATTTTTATCCAAGGTCATTTTTCATCTTTAACAAACTTACTGAGGTATAACTGGCAAAAAGTAAGCCACACATAGTTAAAGGGTATATTCTGATAAGTTTTAACCTATGCTTATACCCATGAAACCAACACTGCAATCAAGATAAGGAACATGTCCATCTCCCCTAAAAGTTTTCTTGTGCCTCTTTGTAATCCCACTTTCTTCTTTCTGTCCACACCCACCCCAACCCCTACCCCAGGTAACCACTGAAATGCTGTCAGTATAGATTAGTTTGCATTAGAATTTTATATAAATGGGCCAGGCACGATGGCTCACGTCTGTAATCCCAGCACTATGGGAGGCCGAGGCAGGTGGATCACCTGCAGTCAGCAGTTAGAGCCAGCCTGGCCAACATGGCGAAACCCTGTCTCTACTATAAATACAAAAATTAGCTGAGTGTGGTGGCAGGTGCCTGTAATCCCAGCTACTTGGAAGGCTGAGGCAGGAGAATTGCTTGAACCCAGGAAGTGGGGGTTGCAGTGAGCCGAGATTATGCCACTGTACTCCAGTCTGGGCGACACAGCAAGACTCCATCTCAAAAAAAAAAAAAGAATTTTATATAAATGGAATATTATACTATGCACTCTTTGTGTCTGCATTCTTTGACTCAGCATACTTATTTTGAGGTTCATATTGTTACCTATATCAATAGTTCAATCCCTTTTATCACTGAAGAATATTCTGTTATATGGATATACCACAATTTATTTATCCACTCACATGCAAATGTGGACATTTGTATTGTTTCCAGTTTTGGGCTATTTGAAATACATCTTCTTTTAACATTTATGTACACGTTTGTGAGGCCATATGCTTTCTTTTTCCTTGGATCTTAGGTAATTTTAGTGGCTGCATTATATTCCATTGTATGAATGTACCCTTGTTAATTTAACCCCTATTTCTGATGTTTAGATTGACTCATGATTTGAGTTCCCTTGAAAGTAAAGTCTGAGATCCGAGACAAGGATTTGCAAGAATTTATGTGAGAGAAGCAGAAGAGAGGGGTGGGGAGAGTAAGTCAAGGAAAGAGCAAAGCCACAAAGGTGTGTTAGTGAGTTGCTGATCGCTGTGGGCAACTGAAGCTCAATCCCATGGGGTCCCTTGGAGGAATCACGTAGAATAGTCCTCAAAATGGTCTCTGGATGGAGAGGTTGGAGCATTCGTCCTCCATTTCTTTCTCTCATTGCTGCACTGTGGTCCCCTGGGAATATTAACTACCCCACTTTTCTCTGCCACATCCAACACAGGCAGAATGGCCTTCTGTGGGATCCAAGAAAACTCTGAAGCAGAAAAGCCTTGAGCCAGCAAGGTAAGCCCACAGTGAAAGGCTGGGACCATGCATGAAACTGTCCACCACAGGTGTACTAAAAGCAAGGGGCTGAGGGTAGTGGTGTGAAGAATCTATCTTGCTTCAGTGGTGTCATATTTTGCTATTATATACAACAGAGCATCAAACATCTTTGCACTTAGACTTTTTATTTATTTTTTTAATTTTTTTTTATTTTAGACAAGGTCTCACTCTGTGTCTCCCAGGCTGAAATGTAGTAGTGCAATCACAGCTCACTGCAGCCTTGACCTTCCAGGCTCAAGCACTCCTTCTGCCTCAGCCTGCTGAGTAGCTGGGACTATAGGTGTACGCTACCATGCCTGGCTAATTTTTTTTTTCCATTTGTTTTGTAGAGAGGCAGTCTCACTTTGTTTCCCAGGCCGGTCTCGATCTCCTGAGCTTAAGCAATCCTCCTCCTCAGCCTCCGAAAGTGTTGGGATTATAGCCGTGAGCCACTGCATCCAGCCTGCACTTAAACTATTATATATATGTTATGATATGTTCATAGAAGTGGAGTTGCTAGATTAAAAGGTATGTGCATTGAAAGGGTTTTGATTCTAGTCACCACATTATTCCTTGGAAAGGCCTCAGTTTACCTCTCATAGGTTGTATATGAGGACACCTGTTTCTCTGCTCTTTTGCCAATACTGAGCATTTTCATTAAATGAACAAAGAGAAACTTTGCTAATGGTCAAAATGATTTACTATTTTATATTCCACTTAATTACAGGCCCCACATATCAAGAGACCACACGTTATTCATCAGACACTGGATTCACAAATGAGCATATTTAAAGCAACCATCAAAATTTGTCCATGGTGATGGGACTTTGGGCCTGTAAAAAGTAGCCTATGGTCAGACTGTGTAACACCCTAGTTCCTGAGCTGTCTTTCCCAGTTAACCCCTTCTGATGTGACTTCTGGATTTGTCAGGTGATTTCTGTTCTGCTGCTGAACAGAACTGGGCCCTGCTCAGTGTCTCACTTAACCTGTGCCTTGCTGGTTCGATGCTGGGTCCATGCCTGCCCTCACAACTGACCTCTGTCCTTTATATCTCTCCAAAAATATTATGTCTTACCTAACAGCTTGTCTTCACTGGCGCCTGCCTTGTAGTTAGGACATGTGGGACTTTTTGACCCTTCATAATCCTGGAAGTCAGGCCAATGACCCTGGCTGTAGAACTTATTATGTCTGATGGCATTCAAGAGGCTGCCCCAAGACCCCAAATCTTAACTAATTAAGATACATGAGGAAGAGATCTTTTGAGAACACAGAGAGAGAAACACTTGCTGGCATTTCATTTTGGGCACAAGGCATGACTGTGCATCCCAGGCTGTGACCCAAATGTCTGCCTCAGAGCTTCTGGGCTCTTCTCTGTCCTGGGCTTTCACCTGTTGGGTTGGCACTGCCTGTGGCCCCACACGTGGCTATCCCCTTTCTGACAGCTGTGCTCCAGCAGGTGGTGTGAGCCACCCTCATCACCTGCTGTCTGCACTGACACTTGATCACTTGAAGCTGTGCATTTGCTTCCATGTGCACATTTTGCCCTCCATCAGCTTGCCAGCCAGCAGTACTTTCTAAATCTGTGACATGCATGCCCAGCTTCCCAGGGCTGACCACAATCATCCCCACTTCAACACCCACAGATGGCTGTATTTCAGGGCTTCATTTGACCTGCCATTTGGCTTAAGAGAAAGTGTGTGGAGAAAAGTCCTGGACAAAGGATAGGAACAGGGCCAAATCAGAAAGCCTCTGAAGAGACTGGACAGCATTATTGTTTGAGAGAATGGACAGTCCTGATATCAGAGACTGACCCTACGGGAATCCCTAACAATTTCTTTTTCTAAATAACCTCGACTTAATGAACAGCAATTTTTCAGTTTTAAACTGTGTTTTGCTTTCTTTCATTTTGTTTTTTGACCGTCATACAGACTCTGATGACAGGTCAACTGACTATGGACCATGATGTGCATTACTGACAGAATTGAAATTGTTTGTAAAGGCATGTCCAGTAAATATGGTACTGCTGTAAGGAAAGAATAGAAAAGAAAGAGGTACAGAGAAAGAGAAAATTGTATTCCCTAAAAAACTACTATTAGCAGTAAGAGAGTGCAAAAGAAAGACAACTATACAAAAATCTATAGCTATATCATTAAACCAGCAGTGCCCAATAAGAAAATATAATGGAGCCTAGAGGAGAGGCCAATTCTTCATGCTCTCAACACATAGAATTTACTGGGTAAAGTATAACAAAATTACTTCTGAAATAATAGAGGAGCTCAAATATAAGTATGTGAAATCCACAGATACCAGAAAAAAAAGAAAAATCTCCAAGCCAATAAAAAATAGCACAAACGATATAAATAACAAGAAGAAACCCAAATAACGAGTAAAGATACGGACATCATTAGTAATCACAGAAATTCACATCAAAACAACAGTGAGAGTGTTTATAACCAACAGATTATAAAACAAACATTTTGATTTTTGACAATGTGAGCTAGAGGTGAGGATTCAGAAAAGAAAATGGAAACTCCCTTTGACTGCTCATGGAAGCAGTGCTTCCCAATTATTCATGGTGCAGAATCAGGTCCTTTTATTCTTTTTTTCTGATAAGAAATTATTATATAATTGGTCATACCCCATATCCAGCTCCAAATACAGCATATTTTTTTTCAACATCATATTTTAAAAATAACATTTTTTTTCATTTATCCCTCATATGTCTTCTAAGACACTACTCCTTAAATATTTTGATTTTCACAGTGAAAAGCTTTTGGCCTCACTTAACCCATATTGTCCAAATGAGCCCTTTCCACAATTTGTTTTAGCATTACTATTGTTATTTTAAAATAATCAGGTTTTCTTTTTCAGTCCGATGCTTTTGTAAAATATAAAATTCATGTTTGGATATCATAGAAATATCAAATTATGATAAACACTTCTAAACACTTACTCTTAATGTCTGTACTTATCACAGACCAATAAGTCATGGTTCATGGACCAGACTCTAAATTTTTATGGTCAAAGAATGAATTGAAAGTATGTTAAAATTAAGCTAAATTAAAAAAAAAGTTTACCTTATACTTCGACAACCTACTTCTAGAAATCTATCCTAAATATAAGTTGGTTTAAGACACAAGGAAACAAACTAGAAATATATATTAATAGGAGAAAAGATGATTATAGTCTAGCCATATGGTGGCATATATAGCTGCTAAAACGAATAAACAATATTTACATAAAATTGGAAAGAAGTTACAAAAATGGGCTCACATTATTCAAACATGCATATGTTTGAAAAGCATAGAACACACATCTAGAAATGCATGTATTTATGTGTACAAGTGTGCATAAACACAAACCCTAAATTGTTAGTGGTGCTTACCTTTGGTGATGGGATTGGTGGGAAATTTGCATGTGCTATTTTATAACAAGTAAGTATTTCTGTTTAGAATCTCTTTATTTTCTGTTTGGAATCTCTCAGTTTGTCAAAACCCTACTGACAAAATTGCTGCAATTTCCATTTATTCCTGAGTATGTGGTCAACAACAGACAGTAGCCTGTAAGGGAAACCCAAGTGTCTGCTCGAAGCTGGAACAGGAACCCCAGACTTCTAGGAGAGCAGATGTTTCTAAACACATGGCCACATCCAGAAAGAAGCAGTGCAGATCTTTTAGGGCCTCCCAAGAATCCAGCATAAGACACATTCTTTCAGGCCCTAATCAAGTTCCCTGCTGTGTGCCAGGAGCTGCAGAGACCAGACACAGAGTATCAGACATGTTAGAACAGGATGGGCTGTCTTCACAAGGAGCTTACCAGCTGCCTGGAGAATAATCCAGACAAAACACAAAGGAAGTCCTTTAATGAGCACCCACACTACAGGACAAAGAACCAAAATAGAAACAGGATCCCATAACATCAGAAAGAAAACAAAGATCCTTACTGCCATTGTATTAGTTAATATAATTCTAAAACAGATATAGGGACGTTGCTATTGGAAATGAGAAAACAAAAAGTATTATTAGAGATGATATAATTGCCTACTGAGAAACCCCAAGATAATTAAAAAGTGGCTATCTTTATGGGAGTTTAGTAAAATGACTGGTTAAAGATAAGTGAACAAAAGTAACCAGCTCTCCTGCTCTCCCTGAAGTAACTAACCAAGATATATGAGGTGTTGGGGAAACAACACTCCACCCTAAAATGTCTAGACATAATGTTAATTTTAAAACTGAATCTATGTGAGGAAAATTACAAACTGCAACTGAGAAAGTTACAAGAAAACATGAATATATGAATATAGAATAAGATGATTGGATGAATACAGAATAAGAAGACTGAATATTATGGAGGTAAATTTTTCCCAAATTAGCATATTGGTTTAACACACTCCAAGAGTAATTAATTGAGCTGCTCTGCTAGATATTAAAGCATAATATAAATTGTGAAAAATTACGTGAGAGGACCTTGGTTCAATACTTTTTATTTTTTTAGAGATGGGACCTCAGGACGGGTGCGGTGGGTGGCTCACGCCTGTAATCCCAGCACTTTGGGAGGCCGAGGCAAGCAGATCATTTGAGGTCAGGAGTCCGAGACCAGCCTGGCCAACATGGTGAAATCCCGTCTCTACTAAAAATATAAAAATTAGCCAGGCATGGTGGCGCACCTGTAATCCCAGCTACTCAGGAGGCTGAGACAGGAGAATCGCTTGAACCTGGGAGGTGGAAGTTGCAGTGAGCAGAGATCACGCCACTGCACTCCAGCCTGGGCAACAGAACGAGACTCAGGCTCAAAAAAAAAGAAAAAGAAAAAAGAAAAAAAGAGATGGGACCTGACTGTGTTGCTCAGTTTGGAGTATAGTGGCTATTCACAGGTCCAATCATAGTAGCACACTGCAGTCTCAAACTCCTGGGCTCAAGCAATCTTCCTGCCTCTTAATACTTCTTCTAGAAAGAGACACATTATTTCATTGTTCTACTTTTTTGTGTGTATGTATACACACACAAACACACACAGACACATTAAAAACTACGGAAATGAGATCATATACTGGCATGGAAATGGATATATATCATCAACGAAAACAAAGTGATTGTAAAAAAGAGTCCTGATATATGAGAAGATAACAGATAACAAAGGAAGACTCACAAACCAATGGGTTAAGAGATTATTCGTCAGAGTTGAAAATAATTGACTCGGGGGAAAGTGTTATATTCACATCTCACATCATGCAAAGAATAAAATGCAAATACTTTTAAGAATTAGGTATAAAACATAAAAGCAGGCTGGGTGCAGTGGCTCACGCCTGTAATCCCAGCACTTTGGGAGGCTGAGGCAGGCGGATCACCTGAGGTTGGGAGTTCGAGACCAGCCTGACCAACATGGAGAAACCCCGTCTCTACTAAAAATACAAAATTAGCCCGGTGTGGTGGCGCATGCCTGTAATCCCAGCTATTCTGGAGACTGAGACAGGAGAATCGCTTGAACCCGGGAGGTGGAGGGTGTGGTGAGCCAAGATCACGCCATTGCACTCCAGCCTGGGCAACAAGAGTGAAGCTACGTCTCAAAAAAAAAAAAAAAAATTAGGTATAAAACATAAAAGAAAAAAATAGCGGAGAAAATGTTGATAGGCATAGAAAATGTTTTAGAATAAAGTTCTCATTTACCACAGTTATATGACCTAAAAGATGCCTAAGAATAAATTTACACAAGGTATGCAAAACCTTTTATGGAGAAAAATACAAAACAGTACTGAAAGATGTGTAAGATGGCCTAAATATATGCAGAAATATAGCAGGTTCATGAAAGGAAAGACAAGATCGGGAAGATGATGCTTCTCAAACTAATCTATAAATGCAATGTAATTCAAATCAAAATCTAGAAAGGATTTTCTGTGGAAACTGATGAGCTGACCTTAACATTCATATAGATGAGAAAGAGACCATAATAGTTAAGACACATGAAACTTGCCCTACCAAATATCAAGACTTACTTTTTAAAATATAGTAATTTAGATAGCATGCTACTTGTGCAGAGTTGGACAAAACAGATCCAGGCATACACAGAGATTTGATGCGTGACAGAGAAGATCTTACAAATTAGTGGGGCAAGTATAAACTATTCAACAAACGAGTCTGGGAAATTAGTTATCCTTCTGAAAAGAAAATTAAGTCACTAGCTTATATCACACAAAGATAAATTCCAGACAAAGATTTAAATGTCAAAAGAAACCATGTAAACTTCTGGAAGAAAATAAAGGAGAAAATCTTTATAATCTTAAATCTTCCATAGACAAGCACAAGAAAACAAAACCCTTAATTAAGGAAAAAATAGACAAATATAACTACACTAAAATTACAAACTTAAATACAAGAAAAAAGCACCTTAAAATTAAAAGAAATTATAGACAGGAAGAAGATATTTGCAATGCATATAATCAACAAATGTTGGTATTTAAAATATGTAAAAAAATGTTTACAATTCAGCAAGAAAAAGACAAATACTCCAAATGGGCAAAATATATGAAAAAGCAAATTCACAGAAGAGGAAACTTGAATACCAAATGAATGGAATGTTGCTCTATTTCTCTAGTTTTTAGGAAATGCAAACTAAACAAGAATATGCCATTTCACAGCCAACAGATTTGCAAAATGAAGGAAAAGAAACTTTCATACATTGGTGGTATAAGTTGATAAATCATGCTGGAATGAAAGTTCTCACTCTACCTTTGTGAATCTTTAACCTAGAGAGGTTATCTGACATGTGCACAGTGAATCACACACCAGATTGGTTTTTGCAGCATGTTTGTAATGGTGAAAAATGGAAGTAACTTAAATGTTCACCAACCAAACAACAGATATGTAGATTGTACTATATTCAGCGATGGAATATTACAGAGCAAATCAAACGAGGGAACTAGAACAACATAGGTAAGATTCATCAAAACAACCAATGAAAAGGCAAGCTCCTCATAATGCCTGATAGGATGCCATTTTCAAAACTAGAGTCTTACTGTGGATACATGCATTTATGGTAATAGTGTAAAATATGGAGAAGATTGATCCAGATGGGGGTGGCCTCCACAGCAAGAGGAAGGGTAGGAACCAGGAAGAGGGCCTGGGGAATGTCAAAATGTTAATATCTGTTACATCTGAGTGTTGAGCACATGGGTATCTGTTATATCACTCTGTATATTAATATATGTTTAAAACATCTTACAATAAAAATGGGGAAATTGTTGATTATACTTTATACATTTTATTTTTTTTAGAGACAGGGGTTTTGCTCTGTCACCTGGGTTGGAGTGCAGTGGCATGAGCACGGCTCACTGCAGCTTAGACCTCCCTGGGCCCAGGTGATCCTCCCGCCACTGCCTCCCGAGTAGCTGGGACCACAGTAGCGTGTCACCATACCTGGGTAATTTTTTCTATTTTTTATAGAGATGAAGTTTCATCATGTTACCCAGGCTGGTCTTGAACTCCTGAGCTCAAGCGATCCACCCACCTTGGCCTCCCAAAGTGCCGGGATTACAGGCATGAGCCACCATGCCCAGTCTCTATATTCTTCTTTAAGCTGGTGGGAGGTTTATGTAGGAATCTTATTTCCCTTAGTACCTCTTCCATTACCTTTGCTCCATAGCAATAGCTATTCCCTGACTTCTTAGTCTACGATAAGGGCAACTGGCATTTTCTCAATCTTACATACAGTAAAAATTTTAAAAAATCTTTAGAAAACTTTGCTATTCTTATTTACCATAATATAAATTCTAAAATAAAAACTGTGTATTCGCTGTGCAAACACAGTTTCAAATATGTGTGCCATCCCTTCCCCACCCCCTAGCTCCAAATATATTGTAGCTTCTAAGTCTATCCTGGATAGAAATTCTGAGGCCAGCAGTGTGCACAGCTTTCCAAAGATCAAGGAGGCACGTAATTGGGAAGCTTCGGAGTTGTCCTTCTCCATCAATGGCCAGAATTATAAGTGGAGAACTACAAACTCAACAGTGTATGGAACAAAGCTATTCCATATATGTTGTGAGCACGAAACATCTTGGACATGGCTAATGTGTAGCTTCCATCTGGCATTTTTGGTATTGTGTAAAATTGTTATGTCAGCAACAGATGGTAAAGCTAAGTGTTAGGAGATATTACTTATGCCCAGTTATCAGGTTTGCAAATCTGAACCTGAAACAGTTCATGGGTCTGTGGAAATGCATGCGGTGCTAGATTTTCTTCTGTTGAGCTGCTTTTCAGAGTATTACTTTCTTGCCTGTTTCTCTTTTCCTCATTACTAACAAATCTTGATTTTGCTCTGATATCCTCATCGGAGCTCCTGAGGTGACTTCTCCACCGTTAGTCCATCAAGCCCTTGGCCCATGTTTTTTGCAAACTGAGGAAGGACTTACAACTTGTGTGTGGGTGGAATGTTTGTATCTCCTCTCTCTCGTGTGTAGCTTCTAGATGTGATTTCTTCCAGCAGCCATTTAGTGACCGTGAGGAAAACTGCTTTAGGGGCAAGCTGATGCTGAGGAAGGTAGAAAGAAGGGTCTGAGAAAGTCAGAGTTTTTGCCATTAACGAGCTGTTGATGGTCTATAGACTACCTGACTACTGGACATGGTGTTTTAGTAGATGAAATACATCCTTATTGCTCAAGTCTGTGTGAGCAAGGGTTTCTTTTTTTTTTTTTTGTGATGGAGTCTTGCTCTGTCACCCAGGCTGGAGTGCAGTGGTGTGATCTTGGCTCACTGCAACCTCTGCCTCCTGGGTTCAAGCGATTCTCCTGTCAGCCTCCTAAGTAGCTGGGATTACAGGTGCCTGTGATCACGCCTGTCTAATTTTTGCATTTTTAGCAAAGATGGGGTTTTGCCATGTTGGCCAGGCTGGTCTTGAACTCCCGACCTCAGGTGATCCACCCTCCTCAGCCTCCCCGTGTTGGGATTACAGGTATGAGCCACTGTGCCCAGCTGAGCCAGGATTTCTTTTACTTAGAGACCAAAGTATCTTGATAGATGGAGAAACTTCAATATTTGTTAATTTGGAAGTCTCCTTCTATAAAGTTTATGGAATATGATGAAAAGGAACCACAGACATGAATCAAGAGCATCTGACTTCCTGTTTCCTCACTTGGAGGTAACGCTATTCATGTTGACAAGGCAGGAGCTCTGAAATCCAGCCCAGCCAGGACAGCACACTGAATATATATCTTACGTTTAACACCTTACAGTTTAAAATATACATATATATGTAAGTGCGTGTGTGTGTGTGTGTATATATATATATATATTTCCCATTTAATTGTCTCATCAATCACGTGAGGTGAGCTGTTTCGGCGTTTTTTAAAAAACTGGAAGTTCAGAGACATTATCAAAGGCAAGCAGGTTAGAAACAGGTCTCCTAAATTTAGGACCACTGAATTTTCTGCTGAGTTCTGATTACTTTTCAAATACTCTGTATTATGAATAGATGTTTTCTGTAGAAATACCTTATCAATACTTAATTATGAGATGATAAATGTTCTGGAAATTGTAAAGGTCAGGCTGGCACAGGTTATCCTCTGGTAAAAAATGCCCCCAAATCTTAGTGCTTTTACAACAGCAGGGGCTATTTCCAATCATGGGTTGGCAACAGCTCGCCTCCATATTTTCCTCACTCCAGGCCCCAGGCTGATGAAGCTATTTCTATTTGAACCATGGTTGGTCATGATGGCAGAGGGAAATGCACATGGCAAACCGCGTGCTGGCTCAAAATCTTCTGCCCAGAAGTCCCACACGTCGTGTCCACTCTCATATTTTGACCAAAGCAAGTCATGTAGCCAAGTCAAACATCAATAGAGTGGGGAAGAATGACCCTCCCCTAGAGAGTATTAGTGACAAGTCCACTCTCATATTTTGACCAAAGCAAGTCATGCGGCCAAGTCAAACATCAACAGAGTGGGGAAGAATGACCCTCCCCTAGAGAGTATTAGTGACAAGATGGGCACAGGGGCTTACACCTGTAATCCCAGCACCTTAGAAGGCCAAGGAGGAAGGATTGCTTGAGCCTAGGAACTCGAGACCAGCCTCGGCAACACAGTGAGACCTCCATCTCTACAAAAAAATAAAAAATATTAGCTAGGCATGGTGGCACGCACCTGTAGTCCCAGCTACTAGGGAAGACTGTTTGAGCCCAGGAGTTCAAGGCTGCAGTGAGCTATGATCGTGGCACTGCACTCCAGCCTGGGAGACAGAGCAAGACACTGTCTCAAAAAACAACAAAAACCAACAACAACAACAACAAAACCAAGAAAGAGAACACTAGTGACTATTTATGAACACGAAATATTTTCCATATTTCAAATGAGCTTCTGTTCTAATTCTGTGTCCCTAGATGCAATACCACTCAGCCTCGAGAATGACCAGGTCAAGGGGCTGTGGTATCACTCACGACTGGATGTAACCCACAGTTGACCTAGGAAAGTTTCTCAAAGCATGTCCTCAAGAATACTAGTTACGTCAAACATCCCTAAAAATGGGTTATGTAGTCTTGATTTGGGAAAGTGCTATATCCCAAACTCTTGAAACTTTGCAGTGATAATAATATGTTCAAGTCTCTGAGAAGTCCTGTAAAATGCTGGACTTTGTTTAATCAAAAACTTTCCAAATCTTTTTGATCCTGAAGCCTTTAATTTCTTCCATAATTTTATTTATTATTTGCTTTGCATAACACCTATTGGCATCCCACAGTGCCACGGTTCCCTGATCACAGTTTGGGCCAATTTGCTGCAATAAGACTGGGCTTGGGATCAGGTCCCTAGGGTTTTAGCTCCACCTCTTTCACTAAATAGTGTGAACTTGGTATAGCATTCATAACTCTGTTTTAATTTCCACATTTGTTAAATGGAATTATGTTATCCTCTGAGCCTCTAGTGAGATCATTAATGTGAAGACGACTTAAATAATATAGTGTTTTATATATGCAAAGAACCAGCCTTGGACAAATATTTCAAAAAGACCCATCTTTTTTATCAGAGTCCCGACTCTTCTCCTTGCACTTCCCACAAGCCCGGTTCTTTGGGCCTGTGTCAGAATAAGATGAGCTGACAAATATGCTTGACGTGAACTCATCTTCATAGTTGAGCTATAAACACAGAGCCCTCCTCTCTTTGGTGTTTCACAGCCAGCTGGGCTCTGGCTTGAAAAAGTAAAACCAATCACTGCAGGCTGTTGGTGCAGCAGTAATAGTATTTTTGTCTTCTAGATGTGCCTGGATGAATGGGACTACTCAGGTGAAGGGAGACTTGAGGGACCATATATCTACCATAGGTGGGGCAGAGACAGAGCCTGAATTCTCATTTCCCATAGTAAATGCACCAGGGCCATGCAATGAAGATTAGGGGAGGTCCCAAGACCCTCGCCCACCCTCCTCAGCTTATTCTACACATGCGGAAATTGAGCTCTCGGAAGAAGAATTCCCTTGGTGTGAGTCCACAGAAAGTTGGTGATGTGGTAGAATTAGCAGTCTGGATTTCTCCCTTGCAGCAGACTTCTTGTTCTAGCCCACTTCCTTTCCCTGTTCACTGTGCATGAGGGTAGCTTGTAATAAGATTTCCTACTTCTGAAAGATTTATTTGAATATACTTGTAGTGGATCAGGAATTTTCCACAAGTTGAAGTGACCTATATGTCATTTTGCCGATAAACACAAAATGAAACAAAAAACTGTAATCTACTGTGGAATTGGGCATACTGTCTCCAAGCCATCTTTGGAAACCAGTTCTCTGGGGGTGGGGCTTGGTTAAGAGTCTACTGGAGTCTACTGAGCAGTTAGAGGGTCTAGGATGAAGGAGGAAGGAGGAAGGAGAGAGAAGGGAAATAATTCAGGGTGATGGGATTCTCTGGCAATGTGCAGAGCCCTGGGGAGATAGATGTGCTATTGATGAAGTTTGTGAAATGGTAAGATGTGAGCTCTCTCTGCACATCGGTGAGTTCTGACTGGCATGGAGTGCATAAGAAGACAATTCATGACCTTAGAGATTTAGCTTCAAGCCCTGGATTCTTTGGCAGCCAGATTCAGCTTTCACAAATACGATTTTGTAGGTGATCTCTCTTAAAGCCAGAGAGAAAAGCAACAGCAGTTCTGTAAGTGTTGATAGGGAGCCTTTGTGCTTCGGCCTTTCTCCTTCCATCTGCGTCTCCTGAAGCGGATTTAAAAGGAAGCCTGGCCAGGCAAGGTGGCTCATGCCTATAATCCCAGCACTTTGGGAGGCCGAGGCGGGCGGATCAC